>NC_000010.11:33965671-34269953 GCF_000001405.40 Homo sapiens
ACAGATGGTCTAATTTCCTGGAAGAAAGGATGGAAGGAAAGGGTTCAAAGGGTGATCGATTTATTTTTAGAGGAAAAAGGTATTGAACAGGGGAGTGAGTTGACTAAATTGTTTTAAATAATAATTTTAAAAGACAGGTGTGCTAGACCAGGTGTACTATTTCCTGAAACCAGATCACATAAAAAAAAGATCTTAAAAAGGAAGTGTGTGTCAATGTGTCATCCCCTTGATGTTGGAAGCAATAAGGTTAACCATTCGCCCCACCACCCTGTTTTCACCACCTGTCTCTAGGTCCTACTGCTACAGCCAGGCAGGATGCATGATGCCTCTCTCCATTGGTCGATACCTTTCCACTCTGACCCAGTAAGGGATTTATTCATCCACTCAAAGGTGCTTTCAAATCTCCCCTATACCAAAGCATAATGTAAAACCACAGAAGTTGTGGGCATATACCTAGAGAATGCTCACAGAGAACGTGAAAGCCACAGGACCTAGCAAATAAGGAAGTTGTTCCTAGGCCATAGTCACTGATGGCAGGGGACATATAGAGTGCACAGGGAAACAAAGCCTCCCTGAGTGCCTTTTTGCAGATTCGGTCCTTAGTGTGAACTAGGAGCAGGAGCAGAAGTGGAGGATGAGGATTTCCCCCAACTGCTTTTCAGGGCCTGGCTCTATGGACTCAAAGGACACATGCCAGGGCCAAGGGCAGAATTGCGCAAGACCCACAGAAGAACAAAGAAGTGGTCTCATAGAAGGAGAAATACGGCCCAGATTCTAACAGAACCTGTTCTCCTACCCAAACTAAACTCAGCATTCTCACCAATTCCAACTAAGAAGAAATTGAATCAATCTTTCTTTCTTTCTTTCTTTCCTTTTCTTTCTTTCTTTCTTTCCTTTTCTTTCTTTCTTTCTTCCTTCTTTCTTTCTTCCTTCCTTCCTTCCTTCCTTCCTTCCTTCCTTCCTTCCTTCCTTTCTTCCTTTCTTTCTTCTTTCTTTCTTTTGCCAAACTCCTGATAAATGGTGCTACCAGGATTGGAACGCAGATAAATTCATTTGTTGCCTAGATGACATTTTAACCATATGGAAACTACATGCAATTCTCATTGCATTCCTGGGTTCCATCCTTTGTTCATTGCTGTCTGCAGTTAAGGTGGCTCCCTTATTTGTGGGGGTTGATTCTCACTATCAAAGCTCTACGACCCCCATAGGGAGAGCAGGTGGGTAGCCCTGCTGATGAACAGCCCAAGTTGAGCTCAATCTGCATGCCCCATGCCTCACATCCAGGCACATGGGAAATGTGCACTGTTGATAACTAGATTACACTTTTACTGCATTCCTAAACATGGCCTGAGTTCATGGCCTTTCAGCCATGGCTGTGACCCCACAAGGGCCTGAAGTCCTTTCCTATGACTATCACCTTCCAAGCACAGCCCTTCTTAGAGAAAGACCTCACTGGAGACAGGAACCATGACTTACTCATCTTCGTAGTTCACACCCTTTGCCCAAGTCACTCCCCCAGTTCCCAGAAGAGTGGCTTTTACATAACCCGCACTCGATAAATATTTATTGAAGTCAATCTGCTGTAGCCGTCTTCATGCTAGCTCTTTGATGGTGCTGAACATCCATGCCAGTCATCTTGAGAATAACAAAGACTGCTTTCCTAAGGAGAAAGCATATATTCCAATGACACTTGTGAGCTCTTTCTGATTACAAAAGTAATGCATATTCATTATAGAAATTTGGAAAATTCAGAAAAGCATAAATAAAAAATACAATAATTAATAATCCCATCATCTACAAGAGAACTGCCGTTAACTTTTTGCTGCTTATTCTTCCTGGTTTCTATGTGTTCTTTTACATATGTAAATTATAAAATTGGGATCACAGTGATTACTATTGTTAATCTTTTTAAGCATAACTGATTAGCTTTGTCATACGTGCCCTTAAATATTCTTGAAGAACATGATTTCTAATGGTTGCAATGTGTTCCACCATATGGATGTTCTAGTATTCTGTAATTTAACCAATTTCCTTTGTTGGGCATTTTGGTTATTTTCAATTTTCTACTGTTATAAATAAGGATTCAGTGAACATCCTAGTCCATAAATCTTTGCACCAGTTTTAATTATTTCCATACGTGAAATTCCTAGAAATGGAATTGTGCAAAGACTAAAAAGCAAGACTATTTTGAAGATGAAAAATGGTTTGGTATGCAGGCCAGAATCTAACTTTATCTATGTGAGGAGATAAAAACCAGATAATGATCTGTTGGCTCCAAGGCATAACCTTTCGAAATCTGACTTTCAGTTCATGGACCTGTCATCTGCCCGGTCTAGGAAAAGACCATCCTCTGTTGAGAGTCAATGCCTCATGAAGAACAGAGACTTGGGCCATGTGCAGTGGCTCACACCTGTAATCTCAGCAGTTTGGGAGGCCGAGGTGGGAGGATCACCTGAGGTCAGGAGTTCAAGACCAGCCTGGGCAACATGGCAAAAACCCATCTCTAGTAAAAATACAAAAATTAGCTGGGTGTGGTGGCGCACATCTGTAGTCTCAGCTACTTGGGAGGCTGAGGCATGAGATTCACTTGAACCCAGGAGGCAGAGGCTGCAGTGAGCTGTGATTGTGCCACTGCCCTCCAACCTGGGTGAAAGAGTGAGACTCTGTCTCAAAAAAAAAAAAAAAATAGAACAGAGACTTTGCTCTAAAGTCTTACAGGCTTGTGTTCTAATCCTGATATGTCCACTTAATAGCCATGTGCCCTGAGCTAATGTATTAAGCCCTACTATCTACAAATACAAAATTGAAAGTAAGACTATTGTGTAGAGAATGGTAACTACCCAAAATTAGTTCTGCCCTTCTTCCTTACTACCATATAGGAAGGTACTGTACCTAGTCAATTTATGACAAAGTTTGTTTCCCATGCAACTAGATGTGGCCTTCTGTATCAGAACTTAATCATAAGATGTCAGGAAAAATTGTTATGGAACTTCTAGAAAGACTTAAAAGCAGGGATAGTTGGAGAAAACCCCTTTTGTACTCCCTCCTGACATGGTTTGGACCTGTCAAACCATGGTGTCCCCACCAAATCTCATGTCAAAGTGGAATCCCCAGTGTTGGAAGTGGGGCCTGGTGGGAGGTGATTGGATCATGGGTCGGGTTTCTCATGAATGGTATAGCACCAACCACCTTGGTACTGCCCTCACGATTAGTGAGCGAGTTCTCATGAGATCTGTCCATTTCAAAGTGTGTGGCACCTCCCCCCTCACTCTCTCTTGCTCCTGCTTTCTCCATATGAATTTCCAGCTCCCACTTTGCCTTCCATCATGAGTAAAAGTTCCCTGAGGCACCCCCAGAAGCAGGTGCCACCATGCTTCCTATACAGCCTGCAGAACCATGAGCCAACCTCTTTTCTTTTACATTACCCAGTCTCAGGTATTTCTTTATACCAATGTGAGAATGGCTTAATACATCTCCTTCCTGATGCTTGGAATGCAGATGTGATGGCTGGAGCTCCAGCAGTCATTTTGGGATCTTGAAATGAAGTCATACTCTGAAAATATCGGTAAAGAAAAGCTGGTGCCTGGGACCCTTGTGATAGCATGGAACTGTCACATCTGCATGGGACTGACTCATTCACACTGCTTTAGCTGACAGTGTAGTGAAGCCAGCATTGTTTTGAGTTTTCCCTTATAGGCAGTCAAACCTAATCCTAACTGATGAGAATACACATACATACATAGTCATTGTGGGGATAAAACAATCTATTAATATGCCTGGCACATAGCAGGTTAGCAGTACAGGTTGTGTCTTTTTTTACATAATTGTATCCTTTTTTACTACCAGAGCAGGTCAACCTTCTGCTAATTCTCTCTCTCTTTTCCTGCAATATGAAGCCACAAAGGACCTCCTTCTCTGATGTCCAGTTGAGGATTTCTTCCTGATAATCTCAGCAGTTTATCTTCTGACATAAATTTCTCCTTCTCTCACTACTTTCTGCTTCCACCTTGAAACCTGGGTTTTCATTGATTTCCTAAGATTTCTGGACTCACACACCTCTTAGGGACACCAAAACCAAATCTGAGTTTTTTCAGTAATGAACTTAAAAATTTACTCCTAACATTTATCATCAATACATAATCATTAATCACACATTACTCCCAATAGCTATTACATACTCAGACATATTTGTGCCTGAAGTTCTAATTTACAGCTTGGATTACCTCACTGACCAGATCTGGCAGATTTCCTGGACTTCAGTGAAAAAAAAAAACAAAAAAAAAACCTTTATTGTCAATTTAGAAATAAGAAAAATACCAATTGCTCCTTCTGAAGTACTGAAGACATGTCACTCAGATATATCTCTGTACTACTTTCTCTTAGTGGACTGAGAATCTGTAACCAGGGCAGATTCTAATTCTTGAATGCTTGAAATTAAATTAATTTAACCAGTCACAAAATAATTAGACTCAATTTGATCAGTTGTTAAATAAAAAGCAAAGCTATTATTTGAATTCAAAAAGTGCCTTCAAATTTGTTTGCAAATACGCATGCAATTATAAATGAGACAAAATTACATTTAACAGTAAAAAATTGGAAACAATTTAAATGTGACAGAGGGTACACACATTATGTTGCAAACATACATATATCAGTTATAAAAGTAACATTTATAAAATAGATAATAACAATAACATGTGTTTTATTATTATTATTATTATTTTGGAGATGGAATTTCGCTCTTGTCTCCCAGGCTGGAGAACAGTGGCATGATCCTGGCTCATTGCAACCTCCACCTCCTGGGTTGAAGCAATTTTCCTGCCTCAACCTCCCTAGTAGCTGGGATTGCAGGCGCCTGCCACCACACCTGGCTAATTTTTGTATTTTTAGTAGAGATGGGGTTTTACCACGTTGGCCAGGCTGATCTCGAACTCCTGACCTCAAGTGATCCACCCACCTCAGCTTTCCAAAGTGCTGGGATTACAGGTATGAGCCACCATGCCCAGCCAAGGAAAACATTTGTAATATTAGGAGAGTAAATTAAATAGATAGATGGCATAAACAGCATGACTATTCTGTCCTTTCTAGTCTTTGCTATCTGCTAATTTTTTCAGTGATTCCCACACATTCATGGAGCATTTTGGCACCTGAGTGAACACATTTCTCTCCACCCTACTTTTACTCAGTGTTCCCGGATGGGATAATTGTCCTAATGCAAGATGCATCTGCCAACATGGTCTATGGATGTCTGATTTTGGGAATTCCAGTGATACGCCTTTCTATGTAGCAACCTACTTCTAAAATCACTCTGGTTCTTACTAATCAGAATTTTTCTGTCTTATAAACCTTAAAATCCAGTATCCCATTTGCTAAGTGAGTTATTATTACAGTTCTCCTACATTCTTACACCCCATACACCATTCTTTAAACTTATTTCTACCGCCAGTCCCTTAATTACTCCCTTTTACTCCCTAACCAATTCCTTTCCTTCCTCACATTTTTTTCCCCCTTCAAGCAGTACACTCTGCATTCTCCATGCTCCTTTGGTTTTCTCTCGACCTCCTTCCCTCCTGTTCTGTGAAACATCACCCTTGCACTGACCCAAACACCAGAGTTCTCTGATTCTACTTTTGGGCTGCTGAAGAGATGGACCCAGCCACACACACTGGTATTGAGTCATGATTTCCAGTCTCAGCTGAGCCCAGTGCTCCCTGCTCACATTCTGAGATGTTCCAATTCCTAATTATTTCAGAAAAAAAAAAAAAAAAAAACCCACACCCTTCTATTCATCAATATTCTCCTTCCCGCTTCCTTGCTGACTGATCATAAGCAGGGTCCTTCTTCTGTCTCAAATTTATCCCTTATTTTTGAGGCCCTCATGTCCCATTCCCCAGGACGCTCCTCTGTCAATCACTAACCATTGTAGCTTCAATCTTTTTTGTCAGCCTCAGAACCACTCATTTGCTGTCATCTCAAAAAGGATGTGTTTGCCTCATGTCCATTCCAGCTGCCAGTCTTTGATTTTCCTTCCAGAGCCAAGCTACCTAAAATAATTACCAACACGTGGTCCCAGTTTTTAACCTCTTTTTCATTCATCAATGTCTCAAGTCCCACCTTTCCCCCCAAAACTGCTCTCCAAGATTACCAAGTGACCATTTTGTTGCTCAGCTCAATGGATAAACTTCAGTCTTCATTGCATTGACTATTCTGTAGACGTGGATATACTTTCTTTTGTTGGGTTGGGGTTTTTGTTTTTGTTTTGGGAAACAGCTTTATTGAGATACAATTTACATACCATAAATTAATCCATTCAAAGTGCCCAATTCAGTATTTGTTTTAGTATACTCAGAGTTATGCAGTCATCACCACAGTCAATTTTAGAACATTTTCATCACTCCCAAAAAAAGCCTAAACTCTTTAACATTCACCCTCATTCCCTTCATACCCCTCCCCAGCCCTAAGCAATTATGAATCTACTTTCTGTTGGTACAGTTTTACCTATTCATGTTTCATATAAATGGAATAATAAATCATACAATGTGTGTGTTTTCTGTGACTACTTTTTACTTAGCACAATGTTTTCAAGGTTCATCCATATTGTGCTAAAGCTCACCACTTCATTCTTTTTCATAGACAAATAACATTCTGTTGTATGAATATACCACATATTATTTATCCATTCATCAATTGGTCGATATTTGGATTATTTCCACCTTTTGGCTATTATGAATAATGCTGCTGTGAACATTTGTTGCAGAGATTTTTCTGTGGACATATGTTTTATTTTATGCTGAGTATATACCTAGTAGTGAAATTGCTGGGTCACATGGTAACTTGAAACTCAAACTTTTTAAAGAACTGCCAGACTATTTTCCAAAGGGGTTGCACTATTATGTGTTCTGACCAGAAGCATACGAGGTTTCCAATTTCTCCACATCCTCATCAACACTTGTTATTATCTGTCTTTTTTATTATAGCCAGGTGAGAATAACATAGTATCTCATAGTGGTTTTAATTTTCATTTTCCCGATGACTAATGATGTTGAACAACTTTTTAAATCTTTTTTAATTAATTTATGAGATCCTTTATGTATTTTTTATGTAGTTTATTGTCAAATAAATAATTTGCGAATTTTTCCTCCTATTCTATGGGTTCTAGTTTCACTTTCTCAATGGTGTCCTTTTAAGAACAAAAATGTTTGATTTTGATTAGTCTAATTTACCTATTTTCTCTTTTATTATTTGTGCTTTGGTATTATATCTAAAAAACACCATCTAATCTGAGGTTATCAAGATTTTCCTCTACTTTTTCTTATAAGAGTGTTATATTTATAAAACTATAGTTTTAGTTATAGTTATAACACCCTTATAAGTGTTATAGTTATAAAACAATAACACTCTCATAAGAAAAAGTAGGGGGAAATTTTCATGACCTCAAATTACATTGCTCTTACATTTAAGGCAATAATCCATTATGAGCTAAATTTTGTATATGGTGTGAGGGAAGGGTTGACCTTAATATTCTTGATACTTGAAACTCTGCTTTCTTGGCCTTCAAGATTAGATTTCCCTAGTTTTCACCCTGTCTCACTTTACAGCCATTTAGTTTCTATAAAAAGTGTTGTTTCTTCTCCAATGTCATTGGACCCTAGGTTTCTATTGTAATTATAGGTTCAATTTTAACTCCCTTATTTAATTGTAAGATTGAGAACAGAAACTTCCTTATTTGATTTTATGTTCACCAAAGCCTCTGACAAAGACTGGAATTCTGTGGGTATGATAGATATTTATATTAAATACAAAACTGGCATCAGAACAAAGGCCTGAAGGTAAAATAGAGAAAGTGTATGTGTGTGTGTATATACATTATACATACACACAGATATATAGGTATAAGTCTTGCCTTTTTTCTATTCCTCAGGCTTTTATAATAAAAATACTTGGAAATATAATAATTGTACGTTTTAAAATAATTAAAAGAGTGTAATTGGATTATTTGTAATGTAAAGGATAAATGCTTGAGGGGATGGATACCCCATTCTCCATGATGTGCTTATTTCACATTGCATGCCTGTATCCAAACATCTCATGAACCCCATAAATATATGCACCTACTATGTACTCACAAAATAAATTATAAGTACATTTTTTACAAATTGTGAAAAGATACTTGGAAACAATAAGGAAAACATCTGTATTTAAGGAAAAGAGGAAAAGAAGCTAAAACTTTTAACAAGAAGAATAAATTACTGCACTAACCACCCCACTGGATTGTGAGATTAAATGAAATCATGTAACTGAAAGCACCTTTTAATAGAAGCACTACACAAAGATAAGGTAAAGCTCTAAACAAACCCCAGATATTGACACGCTTGTCATCACCTGGCAAATTCCTTTAGAGTGGGACCCATTTTATGTATTCCCGGTACAATGCCTGGCACATAGCACATCTTAATTCTTTTATCTATTCAACCAATGTGTCTGGAAGGGCCACCATTTGCCAGAAACCATGCAACGTGCTGGAGAATTCAGAAGCCAGAAGAACATGGTTCTTGACTTCATGCCCTACTACGCAGTTGAAATAGGAAATAAATATTTACTGAGAAACATTAAATCAGCTTGTGTTCCTGACATGTTATCTTTTTAGAAATGCAATAATAATGACAATATTATATATTTCCAACAATTTTTTAGAAAGCTTTGGGAAAAAAATTAAGGAAGTATTAGCAAAATGAAAACCTGTTCAGCATTTACAGAGTGCCTGCTCCACATGAAACACTGACCTAGAATCTCTGAGGAATGAAGAGAAGAGTGAAACCTGGCTCCCACCCTATGAAAGTGCAAAGGCTCTTGGAAAGGACAGGTAGACAGATATCTACAAAGATAACTCTAATCCAAAGCAAGTTATGGGAAATGCTATAGTGAAGGTTTAAACAAAATGTAGAGAGAGTTCAGGGGCAGACAGGATTCTGAGAAGAGCGTAGTATTATCTTAGGAAGGTTTCTGCTCATGCTTGTCTGTCTGGCAACTTAGACAGCAACAGCTTTACAAGCAGATTCAAGTATCTGTGCTCCCATGAAGCATTTCCACCTCCCTGCCCACACAGATAGGATGATGGTGGCTCTAAGAGTGATCAGGGGATGCTGGGCTCCTGTGAATGTCTAGGACAAGACCTAGGTATGGATGAATTTTCCATTTCTTCTGAAATATATAGGATCAGCACCATAGGGCAGGAAGGGAACCCAGAGACCATCATTCCAACCTCCCAAGTGGTACATTACTGTTTATTTGAGCCTATGTCCATGATCGAGAATGAATATCCTTTAGGCTTCACCCTCCAGCAGACTACTGGATTTTTGGAGTTACCCACACTTAAAGAAAAAGTAGAAGAAATGAACATTCGATTAAATATAATTCAAACAATCTGTTTTATCAAAGCAAGTCGACCATAAATCAGAAGAAAAGGTGGGGTTTACATCACAAAAATGAGACAGGAACTTGGCAATGGCCCATCTTGGCAAGCTGTCATGCCAGGTCTACACAAGGTCAATATGGTAATTCATTTGCTGAAATTACTTAATTCTGCTGTCTGTAACCAAACAGCTATTTATCTTCTTATACAGGAGCATGTCACTTCAAGGTAAAATTGATATTTGGCAATCCAAGTTTACAGGCAAGTGAAATGTTACTATACCGTAGGACTTGACTCTTTTACAGAGGACCATTTATTAAACACAGTAAAACAGGATTCTGTTTACAGATTTTTAAAAAATCTTTTTACACTATCTTTTCTGTCACATAGTAATTGTATAGAACTGAATGTTTTTCTACAAAAAAGACTTCCCACTACGGTCAGCAGATAATGTTGGTGCTAAGGCAAGTTCCAAAATTTTGAGTGGTAAATGTCTTTCTCCTGCCAAGTCAGATTGTGAGAGATCAATTTTAACTTCTTTTCAAATTGTAGTAATTAATAACAGATTTCTTTCCTGTTACTGACCCAGGCATAAATGTAGGCTTGAAAAATAGCCAAAACAGATCTACACGATGCTCAAAAAGAAAGTCCCCTCTATGGCAACAATGCAAGCCTTATTCCAGATTTCTGGCAAAGCTCTTCTCAGTTGCCTTTCTCCAGCAAAGTGGGCCTACGCACACTGTAAAATAAACTCAGAGAATGTTCAGCAATCTGCTGGTGGAGGTACTTGCTAAGTGAGCATCTCTTCCCTCCGTAAGCTGAAGTGTAATCATTTCTCTGTTCACCTCATTTGCATGATCTAATGAAAAATGCACAACCTTGGATTATATCTGAAGCTATGAATCTATTAGATCTTTACAATAAGAAGTCAGGCTCATGTGGATAGCTTCACTGCATATATATATATACATATATATGTTTTGTTTTATTTTTCCCAAGACAGAGTCTTACTCTGTCACCCAGACTGGAGTGCAGTGGCACAGTCATAGCTCACAGAATGAAAATCTCAAATTCCCAGGCTGAAGGAATCCCTCCCTCCTCAGCCTGGGTAGCTAAGATCACAGGCACATACCACCATGCCTAGCTAGTTTTTATTATTTATTTATTATTATTATTATTATTATTTTGTAGAGACAGGGTCTTCCTATGTTGCCCAGGCTGATCTTGAACTCCTGGCCTCAAGTGATCCTCCCACTTCTGCCTCCCAAAGCGCTGGGATTACAGACAGGAGCCACCACACCTGGCCTCACTGCATACATACTAAATCAAATAGGTCGGCATATGCATTTTTTGAAGATGTTGCTGAAATGCTTTATCTCTTTATAAAAGTCCAAGAATTTATTCAATAAACATTTCACAATCTATAAGAAGGCAAGGTAAGAAGCTTACAGTTTGGTAGAAAGAGATAAACGTGAGGTAGAATGGAAGGTTGGATATGTTCTAAGAGAAATGGGTGGGCACTCAGGAGACAGGTTGATTCTATCTTGGCCCGGAGGATGCAAACTCAGTATATTTCATGTAAAAAGTTGGGATGAGAATCAAACCAGGTGATTCTACAAACATCACGCCTTACTCCAACATGAAAGCTTTCAAGTAATGATATCTTTAGCAGAGATACAAATATGTTTTTATTTTCCTAAAGTTGAAAGTGTATTTGGAATAAGTCAGGGGATGATGGCACTGAGAACCCTTTCTTCCAAAAAAAATTGTTATTTTATGCAGATGCGACTGCATCAGCTAGACCTTCTTACTGTCTGCACAATGCTCACCTTTCTAAGTTAGATGCTGCAGGTGAGCTGATGATACTTTCCCTCCTTTCTTTTGAAGATGAAAATGACAGCTGTACCTAACACAAGGCTTTGCCATCTGTATGCATTAGACAAGCCAATTTAACTTTTAGGATAATAGGACTTTCCAAGCCTTCAAAGCTAAAGGCAAAGGAAAAAAATAAAGGGCAGCTTAGGCTTACTCAGATTCTGGAAGTGATTTTTCTCTCTTCTGTAAATTGAGATAATGGAGACTATCAATACCGCCGTATTTACTCCATAAGATCCTGTTCAGTAACTGTATTTGAATACATATTACAACAAAGGAATAATAAAAGGTAAAGTGGGATGATGTATCCATGTTGGAGCTTGAGAGAACACACACGTTGGTGCAGATGGGGTCCTGTGGGGAGCGCTTGTGAATGTCAGAACACATCAGGGGCATCAGAAGGAGTCAGCGATTTCAACATGTTGCGAATCTGGGACGTCGTTCTGTGTTTCCTATAGAAAGGCACAAGCAGAATCAATCAAATTGGGTTTTAATTAGAACACGAGTCAATCAGGAGACTAAATTCCAAGGCTAATTCTAACACTGTCCAAAAACCAAAACAACAACAAAAAAAAGAGCTCAATTAGACATTGTCTTCTCATTCCCAGCTAAAATGGAAGCATCTGCCTAATTAGAAAAAGACATCATTCATCCAACACAAATTAGGAGGCTCTTCCATGAAGGTTGCATGCAAAATTATATGAGGATGGGTAAGAATTTCTATAACTCCCAAGAACATGTTTACAGAATTGCACAGCCTTTGATGAAATTCTCACTGCATCCTGCTCTCAGGGTTGCGTGAAGGGAGTTATCCTTATCTTTAAATGAACAAATGCCAAGAATATCCTACCCAATAGCCTCTCTCAGCAGAGCAAGAAAAACATGTAAGTTTTTTTTTTTTTTGACTGAATGCACATTTAGCTTCCTTTTTTCTGTGCTGATTATATTTTCCAAACTCATTTCTATTGAATTGGCCTAGCTGAAAATTTAATTGGCTTCATTTAAGACAAAAATAGGTTTTATAAAAGCTGTACTGATTTTTTAATGCAAAATAGAAAAATAAAATAATGCAAGTGTATTATTTATTCAAGGGCGCCAATCTCACCCCACATTCCCACGTGAGTGATTCAATCCAGACACCACACAAGTCATCTTAAGATGCCCAGAAAATTATTATACTTGTGAACATATAAAGCAACTTATCAATTGATTGAGAGGGAGTAAAAATTACCCATATTACAACTCTGCATTTTAATATAGAGAAAGTAAGTCCATTCAGTCACACACTTAGTGAGAGCTCCTCACCAAAGAACACCTATTAAGAATCCACCTGCACATATGGCTCTATAGAGCACAAAACAAAGCTCACCTGTTTCTGAGGAAACCGAAATGTCAGTGCCTGCAAATAATATACTGTGCAAAGATCATATTTTGTTCATGTGGAATTCAGTTTTCATGTACAGAGTAAATTTTTAATGAAATATTTTTCTTCTCTCTACACAAATATCATTCCCAGAATATTCTTCAGAGACAAAAAGACATATAATCTTCAAACTCAAATCCTTTTTTTTCCAATTCAAGTTGCACTCAGATTAAGATCTAGGGGTTTTGTATATTAATAAACTGACTGTGTATCTAACAATGACTCTAGTTACCTGTGGCAGCTTGGTTAATGCTTTAGTACTTCTTCATTAGGAAAGATTTTTTCTGATTTGGGAGCAAGTCAGGGAGTCAGTGTGAAACACAGCTCCAACCTAGAGAAAGACCCACCCGCTAAGAGGTCATGGAGATGACTCAAGTCTCAGTACCAAGGAAAAGGATTAAAATGGTCCACCCATGAAAATCTCTTCCATCCCTTCCTCAATCTCCTGCAGAGAATGCAGCCTCAAGCCCTTGAGATACTGAGAGGGAAAAATATTCTCTCTCCAATATTTCTGTGAAAGACTGTTGTAAGGCAAGAAGAAATCACCTGCTCCTGTGGGAATTCATGGCAAAGAATTCAGTATACACCAAATTATCCATGTGCACTGCAAAAAAGAAGTGGAGAAAAATGTACATCCCTTTGCTCCTGGTCTCCAAGCCCCTTTCTTGCTCCAAATACATCTCCTTTCTTGACCTCTAAAACTTGCCTTAAGTACTCAGCCCCAGTTTGGTCTATATCAACCTGTCCATCCAACTATCTTTACCTCTTCTGAAAGATGCCTCAACAGATTCCTCACCTCTTTCATTGCCAATATTTCCAACGTTTGCTCCTTTGATTAAAATACTCTAAGGCCTGTGTTCTCTCAGTTCTTTGTTTTGTTGAATACATCACGCATCCATACAGAACTGAATAGGGTTGAGGTATTAATGGAGCCCATCACAGCTAACTCCTATGTGCAGCTCCCTTGCAGCCTCCACTCCCGCTCAGTAGCACAGCTCTCATGCTGTGCTTTGCCTGGGAACAGACATTGTTAGGACAGACAGAGGCGTCCCACAGGCAGTCCATCCAGGGCCCAGGTTTGTGCCAGGTGTAGCACTGGCCAACCGGGTCAGTAGTAAATTGCTAACCAAAGTGGCTTTCTTGGGATTCAAACTGGGCATACAGAGAACGGTCAGTTTGTATCCAAGTAGAATAGAACAAAACAAGGAAATACATCATGACAAAGAGACTGCATTGATCCAAAGAGGGCAGAGAGAGTCGTCAGATCCTTGATCTATCTCCAAGTCCAAGGCTCCAATTCTAGTCGGCATCTATCTTGAGTGAGTCTGTTGGTTAAAACAGAAAATGCCTAAATAAGTACTAAACCATCCATTTTCTCTCCAATTTTACCTCCTTCTCCTCTCCCCCCACACCCAAGGATCCCAACACCATTCTTCATGACTCTAGAATCTTCTGCCTCCCTCTACCCCTGCTCCTTCGGCAAATGCATCTCCCCCTACCCAACCACAGAGACAGCTAAGGCAATAGTCCTATACCATCTGTTGAATGCAGAAGAAACGTTCTAAAGTCACTTTAGTTAAAAAGCATTGGCTAGTGTGTAAGAACAGTTGGAAGAAAAATGTCTGAAATATAGAGGAGAAGCAAATTTTTGGAGACTATATCCAGGAAGAAAGCAGAGACCAGAACAAGTGAACATGTGTTAGCATCATCAGTTTCAGAAAGCAGTTTAAGCAAAAGACAAAGACTGGGGGTAAGAACAAACAATTAAATATGGTTCAAAGCTGTCTTTGGAGGCCCGTGGAAAATGGGAATGAGAATCCAAGCAGCCTTTTTGGAAATGTGATATGTAAGTGAAGATGGCTTTAAATGATGACAATTTTCACCTCACTGAGGGTAACTGGCAGATTTTTTTTCCTCTGGCAAACTTCATTTTTATGTTTATTCCTGGTTCCTGACATCTGATTAAGAGCAATGAAATCAACCCATCTTAGATCACGTTTAAGTAGCACTTAGCATTATGCTAGTCTGCAATTGGGGACGGGGACCGTGTTTACCACACCAGTGACAGAAATCCAGCTTGCTTTGCCATACCATTGCAGTGTAGTCCATTTTGTAAAGGATAGAGCCAGTAATTAACTCAAAGGGGGAACGAAACTTGTGTTTTATAGTAAAATAAATGCCTTTTAATCTTTTTAAGCCAAAAAGACTCATTCCCAAAAACCATTTAATTTGATTTCAACTCTGAAAAATCATCCCATAATCACCGCATTTTCTCCTTGCCCCTGGAAGATGGTACTTTTAGCTAAAAGCCAAAGTAGGCACTTTGATTCCTCAACCCAAGTCCTTATACCCTGTGTTTCAGCCAGCACACAGTCCATGCACCATGCTCTGAGGGTGTCTCTTCATCACTTTCCCTGCCACAGTATATGTCATCATCAGCAAAATTCCTGGACACCAGGAAGATCCCACAGATTAAAATTTTATTCTCTGTAGAATGCAAGTATTTGAATTAAAGGGAACCACACAAAGTGGGTTTGGCGTTAAAATCATCATGAAGGAGAAAAACATCTCCTGATGTTTATTTTGTGGTAGAAAATGGTCCTCAAAAATCAAACAACAGAAACTTCTTGATGAAGCACGAACTAAAAAAAGATATCATTGGCTCCACTCTAGTTTTTTAATAGTCTCAGATTTCTCAGGGCAAAATTAATTTTAATTTGTGCATGCATGTGTGTGTGTGTGTGTGTGTACATCTATAGGTTTCAAAAAGCACCTACAGAAAAAGAGATCCATGAAGCCAAATAATATTAGACACAAAATAATTGGAAATACTGGACTAGACAATGTGCACAAAATTTTCCTTTACTTTTTAAACAAAATGCCACTCTATCCACATAATACCCACTTCTCATCTTTCTCCAGTTCTCACTCTCACACAACCACCTCATGCTTAGCAGAGTACAGCGCCAATATGAACTAGAGAAAAACCAGATATGGACCATTTATCCTGGGTCTCTTTGAAGATGTCCGAAAGCCACGGGACTGGAGGGGAAGTGCCTGGCCAAGAGGAACAGGTCTTCTCAGGCTCGGACATCAGGTCGCAGTGGGTGGCCCTGCTGCCTTCCTGGCCACTTGACAATCCCTCTGAAATAGAGTTATCCTGGAGAGTGACAAATTACCAACCCTGGAGGCTATGGCCCAGTGCTGCCAGGGCCAGAACCATGCAAAGGGAAGGAAAGCCACAGCACCTAATCCATGACCCAGAGAAAGCCCTTCAGGGAAATGGAGCTGCCAAATTTCAATTGGGTCAATATTTGGTCTTTGTTTTCAAAGTTGCCCTCAAGCTACAACTGTTTTCCTTTTCTGTGGGCTTTGGTGGAATAAGAAGCATGTCTATTTCCTGCAAAGGGGCTTAAAATGAGAGGCAGTTTCCGATCATCTCAGTTAATGTCAGTTGAATAAATATTTCTCTGGTAAGAAACTTCTGTCTTCCCATTTGTACCATGAGTTGTATTCATCACTTTAGGATGTCATCTCTTCTAAGGAATACAGTAGCTGTTCTTGGCCCTAATTACCAGGTGGAAACAGAAGATGTTAGTAAGAGTATGTTGTCCTTCTCAGAACTCATGTTTCTGAGTTTCTTAAGTATGAAATGTTCTGATACCTGATACATTATAATGACGATTTATAAGGAGATCCGAATCTGGCCCCTGGATACAGGTAATGAGACGAGAGAGTTACCTGGCCCCCCTCACAGGGTGACAGGGGTCCAGCTCTCTGTTCAACTGCCAGGAGCCCAAACCCCTTGTGAGAGGGGGAGTGCAGGAGCTGGGGTGAGCACTTTGGGATCCACCCCTACAGTAGTGTCTAGGGGTGGGTGCCTGCAACCCCAGTGTTACAATGCTCTTTTAGCTCTGCCATCCACAGATGACTTAAATGTTAACCAGCTCAGTGCCCCCTCTGCCTTTCTGCAAAGGCAGAGGGCCAGTGTGACAGCTTTCTTTATCCCAAGATTTTGTCCAGCATCCCAGAAGAATCGGGTCACACACAGACTTGAAGGATGAATGCGGGGTTTTATTGAGTGGTGGAAGTGGCTCTCAATGGGATAGATGGGGAGCTGGAAGGGAGGATGGAGTGGGAAGATGATCTTCCTCTGGAGCTTGGCTGTCCCTTTGTCAAACTCCTCTCCAACCACCACTAGCCAAACTCCTCTCTGCATTTAGGAGTTCCTTCTCTTCTCTCTTTGTCTGCCACACTGTTTGTCCGCTTGTTTCCTTGTCTGCTCATCAGCTTCTGGAGCCTGGGATTCAGGGTTATATGGGTACAGGATGGGGGCACGGCAGGCCAAAAGGCAACTTTTTGGGTGTGAAAACAGGAATGCCTGTCCCCATTTAGGGCTGTAGGCCTCCAGGCTTGAGGGTGGGGCCTTTGCCAGGGAACCATCCTCTTCTATCCGGTATTTTTCTGTCTCCTCTCCATGTCAGTAACATGTACAAAATTAGGTGACTTTATCAGCTATTTTCATCAAAGAAGAACAGCTCTCCCAGTGGTCTTTCCTCCCTGGTCTGGTTATCTGGCAATTGACTTACAAACACTCCCAGCATTAACTTCCTGCCTTCAACATATAAGACAAAGCAAGCCTGTCTCTTCTAATTCTCACGATGAAAATGTCTGTTTAAAAAATGTCTTTCAAAATACCCACATAAAGAATCTTCCCACTTAGACCCTAATATGTTAAAAAACAAAAAATCAAATCTTTGCAGTGAATGTTAACCTGGGCTTAGCTATGTGAATCACTGAGGCATGACATCATACATTATTCATCCATTTAATGCAACTTGGGAAGGGCCTAAGCGACATAAAGACAGATTGTTAGTGTTGTTTAGAAGAAAAAAGTGATACACTACCTAAATATTTAGGACATAAATACTTTACAAAATCGTCCTTTGTAACTTAATTTCTGTCCTGATTTTACCAGGTAAACTTGATTCACTAAGTACAGAGTAGCCCCCTAGTTCCTTCCACTACAATGGGTACACAGGTCTAGAGAGAATTAAGTATTTTGTAGTTTTCAAGTTTTATACATTTTGCCAAATGGATCACTGAAAAAACCTAATTTATGCCATTTCACAAAAAGCTAACAGGCTTTCTATATCCAATATAGATTGATTTGTAGTTTTATAAACATGCATTGTATGGCAAAATAATACTACTTTTTTTTCTTCTTGATTTTAATAGATCCACATTTTTTTAAACCCTTGGGAATGTATTATATATTGGGCTTTTGAGAATTAGATTATCAGATTAATTTTTTTATAAATATGAAGGACCTACCACCTTATCACCTTACCACTAAGCACTAAGTGAGAATAAAAGAAGAAATGCTATAGGCTTGGCATACTAGAGTTTCCATACTGCAAATGGCTAAGAACTAACCCTTCACTTTTCCAAAGCCCAGTTGGCTAAGGTGGGGTTCTGTAAGGAAAGGAAATTTTAAAAGTCATAGAATGTGGGCACTGCCAGGGAGAATATTTGACCATCTACTATTTCATGCACTATACCTGAACTAAAAAGAGAAGAAGAGAGGGAAAAAAAAGATAAATCAACACCTTTGAATGAAATGAGCCACTTTCAATATGTCAGACAAACATAATGCATTTTGTTCACACCTTTCCTTGTAACAGGTTTCTTTCAAATGCAAGGTATATTTTTACACTAGCAATTCTTTTAAGATCAGCAAATGCTGAGTTAAAAAAATATCTGCAAAGTGCCTAATTCACATATGGACATTTTAGGAGGGGATGGAGCTGGTTAGACCCAGAAGATATTCAGCATTTTCTAAATGCCTACCAGTTCATCACTTTCCTCAGGAGGAAAGGTAAAAGCTGGCTTGCATTTTCCCTCGCTGTAAACATCGGTGTATTCATTTTCTGATCATAAAATAATAATGATTTATAATAGCAGCCCCTCTTGGTCTAAAATCTATTGGCTAGAATCATGTTACTAATGGAATTTAAGCTGTTTTCACTTATTAATCATGGTAATACTCAGGTTCGGCTCTGGGCAAAATTGTTAAATAGGCAAAACTGATCTTTGGTGCCTTACTTCTCAGTACAAATTTCCCCTCATGGGGAAATCTAGACCTAGACCCCTACTTACTGAGGTGTTTATAGCTAATACAGCAAAAGATTCAGTATTAACTCTTCCAGGGGTATTTGCACATTAATAAGGGATTCTTAACATCCCAGGAAAAGAAATGTGATTCTCTGATTTTGAGATGCCTGGTCCTGATGGCCATCTAGAGTGGCGTGAGGGCCACGAGAACTCTGCATAGTACCCTTCACTGTCTTCCATGTGCATCTCCACCAACTCTGCCAAAGTGGAAGCTGACTCTTGGAAAATCAGGAAACCACTAAATGTTAAGCATAAAAGTATCTACTAGTTATAAGTATATATTAAAATAAGCACTTCAATTTAACGTAGAATTGCAATCTGCAATCCATGATGTAGAATTTCTGTTTCCTGTGCTTTTTCAAAGTACAGAGAGCAAGATAAGTTACATTTTGTTTTTTGTTTACCTAAAGGAAATTTCCATGAACTAAGGAAAAGAGGAAACTGTAGACTGTAGGCGAACTCATTGGTCTCCATCTCTGCATGTCTACCTCATCTACAGACATTATAGACATATTTCCTTTTTTTTTTTTTTTTTTTTTTTTTTTTTAGACAGAGCCTTGCTTTGTCACCCAGGCTGGAGTGCAATGGCACAATCTCAGCTCACTGCAATCTCTGCCTCCTGGGTTCAAGTGATTCTCCTGCCTCAGCCTCCTAAGTGGCTGGTATTGCAGGCATGCACCACCACACCTGGCTAAGTTTTGTATTTTTAGTACAGACAGGGTTTCACCATGTTGGTCAGGCTGGTCTTGAACTCCTGACCTTGTGATCTGCCTGCCTAGGCTTCCCAATTTTTTAATTTTTCTTTTTTTCTTTTTTTCTTTTTTTTTTTTGAGACAAGGTCTTATTCTATTGACCAGGCTGGAGTACTATGGCGCCATCATGGCTCACTGCAGCCTTGACCTCCCAGGCTCAGGCAATCCTCCCACCTCAGCCTCCTGAGTGGCTGGGACTTCAGATACATGCCACCATGCCTGAGTAAATTTTTTTTATTATTTTTTGTAGAGATGGAGTCTTGCTATGTTGCCCAGGATGCTCTTGAACTCCTGGGCTCAAGCAGTCTTCCCACCTTGGCCTCTCAAAGTGCTGGGATTACAGGTGTGTGCCACCAAGCCTGGCCTGTATCTTATTGATGAGAAAGAACAACAGAATTTCCATGGACCTCATTGCCATAGCAACACTCTGTTTTCAGAATCATTCCTGGGGAAAGAGGAGAGCAGAATGGAATGAATTTTGGACAAAGAACCAAAGTTCAACTCGTGAACTTGCCATTGTGAGACCCGGAGCAAATCACATCTTCCTGAGCTGCAGATTCTTATCTATTTTGAGAACTAGTCATCAAAAATCCCTGCCGGCATAAAAAACATCTCGAATTTAAGAACACAGTAATACGCAAACATGAATAATGGTCCAACCGAAGCCCCAACTAGGAGTGATAAAGTATCATTTTAAATATTTGAATTACTAGAAATAATGAATGCCATTCTTATTTCCTCTTCCACATCCATTTTCACACTTGCACCTATTACAGCCATCCAATTATGATTCATTAAGAAGGAAGAAATCTTTCTTCCTGATTTAGTGAAAGCCCCATTTTTAATGTAATTCGGGTCAAAGTTGACTTTTCTGTCTCGGGTAAAATTACATAACTAACTCCAGAAATAGGATTACAAAACTGGTAAGATAATAGCATTTCCAATAACTAATGAGACTGGTTGCCTGGTCTACGCAGTTGATGTTTCATACAGATCTGTATTTATCCTATAGTCAATCACAGGCCAAAATGAGAGAAGTAGCTGAATGCCAGTTTTGGCTTGTGCAATCATTATAAAGGGAAAGCCCTGTCGATTGCCCTGCTTCACCGTATTTTGAGAAATTGAATTTTCCCTACTTCTTCTCAGGCAGGAACCAAAAACAGG
This sequence comes from Homo sapiens, assembly GCF_000001405.40. Lineage (NCBI taxonomy): Eukaryota > Metazoa > Chordata > Mammalia > Primates > Hominidae > Homo > Homo sapiens. The sequence goes on from NC_000010.11 coordinate 33,986,472, forward strand.
AGAAGGTCTAAATATGGTTAACAGAACTTTCTTCCAGACGATTTCCTGAAGCTGAATGAGGATCATGGGCTGGATCGGTGCCTTTATTTTCATTTAATGTCGTTGTCAGATGAACACTTTTTAATAATAGACTACTCTTGGAGTCTCTGATTTAAGTAGTGACTATTGATTGACTAGTTAGAACTTCCGTGCTTTATGAATTGTTCTCTAGAGGTGATGCAATGAAGAAATCAATGCTCTTATTTGCGTTTATAGTCAGTCTACAGAGTGAATTGGATTTTCAAACAGCAGAGACAAAGGGATATTTTAGAATGTCATTAGCTAAGGGATAAAATTAAAGAGGGCTAATCATGTCAAGGCAAATATTGCTAAAGATATTGCTAAGCACTCCAAAATCAGTGATTCATATGAAAAGAGTCACATGACATATGGCTTTCTTTCTTTTTTTTTTCTTTGAGACAGAGTCTCACTCTGTCACCCAGGCTGGAGTGCAGTGGCGCGATCTCGGCTCACTGCAACCTCCGCCTCTCGGGTTCAAGCGATTCTCCTGCCTCACAGCCTCCCAAGTAGCTGGGATTATAGGCATGCGTCAACACACCTGACTGATTTTTGTATTTTTAGTAGAGACAGGGTTTCACCACATTGGTCAGGCTGGTCTTGAACTCCTGACCTCGTGATCCACCCGCCTCAGCTTCCCAAAGTGCTGGGATTACAGGTATGAGCCACTGCGCCCGGCCTGGCTTTCTTTAAAATAGACATTGTTGGCCGGGCACAGTGGCTCACGCCTGTAATCCCAGCACTTTGGGAGGCCGAGGCAGGCAGATCACAAGGTCAGGAGATCAAGACCATCCTGGCTAACACAGTGAAACCCCGTCTCTGCTGAAAATACAAAAAATTAACCGGGCATGGTGGTGGGTGCCTGTAGTCCCAGCAACTCGGGAGGCTGAGACAGGAGAATGGCGTGAACCCGGGAGGCAGAGCTTGCAGTGAGCCGAGGTCGTGCCACTGCACTCCAGCCTGGGCAACAGAGCAAGACTCCATCTCAAAAAAAAAAAAAAAAAAAAAAATAGACCTTGTGGCATTCATCACCATTTCTTTGCTACCTAATACATGCAAAGCCATCTGATGGGCTTGGAGTCAGGGTTCCTTCTGGCTGCGTGGCCTTTAGCAGGGCACTTAGTTTGAATCTGAATCTGAGTTCCTTTTCCCATAAAATGGGCTAATAATAGTTCTTCCTCCTAGGGTTGTAAGAAAGAATAAATGAGACAACACTTGATATGGTGTCTGGCTTATGAAAAGCAAATGATAAGCATCATTTTACTCATATTATTGCTATTATTATCACCAGTTCATATTGAGTAGAGCCTCAGTTAAGTGTTGATGGAGTAAACTTTGGAACAAGTTTTCAGAAGTCTGTCACTCCTTGGCCTGCCCCATGTCACATCCTCACTCCCGCTATTTTAGCTTCAAGTGTCCTAGAACCTAGCAGTCCAAACCAAGACCTGTGGCTCTGCCATTCGGACCTTTGCCTTTGGGTGTTAGTTAACTGAGTACGCTCCTGTACCGACAAGATGCAGCCTCCTGAGCCCTTTTCCATCCCCATCCCGTATAACTAACACTTCTCAGCTGGCCTCATTTCTGTAACCATTGACCCCCCACGTGTAAACTTTACTGTGATGGGACTCCTTTTGTGCTTATTATCCTAACTGTGCTCAGCCTGAAGCCTCTGTAGGCTCACTACTTTGCCTGCACTGGCTAAGACCTGGGACCCTCTTCCATATTTGGCCATCCAGCTCACGTTCCTTTCTTCTGTTCCTCCAACAAGGCCAATGACAACTCTTTGCAGTTCTTCAACATTTTCAACCCTGGAAATATTTATCTGTACTTCATTATTCAGATTAGAACCACATCAACACTCTGAACCACTCTGGTTTCTATAAGTCCCAAGTCACGGAACTCCTGTGCCTTCCTGTCCTCCCATTCACTTCACTCTTAAAGGGACACTAGAGTCGTTCTTTACTGATGAACACTAGTGCCCAGGTTCTTCCTCTTTTCTTCCAGACCAACTGTCCCTCCTAACCTCGCTTCCCGGCATCTCGTTTCCCCACCTCCCTTGTGTCAATGAATTGTTTTATAGAATCGTCCACTCCCTCATTCACTCGCCTTTCTGTCTACTCATGTTCTGCATTCCTAACCCTAGGTAGGCCCCGTAAACTGCTCTTTCTTAACTGCTGACTGCTATTGGAGATCAGAGGAATCTTCTGTGTGATTCATTGAAAATGCATATAATTACCGTTTATTTGCTACTGTTGCTTTGCTTGGCAATTCGTTTTTACTTTCTTTAAAATTTTACTTTAAATTCTGGGATATATGTGCAGAATGTGCAGGTTTGTTACATAGGTATACATGTGTCGTGGTGGTTTGCTGCACCTATCAACCCGTCATCTAGGTTTCAAGCCCCGCATGCATTAGGTATTTGTCCTAATGCTCTCCTTCCCCTTGCCCCCCACCCTCTGACAAGCCCCAGTGTGTGATGTTCCCTTCCCTGTGTCCATGTGTTCTCATCGTTCAACTCCGAGAACATGCGGTGTTTGGTTTTCTGTCCCTGTGTTAGTTTGCTGAGAATGGGTTTCCAGCTTCATCCATGTCCCTGCAAAGGGCATAAACTCGTTCTTTTTTATGGCTGCATAGTATTCCATGGTATATACATGCCACATTTTCTTTATCCAGTCTATCATTGATATGCATTTGGGTTGGTTCCAAGTCTTTGTAAATAGTGCTGCAGTAAACATACATGTGCATGTGTCTTTATAGAGGAATGATTTATAATCCTTTTTACTTTTTATAACCTTTCCCAAAGTCACTATTCAAGTCCCTTTTCTTGGCCTCAAGCCATGGCCCTGGTCCTAACTTTCTTAGAAATGCTTAGGCCTACACTTTACACACACACACACACACACATGCACGCACACACACATATGCACACACACACACAATTGTGTCCCCTCCATCCCGTATCCTCTCTCCTCTACCCACATTTTCTTCAATACTTATAATTTCAAAAGAAGTATCTCTTCTCTTTATAGAACTAATCCCAATTCTCATATCCCTAACCAATCTTTTCTGCTTTTTTTTTACTTCTACCTAAACTCATTCTTTTCTTTCCTTTTTCTATAATTTATTTCTCTTGCCTGAATCCATTTCCCCACTATCCACAAAACGTTCTCAAATCTGCCCATTCATTGATTTTAAAAACTTGTATTTCTTAAGGGGAAGGAAAAATGAAGGGAGAAGAAAGAATATAATGTATTTATTACCACTGAACTGTACACTTAAAATGACAAAGATAGTAAATTATATACATATATTTTATCTCAATAAAAATAAAATCTGTATGTCTTCATTTCACTACTTTATTTATCTACCATCATTCCCTACAAAATTTTTGAAAGACTAATTTCTGTCTGCCAATCACTCATTCCTCTGCTCTTTCTAAACTGACTATACCTACAACTGTTACTGAACTGAACATAGATCCACCTGCCCAAAGCACCAAAGCCAAACACTGACTTTGGGATTGCAGAGAGACAAGGTGAGGCATTGATTGCAGGGCCCCAGGAAGGAAGAATCAGGCAACTCATGCTCCAGACCCAAATTCCCTGATTGCTCACAGGTAAGGGTTTGTAAAGGCGGAGAGGCAGAAGTTACAGCCAAAGTCGTAAGTTCATACATGGAGGTTGCACGTTGGTTTGACTTAAAAAGGTAAGACATCTCAAAAACAGGTTCACAGGTTATGGGAGACGCAAAGGCAGAAAATTTCCGACTTGTGATTGGTTAAGGAGATGAAGCTTTGTCTGAATATTTGGGGTCAGCAGAAAAAAAAAAGTTCTCTCTGGTTGGTGGGCATGACATCCTCCAGGCCCCTCAGGAAAAATTTAGAAAAACAAAACCGGTGGTCAGAGTTCAAGTCCTCAGTCTCCACTTATCTGAGGTCTATGTACCAGCAGATCCATTTAGTGAGGTTTTAGGGTTCTGAAAAACAACTTAGGAATGTATGCTAAGATGTGATCTTTAGTTTCTCTGGAGAACAAAACATCTCCTGACTCTAACGTCCTTTGCTATTGTTTTCAGCTAGTATCACCCTCTTGCTTACCAAGTTGCCTATTTATTTCTCAGGGCTAGCTAGGTGCCTGAAATTTTTCTTGAAGGAACTCAAGGTTTTCCTTAATTTCATGCCGGGGAAAGGGAATGTGGTCCCTTAAGAGAGGTCCCTGCTCCATCTTACATCCTCCCAAAAGCATCTCTTGACTCCGAGATAACCAATGACCCATGAGTACTCTAGTTTTCTAATTCCCGTCCCCTTTACTTCTCTGCATCATTATAAAACAGTTACCCCTCCTCCGTGAAACATGCTCCGTCCCTTCTTTTTTCTCTACATTCTTCTCTGGGCACATTTAATTTACTTTCATTCTTTGGAAAGCTCCCAAAATTTTCATTTTGCTTATCTTATCTCTCTTATACTTCCCTTTTGGCCATTTTATCTACTTCCATGGCGTATATGAGGATAATTACTAAATATATGTCTCAACCTCAAACCCAAGCTTCTGACCATAGGGTATATCCATGAGTGTTCCAAAGCCTTCTCATCCACAACATGTCAAACAGCTTTATCCTTACATCTATACATCTATCTACGTCTATCCTTTTATCCATCTATTCATCTATCTATTCGTCCATCCGTCCATCTATCCATCCATCTATCCAATCTATGTATCCATCCATCTATCCATCTGTCTATTCATGCATCTATCAATCTATCCATCCATTTATCTATTCAATTATCTATGCTTCTATCCATCTGTCCTTTTCTCCATCTATCTATTCATCCATCTAACTATCCATCCATTTATCTGTCCATCCATCCATCCATCCATCCATTCATCTGTCTATCTATACATCCATCTATCTATGAAAGGGGCCAAAAAATCCCAGGTGCTCTTCTTTTGGTCTTGGAGGGAAGTTCAAACCATAGGCAAACAACCCTTTCTCTTGCCCAACTCACTAACCACCATAAAAACTCCAAGCCACTTTTCTTTGCTGTTCTCTCAAGCCAATTTTAGACTTGCTTGGGAGCCACTCTACTCTCCCCTAGAAAGCCTCATTATGTGAGTAAAAAAACGTTCTCATACCTTCTTAGTGTGTGTGTGGCATCATCGGTCTCAACATCCAAGTCAAATTTTGGCTAAGATTCATCCTGGTTCTGTAGGGTGATTACAACATGTACCTTATTAATGGTCTATGCCTTACTGCAAATGTCAAACTACTCTGCCCAGCCTAGTTGCCTCATTAAATCCATTCACCAATTTTCATGAAGTTTAGATTCATTTATTTTACTCTGAAGAATAATATTCCACAATAAAGAAGAATATTCCCCTTTTTTCTTATTCTTTCAAATAAATTTTTGACCTAGGTTTCAAAATCTTCCATGACCAAAATCTCAACCAAAATTTCTATACTTGTTTTCTATTCTCGTTCATGTACCCTAAAATTTCACTAATTTGTTGCCATCCACCTACCCTCAGCAGGCCTTGCATTTTCTTCTCTCTCTCTATTTTTTTAAGGAGGGCGGCTGTTGCCAGGGCAACCAGCTGGGCTGGGATTTTGTTGAGAATTCCGCCCTGCATTTTCTACACTTTGCACTTTTGTTCACAGTCTATTGCCTGAGATTGAATTGTCCTTGCCCCATTGCTTGCTGTCCAAATCACACCTGAATGGATCAGCTAGGATTTGTGGTGGGAAGAGACATAAAATTCATCCCAGATTAGAAAAATAATAAAAGATAACTTATTGACTCATATCATTTAAAAAGCCAAGAGTAGTTCAGGCTCCAGTTGAGGTCTGATACAGGGGCTCATATAATGTCCTCAGGATCTAGTTTCTCTCTTCAACTTGAAGTTCTGCAAGATTTCCATTCACCTCTCTTCACAGTCCCAAAGCCAGTGGAGAGGTAGAGGTTCTTTTTCCATGATTCCTGAAAAACTCCTGTATTAACTCGAGTCATCCTAGGTGGTATGTTACCCTGAAGCCAATCATAGCTAAGAGGGTGCAAAGCAATGAATGGCTTGGGCTCCAAAGGAAAATGGAGTAATTTTAATGTGTATATTACTAACAAAGGAGTTTTGCTGAAGGTTTTCAAATAACAGCGGCTACAAATATACTCTTAAACATTTTCCAGGTTAGCTGGGCATGCTGGCATGTGCCTGTAGTCCCAGCTGCTCAAGAGGCTGAGATAGGAGGATCACTTGATCCAAGGAGTTCAAGGCCAGCCTGGGCAACATAGTGAGACTTCATTTCAAAAAAAAAAAAAAAAAATCCTCCAAGTCATCTTCTGGTCTTAGAGCAAAAAGCAACAGAGTGTTAAAGAGAAGTTACCTGTGTAATGCTCTTGTAGAAAAAATTTCTTCCTGGGATCAAAGTCTCTCCCATACTCCAGGACTACTCGCAAGCCGAGGAAAGAAGTTCCAAAGGCAGGGCTGCAGGAAAAGACTCAGGGATCACCTAGGAGCTGAGGCTACATGTGCTGGCTCCCAAATTTGCTATTGCTTCTTTTTCAATCAACAGACAATGTGTCCCAAATGGGTAGGACAATGGGAATTACAACGGAGGACATGCCAAGGGTGTGGAAGAGAGAAGGCCGAGGAAACAAGCTTGCATAACTAAAGTTGTCTTCTTGAGTTATTATTATAACTAAAGGTGTAAAACATGCCAAATTAAATTGCAAAATCTCTAAAATTTCTGGGAAATAATTGGCCTAGCTCCCCAAAATCCAATGCCAGTGAATTTTAATTTTTTGCTTTAAAATAAACATCATTACTCGAATTGGGAGGTCATTATGTTAAGTGAAATATGCCCAGCACAGAAAAACAAATATCATGTGTTCTCACTTACATATGGGGGCTACAAAAGTTGATCTCATGGAGGTAGAGAGTAGAATGATAAATACCAGAGGTTGGGAAGGATGGGAGGTGGGGGGATAAAGAGAGGTTGATTAATGGGTACAAACAAAAATTTAGGAGGAATAAGTTTTGTTTGTTTGTTTTTTGTTTTTGTTTTTGTTTTGAGACAGAGTCTCACTCTGTCGCCCAGGGTAAAGTGCAGTGGCACGATCTCAGCTCAGTGCAGCCTCTGCATCTCAGGTTCAAGTGATTCTCCTGCCTCAGCCTCCCCAGTAGCTGGGATTACAGGAGTGTGCCACCACGCCTGGCTAATTTTTGTATTTTTAGTAGAGATAAGGTTTCACCACGTTGGCCAGGCTGGTCTCAAACTCCTGATCCCAGGTGATCCACTAACCTCAGCCTCCCAAAGTGCTGGGAATACAGGCATGAGCCACTGTGCCTGGCCAGGAATAAGTTATAATGTTTGATAGTAGAGTCAAGTGACTACAGTTAACAACAATGTACTGTATATTTCAAAATAGCTAGAAAAGAGAACTTGAAATATTCCCGATACATAGAAATGATAGATACTCAAGGTGATGGGCAGCCCTCAACACCTGACTTGATCATTACACATTCTACACATGTAACAAAATGTCACATGTACCCTATAAATCTGTACAAACATTATATAGCAATAAAATATATAAATGAATAACATTTTTGACCAGGCACAGTGGCTCCTACTGTAATCCCGGAACTTTGGGAGGTGGCGGTGAGAGGATTACTTGAGCCCAGCAGTTCCAGACCAGCCTGGGCAACATAGTAAGACCTCATTTCTACAAGAAACAAACAAAATTCGCCAGGTGTGGTGGTATACACCTGTAGTCCCAGGTACTTGAGAAGCGGAGGTGGGAGGATCATTTGAGTCCCAGTTACTTGAGAGGCTGAGGTGGGAGGATCACTTGAGCCTGGGAGGTTGAAGTTGCAGGGAGTGTGATCATGCCACTGTGCTTCAGCCTTGATGAGAGAGCAAGACCCTGTCTCAAAAATATATTTTTAAAAAAATCATTACTATGCTCATCAATAGCATCTTTTGAATGGTTAAATTTAAGCTCTCGGGGTTATATGTTTTTTCATTCCATCTTGCCTTACAATAATTTGAGTAGAGTAACAATCACTCTAAAAAAAGTTTGAGTTGATATATTCGGCCATTAACACACTCTAACACATTTGCTAAGCTTCATGACAAATCATTGCAAAAATTGTGAATGACTTATGATTTCCCTCCATAAGTGAAAACTCTGTACTTGGTTTCTTTGGTCCTTTGCCTACAATTGCTGGCCTGGGAGCTAGCTATGAGCAATGTGCACAATAAATAAATCAAAATGTAGAAGTTACTGTTTGGGCATCATCATGACAATTTACGTTAACTTAGGTTATCACAGTGGGTCTTGCACATCTCCAAAATTGTATTTTTATTTTCTATTAACTTTTTCAGCATTGTAAATGCTATCAGGCCAGATGACTAAATAAGTTCCAGTGAAGAGAGGAGAGAATGAGAATTTTGTGGTGTTATTTTTAAAAATTATATTCAAGGCTAGCAAAATATATGCTCAATGTTTTGATTTCAATCAGAAATGGAAGTTTCCTCCCGTCACTGCATGTCAATATTTCTTAGCGCAGCCAGTTTTACAGAATTTCATTCCATTTAAAATCATCTTATCTTACAAGTAAAAGTGACAGCTCTGAGTGAAATAAAGACACTCTCTTGAGTCGAAGCAGTAATTATTTCCATTTTTCATTAAAGCAACCCATTCAGTAGTTAGGATCAGAAAAATTTAAATGAAGAAGTAAAATTGCCATTAAAACAGAAATGAGCTAATGGGGAAAATATGTAAACAAGATGAACATGAATACTTCCGAAAATTTAAAAAAAAACAAGTAATGATCAACACTGATAACAAATACTTTGCATTTCTAAACCTTATATCTAGAAACCCTAAGAATCAAAGGCAAATGAACAAATAATTATAACGCATAGAAGAAAGGTAGCATTCCCTGTAACCCAAGCAAAGAAAAATAGAAATCCAAAAGGAAAATAAAAATGCAAGAACTTTTTTTTCTGCTTCACTCTTCACTCTTTAACATTCTTCTGAGAACTGACTTTTCTTTGAAGATATTTTTCTCTCAGTGGGTTTTCTAGACTCTGTGAGCTTCCTTGGATCATAGAGCAAGATATGCTTGGTGTGCAGGGGCCAGGAGGGTCGTGTGTATTTTGGAAGGATACACTCCTTTCCCCCTCTGCTTCATTTTTCCCCCTGCTATGGTGTTCTGAGTTAAAGGCAAAAACAGAATGGGAAGGCAGGAACTAAAATCCCTCTGATCCAGTGATGTGTCCTCTAGAAACCTCCTGGGTCTTATGCTCATGCCAAGCTCATCTGAATATATAGACAGGAGACCCAGAACCCACAGCATTCATTGGTAGCACTCATTGTGCCACGTGGTAGCTCTACAAGAACTCAGTCTTTGTGTGTTTTCTCTACCTAAACCAAGACATACCTTCTGTGACTGTATGTGTCCCTACACACTAGAAATTCCAGAAGAATCTTAATTCCACCTTAATCAAAAGAAATGTGGGGTTTCTTGTAAAGCTCAAAATCCTCACCAACATTGCAGAAATTTTTTTTTATTTTCAAAATGTATTTTAAATTGATGCATAAAAACTGTATATACTTATCATGTACAACTTGTTATTTTGAAATATACATACTGCAGAATGACTATATTGAGCTAATTAATATAGATTACCTCACATACTTATTTTTGTGGTAAGAACACTTAAAATCTACTCTCAGCAATTTTCAAGAATATAATACATTGTTATTAACTATAGTCACCATAGTTTTTTGTTTGTTTGTTTGTTTTTTGAGATGGAGTCTCGCTCTGTCGCCCAGGCTAGAGTGCAGTGGCATGATCTTGGTTCACTGCAACCTCCGCTCCTGGGTTCAAGCGATTCTCCTGCCTCAGCCCCCCGAGTAGCTGGGATTACAGGCACCTGCCACCACACCCGGCTAATTTCTGTATTTTTAGCAGAAACAGGGTTTCACCATGTTGGCCAGGCTGGTCTTGAACTCCTGACCTTAGGTGATCCGCCCGCTTGGCCTCCCAAAGTGCTAGGATTACAGGCGTGAGCCACCGTGCTCTTTGTCACCATGTTTTACGATGGATGTCTTGAACTTATTCCTCCTATCTAAATGAAATTTAGTATTCTTTGACCAACATTTCCCTAAACCCCCCTTGTCAGCCCCTGGTAACCACCGTTCTACTCTCTACTTCTACAAGTTCATATTTTTTAGATTCCACATGTAATTGAGATCATGCAGTATTTATCCTTCTGTGCCTGGCTTATTTCACTTAACATAATACTCCTAAGTTCATCCACAACATTGTAGAAATTTTATCTGTTCTTCCGGGTGCCCACACTTTCAAAGGAAAAAATATACATATTGCATTAGTCTGTTTTCAGGCTGCTGATAAAGACATACCCTAGACTGGGTAATTTATAAAGAAAAAGGTTTAATGGACTCACAGTTCCACGTGGCTGGGGAAGCCTCACAATCATGGCAGAAGGTGAAAGGCACGTCTTACGTGGCAGCAGACAGAGAGAGAATGAGAACCAAGTGAAAGGGGTTTCCCCTTGTAAAACCATCGGCTTTTGTGAGACTTACTCACTACCATGAGAACAGTCTGGGGGAAACCGCCCCCAAGATTGTATTATCTCCCACCAGGTCCCTCCCACAACACACGGGAATAATGGAAGGTACAATTTAAGACGAGATTTGGGTGGGGACACAGCCAAACCATATCAAATACATTAAGGAAAACAGTTATCGGAACCAAAGGAATGCTGTATTTGACATTCTGCCCACATCAATGCATGTATGCTGTCACCATCACAGTGGTGTCTGCTCCCTCAGCCCAGCAGGACAGACCTGATGCTGTCTCAGACACAAGAGTCAGATATCTCATATCCAGGACTGGAAGTCACTTAACTTCTACAGGCCTCAATTTCCTCATCTGTAAAATGGGAATTCATTTAGATCGTGTGGCCTGCCACATAATCCGTGCTCAATAGCCATTCTAATTAATTATTAATTTTAGCCAGTGATGATTAAGAAACATGGAGGGTGGCAGGGTGCGGTGGCTCTTGCCTGTAATCCTAGCACTTTGGGAGGCCGAGGCGGGCAGATCACAAGGTCAGGAAATTGAGACCATCCTGGCTAACACGGTGAAACCCCGTCTCTACTAAAAATACAAAAAAATTAGCCAGGTGGGGTGGCGGGTGCCTGTAGTCCCAGCTACTCAAGAGGCTGAGGCAGGAGAATGGCGTGAACCTGGGAGGCAGAGCTTGCAGTGAGCTGAGATGGAGCCACTGCACTCCAGCCTGGGCGACAGTGCGAGACTGCATCTCAAACAAACAAACAAAAAAGAAACATGGAGGGAAAAGAGGCATATTAGTAACAAAGGGGCAAGTCTGTTTTAGAAACAATTTTTAGTTCACATCGTGTTTAAGTTTTATAATGAGCAGTTAATATCCCTCAGCTGATGGGGGATTAAGGTAATCATTCTACTGCAGTATCTGGTAGAGGGATATGGGGATAAGGAATAGGCTAGAATACTTTCCTGACTTCACTATACATTTTCCCCAGATTCTTATAAACCTATTAGCCGATCCCTTGGATTCCTTTAAGACCTATGAAAGGTCGTGTTGAGAAGGAATATTATTGCTTCCATACAAAGAAGATACCTGTGATGGTTAATTTTATGTGTCAATTTGACTGGGCTAAGAGATGCCCAGATTGCTGGTAAAATACTATTTCTGGGAGTGTCTGTGAGGATGTTTCTGGTAGAAAGTAGCACTGGAATTGGTAGACTGAATAAAAATCACCCTGATCGATGTGAGCAGGCATCATGGGATCCGTGGAAGGCCTGAATAGAGCCAAAAGGTGGAGGAAGGACAGATGCACACTCTCTGCTTCGGCTGGGACGACCATCTTCTCCTGCCTTGGGTACCAGTGCTCCTGGCTCTCAGTCCTTCACACTCAGGCTGGGACCTACACCACCAGCTCCCAGTTCTTGGGCCATAGGGTTTGGACTGGAACCACACCCCCACTTTTCCTTGGCTGCCAGCTTTCGGACCGCAGACTGGGACTTCTCAGCCTCCATCATTGCATGTGCTAATCTCTCCTAATACATCTCTTTCTATCTATCTCTATAGATCTGCTGGGGTCTCCATGTTTGTGATCTCCAGAAGTCATATGTTGAAATCCTACTCCCCAAGGTGATGGCACTAGAAGGAGGGAGCTTTGGGAGGTGATTAGGTCATGAGGGTGCAGCCATTGTGAATGGGATTAGTGATCATATATAAGAGACCCCAGAGAGATCTCTTGCCCCTTCCACCAGGTGAGTGTTACTGGGGGTGAATCTTTATGGGTCTGCAACAACCTCAATTCTTGCCTCCTCAGAAGAAAGAATTCGACTGAGGGGCATAGGGCAGAAGGAGAGACCAAGGCAAGTTTTAGAGCAGGAGAGAAAGTTTATTAAAAAGCTATAGAGCAGGCCTGGCACAGTGGTATGCACTTGTAATCCCAGCAATTTGGGAGACCAAGGCAGGTGGATCGCTTGAGCTCAGGAGTTTGAGACCAGCCTGGGCAACATGACAAAACCCTGTCTCTATTATTTTTATATATATGTATATATATATATAGATAGATAGATAGATAGATAGATAGATAGATAGATAGATAGATATCTCGTGTGTGTGGCGGGGCATGCCTGTAGTCCCAGCTACTCCGGAAGCTGAGGTGGGAGGATAGCTTGAGCCTCGGAGGAAGAGATTGCAGTGAGCCAAGATTGTGCCACTGCACTTTAGCCTGGGTGACAGGGCAAGACTCTGTCAAAGAATTAAAACAAAACAAAACAAAACAAAAAGCTTTAGAGCAGGAATGAAAGGGAGTAAAGCACACATGGAAAAGGGCCAAGCAGGCGACTTGGGAGATCAAGTGCACTGTTTGACCTTTGACTTGGAGTTTTATCCCTTGGCATGCTTGGGGCAGAGGGGATGGCAGTGGTGGTGTTTGTGTCCCTTTTCACCTGATTCTTCCCTTGGGGTGGGCTGTCCACATGTGCGGTGGCCTGCCAGCACTTGGGAGGGGCCACATGCACAGTATGTTTACCAAAACTGTGCACATGCTGACTTGAGGCGTTCTTCCCTTACCAGGCTGCCATTTTGCCTCTTAGTGCGCATGCTTGAGCCCACTCACCCAACTCCTGAGATCTTATTGGGAAGCTGCTGATCACCGGTTTTAGGTGTTTCTATCTATTGGGAGACTGCCTTTCCCTGGCACCAGCTGTGACCAATTATTATTTTAGCAAGATGGCTTAACAACTGCCTGCTGGTTGCCTGACATCCCTGGTGGTGGGTGGAGGGGGGGCCTCTCTGGACTTGCTCATGTCTGACTAACTATGTACTGTAACACGAGGACACAGGGAAATGAGGCCATCAACGAACTAGGAAGTGGGCCCTTACTAGACACCAAATCTGTCGGTACCACAATCTTGAACTTCCCAGCCTCCAGAACCATGAGAAATAAGTGTTTGTTGCTTATAAGCCATCCAGCTGGTAACAGTTTTGTTTTAGCAGCCCAAATGGACTAAGGCAATAGCCTCTTGTTCTGTTTCTCTGGAGAATCCTAATACAGTGCTGTAAGAGAAACCTACTGAGAAAAAAAATAAGGACTGCGTGGCCTCAACCACTCCTGCCTCCCACAGAGCTGTGTGACCTTGGGCATATCACTTTTTTTTTTTTTTTTTTTGAAACTCTCACTCTGTTGCCCAGGCTAGAGTACGGTGGTGCAATCTCGGTTCTCTGCAACATCTGCTGCCTGGGTTCAAGCAATTCTCCTGCCCCAGCGTCCCTAGTAACTGGGATTACAGGCACCTGCCACTGCGCCAGGCTAATTTTTGTGGTTTTAGTAGAGACAGTGTTTCACCATCTTGCCCAGGCTGGTCTTGAACTCCTGACCTCGTGATCCACCTGCCTCGGCCTCCCAAAGTGCTGGAATTACAGGTGTGAGCCACCACACTTGGCCCAGTATATCACTTAATCCTTTTAAGCAAGGCTCTGCTTCATCATCCGTAAATGGTAATTTTATTTATTTATTTTTTTATTTTTATTTTTTGAGACAGAGCCTTGCTTGTTGCCCAGGCTGGAGTGCAGTGGCTCAATCTTGGCTCACTGCAACCTCTGTCTCTCAGGTTCAAGAGATTCTCCTGCTTCAGCCTCCTGAGTAGCTGGAATTACAGGCACCGGCCAACACCCCCAGCTAATTTTTTTGTATTTTTTAGTAGAGATGGGGTTTTGCCATGTTGGCCACGCTGGTCTCGAACTCCTGACCTCAAGTGATCCACCCAGTTCGACCTCCCAAAGTGCTGAAATTACAGGCGTGAGCCACTGTGCCCAGCCTAAAGGGTGATTTTAGCAGGATCTGCTTCACTGATTGAATGGTTCACTTCTCTAATGCTTGGCCAATGGTGGACTTTCAGTAAATATTACCTTTTATTTATTAATATTATTGCTTCTCTCTCAAATTGCAAAAATTAGATAGTAAGCATTTAGAGGATGTTTCCATAATGAGGTCAGTTTAAAGATGTTACTCTTGGCCTCGTGCCTATCTAGTCCAGTACCTACAGTAGCAAGTTCCCAACAGTGGAGCGGCTATACTCCAATGAAAGAGATTAATTGCCTGCTCTGAAATCTGAACAGGAAGTAAGCACCTAGTGTTTGGTTATGAAAACAGAACTACCCTGTTCATCTGAATCCCACTCTTACCCCCTCCAGCCGATCCTTCCCCTCTCTTGTTTGCAGTGACTAGGATGTCCTGGTGACTGGTAATATCTAGACTCACCACTTCAAAGTGCTGAGACAGGAGCTGCATCTGGAAGTTACGTTATCTTTTAGCAGATGACTACAGTCCAGAGGCAGTAATCATTTCAAACTAGCCAGGAGAGGGAGAAGGAGAGAACTATAATAATGTGAGTCAGGTAGCATTTTCTACCTTATCAGCTCCAGCAGATGCAAACATGCACTGACGAATACTACACCAGAGGGCAGGATAAAAGTGGAATTAGAAAATAACTACCTTCAGGAGATACTGGGCGTCCAAATTCGATATGCAATTGTAATATAGATAACATGGAGAAACAGATAATAAATACAGCTTTTAATTCAAACATGACCTTCAAAGAGCTTTTTCCTTAGAAACACAATTCAAAAGCTCCAATCTTTTGAAAGAAAAGATCCAAACAATAAGCTTTCTTCTTCATCCCCCCAGCCCTGATTACAGGGCACATCGGAGACCATTCTTCTCAATAATGGCCTTGCAGCATGCTTTTATCACATTTTATCGCATATTCTAAAGTTCTTTATCACATTGGAAAGATATGCTTCCCTTACCACGGTTTATCGGATCTGAGAAATTATCTTATCAATATTCCCTGGGCGAGCATATGAGTATTTCTAAATGACAGAACAGAATAGTATATGATAAATGGGAACATTGCTGCCTCCCTGATCAGTGGGTGAGATAAAGAGAATGTGGCTAGCTGGAAAAATCAACTGGGCTTGGATGAAGTGTAAGGATCATCTGTAATGTGGCAGGGAATTATTCATCACTGAGCACAGGGACCCTCCTAAAGTTGTAGGGACCCAAGTAGCACAAGGTCGGAATGCCCAAAGTTCCTTGCAGAATTTGCTCCCAACACAGCCAAGTGGATGCCATCCATTGTCCTTGAAAGGCAAGGGCAGCTTTGCATTAAACTATTCTCTCCTGGAGCCATATTTTATGGGTGCCAGAACCAAAGCACTTTAATTGAGCTCAACTACGTGCACGGGCCTCTTAAGGACCAAGCAGGCTCCTTCCCACGGTGACATTGAAACAGGGACTGGTTCTGTTGCTTAACAGTTTGTAAATCACACGGAACATCTTGCAAGGACAGAGACCCCTGTACTTGCTCCCTTTTCCACTTCCCATATCTCTGGTCTCCTTTCTGATGTGGACCATTTGTGTCACGTATAGAAAACTTTCCATGGGATAAGAGGGTATAGGAGCTGAGGGAAAACTTCCACTTTACCCTACGAAGGTTTGCTGAAAATTAACTGTAAAAGGCAAATTCATAGGAGAAAAGGCTTGCAAATTTATTCATGTGCATGGAGGGGAAAATCACGGAGTGATCACCACATCATGCAATGGGGTACTGATGGTTCTATACCCTTTTTCTTAGGGGAAAGGGAGATGGGGAAGAGTGGGTGATTTTTGAGGGATAATAAATGATTTTTAGGGAATTCAATGGGCTTGAAGAATACACAGTGGCCTGGGACAAAGACTACTGGGCCCACAGAGCAGATAATGATTTGTGACGAAAGTCTGTCCAGGTGCGTTGTCAGACTTTCGTCTTTCCTCCTGCCATGAGTTCAGTTCATGAAAACTAAGGGAAGGGACCAGAGGTGATTGTTTTCTTCCTTAGTAAGTCCAGACTTCAGGCAGATAAGAGAACTTCAGAGAGCAACTTCATCCTGTGCTTTCAGAGAGACAGAGAAATGAGAGGCCGGAGGAGGAAGGTCTGAGAAACCACAAGGCTTCTTCAGTTCATCATGTCAAAGGGCCACATTTTGGGCTATCAGTTTCTGAGCCCCAACAGGGGTAAACATAAAGCTTCCTCTCTCAAACAAGCATTCCAACATCCAACAGCTCTATTAATTTCCAAGAGTACTGTAAAATATATTTTTTCAGTAAAATTATGTGAAAGGTCTAGTTAAGAAAGACTGATTAAAATAAGCATATAATATGCTTATAGAACTATTTACACAAAAGACTTAAATTCTACCAAATATTACAAGATGCACACACTCTCACTTCTAAGGTAAGACCTGAAAAGTATTCTCTGATTAATGAAATTAAAAAGGCACAAATTTGATCCGTAATAAGCAATAGGAATGCAATCCTAATAATTAATATATTAACTAATTCCAAAAGCAGATCAAGAGATACAGTTCAGAAAACTTCCTAATCTTATCAGTCACGTGCCTGTCAACCAGGTGCAAAACCAGCCAAAAAGTTATGATGTTACAGACGACCTGTGAGGCAGGTCGGCGACCCCAATAGACACCACGATCCCTTTTGCTGGACAGAGGAACTGCAATTCACAGGCAATTGGGCGGAAATTATTTCCTCTCTGGGGCAGTTGAACCAGCATAACAAAATCATGAATGCTCTGACTGGGTTAGCTTAGTTGTTTCAGAAACAATGCTAATGATGTCAGGGTTTCCGGGTCAAACCCCATATGGGCTCATTGTCTTTGGAGAGGGAAACATAGTGTTCTGTGGCCTGGGTCACTTTGGGAGCAAATGTCTCTGGTCGAACAGGGGCCTGGCACCAGGATTCACCAAAACCCATCAGCAGTTCAGGACAAGTTATCTCCATCTAATTATACCCAATAAGTATGATCTCTGAAAGAAAGACACAGGTTATAATAGAATCTTGTCAGCCCAGAGTACAAACAGACAGGGAAATGGTCTGACTTTTATCTTATGTCGCCAAGCAGTCACAGAAGAGACAGCTAGGAAATCAGGACCGGAAGCATAATTGTTTTAGGGAGAGAAGGTCTCTCAAAAATAAAGATTGATCGAACAATCACAAATGACTTCAATGGGAAGAACAAGGAGAACAAGGTAAGAAGGCATAGAGAGCTCCAAAGACAGGAGGGTATATCATGGCAGCTCCCAATCTCTAACACTCCCACCCTTCCTCCAACTCCAAAACCCTAACACAGTCTCCCCACTGTACCCTGGAACTGTGTCCCCCTGTTGCAGGGGAAAGCAGTTGTAGGAGACGTGGCTCTTTCCTCTCTGCTATGATGCATTCTAAGTATAAGGCACATTCAACACAAAACTGGACATTAATGCGCAAGCACTGTTTTGTCTTGTTTTGTTTTGTTTTGTTTTTTATTGAGACGGAGTCTCGCTCTGTCGTCCAGGCTGGAGTGCAGTGGCACGATCTTGGCTCACTGCAATCCCCGCCTCCCAGGTTCAAGTGATCCTCTCACTTCAGCCTCCTGAGTAGCTGAGATTACAGATGCGTACTACCATGCCAGGCTAATTTTTATATTTTTAGTAGAGTTGGGGTTTCACCATGTTGGTCAGACTGGTCACGAACTCCTGGCCTCAAGGGGTCTGCTCACCTCAGCTTCCCAAAGTTCTGGGATTATAGGTGTGAGCCACCACACCAAGCCACACTAAGTTTTAAAGTAACTTATTTATCATACTTTTCACTTTTTTGGTTTTTTTTTAGACAGGGTCTCACTCTGTCACACAGGCTGGAGTGCAGTGGCACAATAACTGCTCACTGCAGCCTCACCCTCCTAGGATCAAGCAACTCTCCTACCACAGCCTCCTAAGTAGCTGAGATTACAGACATGCACCACCACACCAGGCTAATATATTTAAGTTTTGGTAGAGACAGGATCTCTCTATGTTGCCCAAGCTGGTCTTGAACTCCTGGGCTCCAGTGTTATCCTCCTGCCTTGGCCTCCCAAAATACTGGGATTACAGGCATGAGCCACAGCACCTGGCCAGTTTTCACATTTTTGTTTTTGCATCACTACTAATTAAAGATTCCAGTGGAACAGAACAGAGGCCTTAGAAAAAATGCCACACATCTACAACCATCTGATCTTTGACAAACCTGACAAAAACAAGCAATGGGGAAAGGATTCCCTATTTAATAAATGGTGTTGGGAAAATTGGCTAGCCATATGCAGAAAACTGAAACTGGACCCCTTCCTTAAACCTTATACAAAAATTAACTCAACATGGATTAAAGATTTAAACGTAAGGCCTAAAACCATAAAAACCCTAGAAGAAAACCTAGGCAATACCATTCAGGACATAGACATGGGCAAGGACTTCATGACTAAAACACCAAAAGCAATGGCAACAAAGCCAAAATTGACAAATGGGATCTAATTAAACTAAAGAGCTTCTTCACTGCAAAACAAACTATCATCAGAGTGAACAGGCAACCTACAGAATGGGAGAAAATTTTTGCAATCTACCCATCTGACAAAGGGCTAATATCCAGAATATACAAAGAACTTAAACAAATTTACAAGAAAAAAACAAACAACTCCATTGAAAAGTGAGCGAAGGATATGAACAGACACTTCTCAAAAGAAGACATTTATGTGGCCAATAACCGTATGAAGAGAAGCTCATCATCACTGGTCAATAGAGAAATGCAAATAAAAACCACAATGAGATACCATCTCACACCAGTTAGAATGGCAATCATTAAAAAGTCAGGAAACAACAGATGCTGGAGAGGTTGTGGAGAAATAGGAACACTTTTACACTGTTGGTGGGAGTTTAAATTAGTTCAATCATTGTGGAAGACAGTATGGCGATTCCTCAAGGATCTAGAACAAGAAATACCATTTGACCCAGTAATCCCATTACTGAGTATATACCTAAAGGATTATAAATCATTCTACTATAAAGACACCTGCACACGTATGTTTATTGTAGCACTGTTCACAATAGCAAAGACTTGGAACCAACCCAAATGCCCATCAATGTTAGACTGGATGAAGAAAATGTGGCACATATGCACCATGTATACACCATGTACAGCCATAAATGTGGCACATATATGCCATGTATACACCATGTACAGCCATAAGAAAGGGATAAGAAAGGGTGAATTCATGTTCTTTGAAGGGACATGGTTGAAACTGGAAACCATCATTCTCAGCAAACTAACACAAGAACAGAAAACCGAACATGTTTTGTTTGAAAACACTGCATGTTCTCACTCATAAGTGGGAGTTGAACAATGAGAACACATGAACACAGGGAGGGGAACATCACACACTGGGGCCTGTCAGGGGGTGGGGTGCTAGGGGAGGGATAGCATTAGGAGAAATACCTAATGTAGATGACAGGTTGACGAGTGCAGCAAACGACCATGGCACATGTATACCTATGTAACAAACCTGCACATTCTGCACGTGTACCCCAGAACTTAAAGTATAATTAAAGAATAAAATAAAATAAAAAGATTACCACTTCTAAAGAGGAATTTGGTGAGTCAGCGCCTGGAAAACAAATTATTTAGACAGCAGCAGCATCAAAGAGCTGGCCGATAAGAGTTGTTCACCAGTTCAGACTTCAACCCTCTTTCCTTCAAATATGTTTAGATCCTGCCTTCCTGCCAGGCTGCTGTATGTGCTGATTACAATTCTCAATTTCATTTTTAAAAAGAGAAGATGGAAAAGGGTGAGTTGATTGATTAACATAGCTGACCAGTCATTAAAAAAAAAAAGATTGGATCCTGAATTCTAGCATTTCTCCAGTCCAACATTTACCAACAGCTGGCATTCCTGAAAATGTAAGATACAACTGGTAGAGATGTTAGAAAAAGAGGCAGTGACTGCAAAGGATTTGATGGCTGAGCCTGAGAAATACATTCATCAAGTCTGTGAAGGAGTCAATAATTAAAATCTCAATTTCCCTAAAGGATTACCCTTATCTTCAGACCTGCAGATAAATGCTCTGATATTTTTCATAGCTTTTTAAATCAAGGTGTATGACCTTGGGAAACAAACACAATTGCTTCTCTTAATCCCAGGCCATTTAACCACATCACAGTCAGAAACAGGCTTAGGGGAACACTACTCCCAAATTACGCAGCCTTTTAGGTCATTGTCCTGGAAAACAAAATCAACAGGAAAGTCCAGGTACGTCTATACTCTTGTAAATTAAAACTATGATTTGAGGAAGACTCTTTAAATGGTTTTCCTTGAGAATATATTTCTAGCTCTAACTGATGAGGAGAAAGTAGGAGAGAAAAGGTCAACAGCCAAAAAGATAGTATTAACATGTTAGAGGATTCAAGTAATCAACTTAAAAAAAAAAACTAGGGTTAATAAGAAAAATGAGAAATGTAATAAGCTTTATTTGCTCCATTATAAACGGAAAAGTGATTTACTTTCTTAGTGTCTTAATGGATACCTGCTGCCTACGTTGACAGAGTGGAGCTTTTCACAAAGGAATCAACCTGTGAAACCTGGTTGTGCCTTCTGAACCATCTTTTCCATCAGTCCTTTCTTCTGATGCATTGTGTCGCATCTGAATTCTATCTCAGCATTACTCCACCCCTTCCTGGGAATTTGTGATTGTTTAATTGATGTTCAGGGAAAACAGATAAGAAGAAGGAGGGTTGATTCTGTTACTGACATCCTATACAATGAAGTCTTGTAATAATGTTCAAGCCTTTTCAATGCCAAGCCCAGAGTAACTGCTCTCTTCCCTTCCTCCCTATATGCTTCCATCTCTAACATCCACTTAGTGAAATCACCTTTGCAAAAATTACAACAGTAGGAAAATTATGGCAGTGAAAGAGATCTGATTTAACCCATCCCACCATCTTGCCTTTCCCTTAATCGCTCCTGGGCTTAGGCTAAGCTAAATTTGGAAGACATTTAGATTATATATATATATTTTATATATATATATATATTTACATATATATAAATATATATATATGTATATATTTTTTTTTAGACAGAGTTTCACTCTCACCCAGGCTGGGGTGCAGTGGTGCGATCTCAGATCACTGCAAACTCTGCCCCCTGGGTTCAAGCGATTCTCCTGCCTCAGCTTCCCAAGTAGCTGGGATTACAAGTGCACACCACCACATCCTGCTAATTTTTGTACTTTTAGTAGAGATGACGTTTCAATATATTAGCCAGGCTGGTCTTGAACTCCTGACCTCAAGTGATCTGTCCACCTCAGCCTCCCAAAGTGCTGGGATTACAGGTGTGAGCCACTGCACCTGGATTTGGTTTTTTTTTTTTTTGAGTTGGAGTTTTGCCCTTGTTGCCCGGGCTGGAGTGCAATGGTGCGATCTCAGCTCACTGCAACCTCCGCGTCCCAGGTTCAAGCAATTGTCTTTCCTCAGCCTTTCAAGTAGCTGGGATTACAGGCTCATGCCACCACACTAGGCTAATTTTTTATATTTTCAGTAGAGATGGGGTTTCACCATGTTGGCCAGGCTGGTCTCAAACTCTTTACCTCAGGTGATCCACCCACCTCGGCCCCCCAAAATGCTGGGATTACAGACGTGAGCCACTACGCCCAGCCTTTAGTTTATACTTTAAATGATAATAGCCCTTCCCCTAAACTAAACCTCTTTTGTGAAGCTAATGAAAGGTCATGAGGCTAGGGTGATGGAGAGGAATGGGAAGATATGCAACACCACTATTGCAAGTTGGAATTTGAGGTATCTTTTCAGGCTTTTTGCATGTCTGACACCCATGGCTCCACCTGGACCCAAGGCCTCCCTCACATCCTGTGGCCCCACCCAGAAGCAACTCAGCTTAACAGGACAGCATTGACCCCTATGAGCTCATCTCTGCCCCAGCCAATCAGCATCAAGCACCCATTACCTGGCCATCCCCAGCCCTTCCCCCAAACTGCCTTTGAAAGAGCCTTGAATGAGATTGACTTGAATACTAACTCCATCTCCTATGTGGTATGGTTGATGTCGTGTCTATTCAACCTTTCTTTACTGCAATGCCATGGTCCTCCTTTGTGCAGTGGGCAGGAAGAACCCCTCAGGTGGTTACATTAGTACTTACCCTACACCGTGAGTTAGTTGTCTGTTTATGTGTACTATTCATGCTTTCAGAGTAGATGGTCATGTAATTGACACAGAAGCCATTAAATGAGATAATGGAAGTGATTAATGTCATATATTTCTATAACTTTCCCACACCATATAGCACAATACCTTGTAATCAATTAATATTTATTAAATATATGTATATTTTAGCAGCATTTTGTTAAATAGGCTAAACTTCATTACTCAACTGCACAATGAGAGATTAAGATTAGGTGACCTTTAAATTTCTTTTGAATTTTACTAGTCTATGATTGTCATCATTAATTTGCAATCAAATGTTACATTAACATTTCTCTTTGCACAATCTATAAGAAACAAGTGCTGACAAACTAATGGAAAATGTTTGAGTGAAGGCTTTTTGTTGTTGTTTTTGCACTTCAGATGCAGATACTTGATTCAGATTGATAATTATAAATCCTTTCTATGCATTCATTTTGATAACATTTTTTCTTTGGTACTTGTTTTGTTCTTTTTTTTTTTTTTTTTTTGAGATGGAATCTTGCTCTGTTGCCCAGGCTGGAGTGCAGTGGCATGATCTTGGCTCACTGAAACCTCTGCTTCTGGGGTTCAAGCAATTCTCCTGCCTCAGCCTCCCAAGCAGCTGGGATTACAGGCGCCCACCACCACGCCCGGCTAATTTTTGTATTTTTTGAGTAGAGACAGGGTTTCACCATGTTAGCCAGGCTGGTCTCGAACTCCTGACCTCACATGATCCACACACCTTGGCCTCCCAAAGTGCTGAGATTACAAGCATGAGCCACCATGCCCCGCCCTACATTATTTTCTTTTTCTTTTTTTTTCTTTTTTTGAGACAGAGTCTCACTCTATCACACAGCCTGAAGTGCAGAGAGAGGGAGACAAAGGAAGAAAGGAAGAAAGGAAGGAGAGATGGAGGGAGGGAGGGAGAGAGAGAAAAAAAAAGAAAGAAAGTAAAAGAAAGAAAGAAGAAAGAAAGAGAGAAAGAGAGAAAGAAAGAAAGAAAGAAAGAAAGAAAGAAAGAAAGAAAGAGAAAGAGAGGAAGAGAAAGAAAGGAAGAAAGAGAGAAAGGAAGAAAGATAAAGAAAGAAAGAAAGAGAAGGAGAGAGAGAAAAAGAAAGGAAGAAAGAGAGAAAGGAAGAAAGATAAAGAAAGAAAGAAAGAGAAGGAGAGAGAGAAAAAGAAAGGAAGAAAGAGAGAAAGGAAGGAAGAAAGAGAAAGAAAGAAAGAAAAAGAAAAAGAAAGAAAGAGGAAGGAAGGGAGGCAGAGGGATGAGTTGGCAAAATCATGCCAAGGTCTTTTGTGAAATATTAAGAAGTTTAGGGCTGGGTGTGGTGGCTCACACCTATAATCCCAACACTTTGGGAGGCCGAGGTAGGAGTATCACTTGAGGCCAGGAGTTCAAGATCAGCCTGGGTAAAACAGTGAGACCCTGTCTCTAGAAAAAAAATCAAAAAATTAGCCAGGCATGGTGGCACACTCCTGTAGTCTCAGCTACTTGGGAGGTTGAGGCAGGAGGATTGCTTGAACCAGGGAGGTAGAGGTTGCAATGAGCCGAGATTGCATCACTGAATTTCAGCCTAGGTGACAGAGCAAGACCCTGTCTCAAAAAAAAAAAAAAAAAAAAAGTTTAAACTTTATCTTCTGAGTGATGAGACAATTAATTCATTGATGTTTTCTAAGATATAGGAGTAAAATAACCAGATGGTACGAAGCTGTAGTGCAAAGAATAAATGGAAAGTAGCCCAGACTTGGCATGAAGATAGCAGTTAGGAGGATGAGGAGATGGTGACCTGTGTCAGGGCAGTTACTATGTAGATAGAGAAGTGGTCAGTCATCCCAGACACTGAGGAAGCATCTGCAGGAATCTGTGGCTGGCTGATTACAGGAGTGAGCAGTGGAGAAGTTGAGGATCCTGCCCAGGGTTCTGCCTGAGTCACATCATTCACTGCAGCCAAGAACAGAGTGTCAGTGGTTTTGTGGGTGCAGTAACAGGGAGAGTGGGAAGGGCAAGGAGGTGTGAAGTTGAGTTTGTGTGGTGTTGAATGCTTTGTGAAATATCCACTTGGAGATGTCTGAATGGCTACGTGGGTCTGCAGGTCAGACAAGGGCTCTAACTTGGAGACAGGATCCGATCCCATCAATAAACACAGCGATTGAAGTCATTTGAAGACAGAAACAGAAAATTAAGAGGAAAAGAGAACAGGGACAAAAAAACTAATTAGTACTAATATTTAACAATGGTTAGAGGAAGAAGCTTGAGAAGTAGAAAAATTAGGTGAGTGTGGACTCATAAAAGGCAAAGGAAGAGGGTGTTTGAAGAAGGAAAAAGAGATCAATGGTGCCAAGTCCTACTAAACCATCTTTTTTATCAATTCCTTCTTCTGACACACTGTGCCACATCTGAATTCTATCTCAGCATTGAAATAGAATTGGAGATGAAGACACAGCCATTGGAGTTAGGGACAAATTAGTTGTTGGTGGTATAAGCCAAAAATAAAATTCTAAGCCCTCCACCTGGCCGAATGGACCCCTCTTCTTGGCCAAGTGCGTTCCAAAGCAAACCCAAAAAACTAGTTCAGGCCATTATGGGAAGTGGGGGTTGGACAGACCTCATTACACCCTCCTTCCTTTGAAGTTCGGGCCCAATTGACCAACATGAACATTAAAACAGATATCTGGAGACTGACAAAACAGACGCTTTGTAGCAATAAGATACCAAATTCCAATCCGACTCTAGTATAGCATCACATGGCAGATAGCAGGCCCTGAAAAAAATCAAAAGTATTTTACCCTGAAATATATTTCTTTGACATATTTTTAAATGGCCTTGCAAAGCTGTCTCTTGTGGGGAAAAGATACATTCTGTAGAGAATCCTCTTGCTTTTCCAGGTATTTTCCTGATCCCAGAGAGATTAACTAAGAGTCTGGCACTTTTAGGGTCTGACAAGAGACATTTACCATCTACTCTCTCCTACCTGGAGACTTCATCTACATAATAAGAAACGTGGCTTCCGTAACCTCCCTTATCTTAACTACAAACATTTATTTCTGCTGACTTCAACTCTTCAGGTATAGCTTAACTCTTATCAACCAACCGCAATCAGGAAATCTTTGAATCCACCTATGAACCCACAGGTTCATAACCTGGAAGCTCCCACTTTGAGATGGCCCACCTTTCTGGACAGAACCCATGTACATCTTACATGTATTGATTTATGCCTCTGCCTATAAAATAAAATGCCCCCATAAAATATATAAAATCAAGCTGTAACCCAGCCACCTTGGGCATATGTTCTCAGTGCCTCCTGAGGCTGTATCATGGGTCATGGTCCTAATATTTGGCTCAGAATAAGCCTGTTCAAATATTTTACAGTTTGACTCTTTTTCGTTGACAATGGCCTGGTTGAGAACAATTTAGTAAAGTGATTATTAAAAGCCACGTTGGGCAGGGCAAGGTGGCTCACACCTGTAATCCCAATACTTTGAGGGGGCTGAGGCTGGTGGATCACCTGAGGTCAGGAGTTCAAGACCAGCCTGGCCAACATGGCAAAACCCCATCTCTACTAAAAATACAAAAATTAGCCAGACGTGATGGTGGGCACCTGTAATCCCAGCTACTAGGAAGGCTGAGGCAGGAGAATCACTTGAACCTGGGAGGTGGAAGTTGCAGTGAACCGAGATCATGCCATTGCACTCCAGCCTGGGCAACAAGAGCAAAACTCCCTCTCAAAAAAAAAAAAAAAAAAAAAAAAAAAAGCCACATTGTAGAACTCACCTTGCAGACCTCTCAGCAGTACTAGACACAGCTGCCCACTGTCCCTTCCCTTCGACTCCGCTGACCTCTGGGTTCCTGCACTCTAGGTTCTCTCTTGTCTATCCTGGACTTGTTTCTTCCTGTTGGTATCCACTGAGCATGTGTGCACTTTAAGGCTTACCCCAGACTCCCTGCTCCTCTCCCCATGCTCCCCTCACCTCCTGACCCTGAGAACCATCATCAGGCCTGCATCACTTCCCTGGCCAGACCCCTGCTCCTGCAGCTGCCTCCCAAGAGTGCATCCGCCTCTGCCTCCCTCTTTCTATGTCTCTCTCCCTCTGCCTCCCTCTGTTTCTCTCCCTCTCTCTGCCTTTTTGTCTGTCTCTGTCTCTCTGTCTTTATCTCCCTCTGTCTCTCTGTCTCTGTGTCTCTCTGGATCTATGCCTCTGTCTTCTCTCTATTCCTTTGTCGTCTCTCTCTTTTTCTCTTCTTCCCTCTCCTTCTGTCTTCCTCTCTCTTTCTTTGCCTCTCTCCCTCCTTTCCTCCTTTTCTCTCTCCCTGTCTCTGTCTGTTTCTTTCTGTCTCTCTCTGTCTCTGCTTCTCTGTTTCTCTGCCTTTGTTTCTCTTTTCCTCTTCCTCTGTCTTTCTCTCTCTCTCTCCTTCTCTGTTTCTCTCTCTGCCTCTCTCTCCCTCCCTTCCTTCCTCTCCCTCTTTCTCTTCCTCTGAAAGGTGCCAGTTCTGTGCCTTGCACTGAACTATTCTGTTACCTGTGCACTTTGCTTCTGTAATCCCTTCAACTAAAAGCATCTTAAACTCAGGATAATCCAACTGAACACTTCACCACCTCTCCCTCTCCACCTCCCAGTCCCATTTCCCCATTCTAAAACAGGGGGAGAATTTTTCTCTTCTCTTTTGGTCCCTGCATCCAATCTGTTGAGAAGTCACATTCACCCTATCTCCCCAATATTACTCACATCTTCCCTGCCTTCTGTTATGCATTTGCCATTCTAGTCCAGGCCAGTCGTACTCTTTCTCTGCATGAAAACAAGTTCCTCATCAGTCTTTTTACATCCAGCCCTTGCGTTGGCCTGAGACCCAGCTCCAATCACCTTTCTCCTGCTTAGAAGTTTCAAGCCTTCTGTTGCCGATTGAATTAAGTGCAAACCTCTCCAATGTGCCTTCAGAGCCCTCCATAACTTGACGTGCTATATCCTACCTTCTTGGGGCACTGTTCCTCTACTTGCATGCCAACCAGACCACTCACCCTTCAACAAATTCAGCTGCTTTTCTTTTAAGAGATGAGGACTTGCTTGATTGCTTAGGCTGGAGTACAGTGGCACAGTCATAACTCACCATAGCCTCGACCTTCTGGGCTCAATGGATCCTCCCATCTCAGCCTCCCAAGTAGCTAGGACTACAGGTGTGATCCACTCTGCCTGACTAATTTTTTTATTTTGTGAGACAGGGTCTCACTTTGTTGCCCAGGTTGGTCTCAAACTTCTGGCCTCAAGTGATCCTCCTGCCTCAGCCTCCCAAAATGCTAGGATTACAGGTGTGAGCCACTGTGCCTGGCCTCAACCCCCATTTGCATCTGGCTTCTGCCTATCGTGTTTGATCTCTAGAAATCTTTCCATCCCATAATGCTCATCTCCAATGCAATTCTTACCAACTACCAACCCCTCCCCACCAACAACTGTCTCCCTGCCCCACCCCTCAAAAACTCCTCAAGCATTTTTATGATACTTCTCTTGTGGCACTTAATGTTTCTACTTAATTACAATCATTTGTGTCCTGGAATTGTCACCCCGTGCTACAACCCAAGATCCTGTAGACCATATGCGTGTCTGCTCACCTGGGGCTTTTGGTGGGCAGTAGTTGTCTGTTGGACTGAAGTCATGTGATTCCACTGCACCAATGTGAGCATTTGTTCATAAGAGTTAATTTTCCCTTTTCTAATGGCATCTACAACAGAGGTCCCAAATTAGCAGCTGGAGGCTGAATCTGGCCCACAGATGTGTTTTGTCGAATCCACAGTTATTTTTTTAATTGAGTCAACATTTTTAAATGGAATATTTTACACTATATGCCAGATTTTCAGCTTCTCTATAAAAGTAGACTTCTCTGGCAACACTCAAGCCCATACTCACTTCTGGCAGAAAATGCTTGAAGCTGGGGCCTGTGCAGCCCCTGTGGATGAGACGTGTGTGCCTCAGTTCCCCTCTTTGCAGCCCCGGGGTACCTTTGCATTCCTGGTCCCCTTCCTCACTGATGTTATAGATGGGTCTCCCGTAGGTGTTAGAGTTTGCAACCCCTGGTCTAAGGTCCTCATAAGGGTGGTCTGTAGATCCTATGTCAACCCTTGTTTCTAGCCTGGGACTGCTCCTAGAATCAAGTTTGAGGGGTACGTTGGACATGGTGGCTCATGTCTGTAATCCCAGCACTCTGGGAGGCCAAGGTGGGAGAACTGCTTGAGTTCAAGAGTTTGAGACCAGCCTGGGCAACACAGAGAGACCATATCTCTACAAAAAAAAAAACAACAAAAAAACACAAGAAATTAGCCAGGCATGGTGGTACATATCTGTGGTCCCAGCTACTTGGGAGGCAGAGGTTGCAGTGAGCCAAGATCACACCACTATACTCCAGTCTGGGCAACAGAGAAGAACCTATCTCAAAAAAAAAATGTGAGGGGTGAACTAATTGGATCATGGCCTTCCTTGTCTTCCTTTCATAACAGCCCTCATCTTCACATTTACCCCACAATGCCCTCAGGGCTCTGCTGAAAAATCCTTCCATGTGATGTGCCCTGCTCCTGTCTCACCAAAATGTACCTGCCTTCTAATGCAAGCTGGGTGATTAATACGTATTCAAATGTTAATGAATTAATAATGATAATATTTCCTGCATGGGTATAGTATGACAAATCTGTGTCAAGAATGATGCTGTGTGCACACACATACACTCACACATCACAGCAGACATCACAAATTAGTCACCATTCTCTTTCCAGCTAGGTCTAAATAGAGGTCAATACAGCACTTCAGGAAGCCACAGCCAGTGGCTTGGAGCTCCATTGCAGCAGGTCCCCACACCCTCCACAGTGCACTGGTGGCACCCACATCTCACCGCTGGAGTCTTGCTGCTGAAAAGCATAGTGGACAGAAGAGGGATGACCATTACCATTTTGAAGATGAGAAAACAGATTCTGAAATATTTGTCCCTAGCAAACATCAAGGAAGATAAAGGTATTTGAGGTACATTTAAAATCCTGCCCCGGGTAGTGGGGGCAGGGTGTCAAAACCTGCTCCTCTACGAGAAGGGAGAGGGGTGACTTAAATAACAGCTCACCAGGAAAAGATTTATGGCTTTAGTTGATCTTAACTAAAAAGGAATGAAAATATGACATGCCTCTTGTGTCTATCTGGAGGTGTGAGGCTGCCGCTCAGGGCATCTATGGTGGGAACTGGGAACCTTCTGGTTGCTTCCATTTAAAAGAAACAAACATGTGGGGGAACCAGCAGCAAAGGATGAGAAGGAAAGTTGAAGGGATCAAGGGGGCCTCCGTTAGAAAAGAGAAGAGGTGGGAATCTCATGGGAGACACCAGAAAGCTGACTTGGACTCAATAAAGCAAGGATGTTTAAATGAATAAGGTTGCTCACTTTGCAAGCCCTGTTATTGCAAACATTCCTCTGGGTAAGGAGAATCACAATGTGGGTCTAAGATTCTTTTCATCTCTAATATTCTAGGCTTTCATAGAAAAGTCGCTTAGCTGGGAAGGCCTGAAGCCAAATTTGCTGACACCTGCTCTGACACATGGCCCCGTTCTCTAAGTCCTCTCAGATGATGTATTTGCATTTTAACACAGAACATCAATGCCTTAGAGCAAAGGAATGCATAATGTGGTGAATTTCAGCAACCTGACTGCTGGAGCCATTCCATTTCTATTTTTATTGTATAGGGTGAGTTATCCCCAACACTCATATTATTCCACAGAGCATTGCCTTCTTAACCTATATATAAGCTCAATCCTGCTGACAAAACTCTATAAAATGTCCAGGGATATTTTCTTCTGAAAGAAAAAAAAAAAAAAAGAGGCTGGGTGCAGTGGCTCACGCCTGTAATCCCAGCACTTTGGGAGGCCGAGGAGGGTGGAGCACCTGAAGTCAGGAGTTTAAGAGCAGCCTGACCAACATGGTGAAACCCAGTCTCTACTAAAAACACAAAAATTAGCCAGGTGTGGTGGTGGGCGCCTGTAATCCCAGCTACTTGGGAGGCTGAGGCAGGAGAATTGCTTGAACCCAGGAGGCGGAGGTTGCAGTGAGCCAAGATCATGCCATTGCACTTCAGCCTGGGCAACAAGAGTGAAACCCCATCTCAAAAAAAAAAAAAAAAGGATTAAGGCAAATCTACATAATCATCTGCATGAACTGTACCTTTTTGGATCTTTAGTTATTTGTTGAGTTTTGTGTCAACAAATAACCCACCTGCATGAGCCCTGCTCTTCCTCTGGGGCACCTGAGGCTTGGAGGAGTGGAATCCAGGAACTAGGGGGCGCTGTGTATGGGGAGGAGAGAATCAGAAAACAGACTGTTACAGAGAAGGGGTCCTCTAGACTGTGAAGCCAGCCAAGGCCTCTCACCAGACAGACAGCAAGACCTGGGTCTAAGAAGAGTTGACCCAGAAGGCACACAAGAAGCAGGTGACCAGAGGTACCAACAACAGCACACAAGGGCTTTAGGGGTTAAGATACAGCGGCCAGGGATGGTTAATGGGAACAAAAAAAAAGGAGTTAGAAAGAATGAATAAGATCCACGCTTTGAGAGGACAGCAGGATGACTATTGTCAATAATAGCTTAATTGTACATTTTAAAATAACTTGGTAGGGGTGTTCAATCTTTTGGCTTCCCTGGGCCACATTGGAAGAAGAATTGTTTTGGGCCACACATAAAATCCATGAACACTAATGATCGCTGATGAGCTAAAAAAAAAAAAAAAAATCCTAAAACAATCTCGTACTGTTTTAAGAAACTTTATGAATTTGTGTTGGGCAGCATTCAAAGCCATTCTGGGCCGCATGTGACCCTGGGTTGGACAAGCTTGACTTAAGAGTGTGATTGGATTGTTTGTAACTCAAAGGATAAATGCTTGAGAGGATGGATACCCCATTTTCCATGACATGCTTATTTCACACTGCATGCTTGTGTCAAAACATCTCATGTACCTCAGAAATCTATACATCTACTATGTACCTATAAAAATTAAAAATAATAAAATAAATAAATTTTTTTTAAGATATAGCAGTGAGTCCGGACAGCAGGCAGACCTGACCGCCACCCTGAGGCCCCAACACCCAGAGGACCCAGAGATGATCTGCATGTGGAGGAAAGTTCTGAGTCATCCAGGAACTTCAGCTGTGCTTCCTGCTAGGTCAGAGGCCCAACCCACAGCAGTGGTAGCCCAAAGTTTAAAACTGGGAACAGTTAGAGAAGAGAATATACCTACAGAGAAAGGAGAGGACGTGGATGTTCAAGAACAAGTGTGATTCGTCGTAATGGAAACCATCCCCCAGATTCAGGGACCTGCTTTGCAGATTCATGGCCGCTCCTCGTGTTGTCTAAGATCTGCAGAGCTTAATGAAGAGTATGGCAGACAAGCACTTTGTAAATTTCCAGAGCTGAGAATAATAAGTACGTCATGGCTGGTGTACACACACAGACTCAGGTAAGTTGCCATACACACACACACACACACACACACACACACATATCCATATCCACACATTTTTACTTATTGGTATCCTAAGCCAAAATATGACTCAGTTATATAGCTTGACAAGAACACAAATGGGGAACATGGAAACAGAATATTCCTGCATGTCACTATCTGGCAATGCTAATCTTACTCCAGTCTACCTCCCCAGTGGAGTATAAGCTTCACCTTCTGCTAGATTTTCAAAAGTGGTAAAACAAAACATACATTCCCAGAGAGCAAATACTTCTCTGCCTCCTAAGTGGCCATGTTGTACAAAGCACTGTACACAGGTGGCTGCCTATTAAATGCCTTTTAATGATTCTGGTGCAATACCAGGACTCACCCAACCAGTGCAGAGAGAGCAGGTTTCCTAGCCTGTGTTGTAAGATGTGCTGAATTCCCTTAGCACCCTCGGCTACATCTGTGGGAGAGAGAGGGCTAATAGCATCTCCTTTCACTCAAATAGTTTTTCATACCAAATAGCTTTGCTCCAAGGCAAACTATTAAAAAAAAATGTTTCTTGTTGAAAAAGATTCTAAAAATAATGATTAATGGGTATACTTAACAGGGTACTGCTGGCATTCATCTCTGTCGTGAAGTTGCCTTGATAGCTTTTGGAGACCTTTATCAGTGTTAATTTCAAAAGAGATGATCATGAGAAGTGGGTGTCCGGACGTCACCTTTTATTTCTTAGGACTTGGTGGTAGACTCTCCAGCCTGGGCAACATAGCGAGACCTCATGCTTAATGAGGGTTCTGTGCCATTGAGATACAAGGGACTGGAAAACATTGCCTGCCTTTCTCTAAACAGAAAGTGCCACTATTTTTCCAAGTGCCACATTCAAGGGCAGGATCAATGTCTAGTTCTAAGAGTCAGGCTTGGCTAATAATTCAATATTAAATGCTTGACTAAACAGGGTTCTTTCTAATCAGCTGTAGTATGCAATCTAAATCCCATTTCTAGGAGTCCAGAGGTAGGAAAAAAAAGAACAAGGTCTCAAATAATCATACTCTGTTTAAGGAAGGAATATGAGGTCTGCTGTCAATAAATAGGATTGGATAGCTCAGCATGACCCCACAACCCTGTAACTCTAAGGAAGCTCTGTCAGAACTTGGAGGAACTGCTACTAGGTAACAGAGAGTCTTACTTACAGAAGCTGGAAATCTTGATTTTTCTTTCCAAATGCCTTCTAAAGTAATGGAGAGTTTTGTAGACCACAATTCAATTTCTCATATATAAGTGATTTTATTGAATACAATGTTCAATTAATTAGCCCGCTTGCAATCTATAAGAAAGTTACACCAAATAAGTTGCAATTTATTTATTTATTTATTTATTTTAGTGATGGGGTTTCATTATATTGCCCAGGCTGGAGTGCAGTGGCACAAGCATAGCTCCCTGCAGCTTTGAAATTCTGGGCTCAAGTGGTCCTCCCACCTCAGCCTCCCAAGTAGCTGGGACTACAGGCAGGTGCAACCACATCCAGCTAATTTTATCTATTTATTTATTTGTTTGTTTTTGGAGATAGAGTCTTGCTATATTGCCCAGGCTGGTCTCCATCTCCTGGCCTCAGCAATCCTCCTGTCTCAGCCTCCCAAGTAGCTGGGACTACACGCAAGTGCAACCACACCCAGCTAATTTTATCTATTTATTTATTTGTTTGTTTTTGGCAACAGGGTCTCCCTATGTTGCCCAGGCTGGTCTCCAACTCTTGGCCTCAGCAATCCTCCTGCCTCAGCCTCCCAAGTAGATGGGATTACTGGTGCAAGCCACCATGCCCAAGATACGGTTGTAAAAAAGAAACTAAAAAGAAAAGAAACAGCTAAGCATGCCTGATACCTTCCTAATACTTGGCTTTAGCATCTGCTTCCATTGCACTCTGTGGCTCACTGATGGGTTTCTCTAAGGTTTTAGAGAAACAGAAACAGAAACAGATCCTCTCCATAAATGGGACATTCAGACAATGGTGGCACTTTCCATCTGAACAGCAATAGCCATTATACAAATCTTGATTTTACTTGGATAACATCAAAGTTATCTTGTTACTGCTGATTTGCAGATTTAGGTCTCTTAGGACATTTTCTCAAAGAGTGATCTAATCCCCTTTTAGTGGTTCATTTTAGATGTCAGCTTGACTGGACTATGGGGGTCCTCAGATATTTGGGTGGACATTATTCTGGGTGTGTCTGGGTGTGAGGACACTCTCAAAGAGTGATCTAATCCCCTTTTAGTGGTTCATTTTAGATGTCAGCTTGACTGGACTATGGGGGTCCTCAGATATTTGGGTGGACATTATTCTGGGTGTGAGGGCGTTTCTGGATGAGACTGACATTTGAATCAATAGACTAAGTAAAGCATCTAATATGGGTGAGCCTCATCCAGTCAGTTGAAGGCCTGAATAGAACAAAATGCTGAACAAGAGAGAATTCACTGTTTCTGCCTGAAGGTCTTAAGCTGAGTCATTGGTCTTCTCCTGCCCTCAGGCTTGGACTAGAACCTACATCATTGACTCTCCTGATTCTCAAGCCTTCATACTTGGACTAGAATTTACACTGCCAGCTCTCCTCTTGCAAGCTTTTGGACTCACACTGAAATTCCCACCCTGGTTCTCAGGCCTTCAGACTGCTGATCCTGGGACTTCTCAGCCTTCAAAATTGCATAAGGCAACTCCTTATAATAAATCTGTCTGTCTAAATCTACCTATCTACCTGTCCATCCATCCGTCCATCTATCCTATTGGTTCTGTTTCTCTGGGGAACCCTGACTTATACACATCTGATGCTCAGGTATGGCTGTATGTTGTTCCACTCATCACAAGCAAGTAACACCTATGAAAGGATTTCTTTCTTTAAATATTAAGTTGAGGGGTACATGTGCAGGCTGTGCAGGTTTGTTATGTAGATTAAAAAAAAAAGTGTGCCATGGTGCTTTGCTGCATAGATCAACCCATCACCTAGGTATTAAGCCCAGCATCCACTAGCTATTCTTCCTGATGTTCTCCCTCCCCACAATACCCCTCTGACAGGCCCCAGTGTGTGATGTTCCCCACTATATGTCCATATGTTCTCATCACTCAGCTCCCACTTACAAGTGAGAACATGTGGTATTTGGTTTTCTGTTCCCATGTTAGTTTGCTGAAGGTAATGGCTTCCAGCTCCACCCATGTCCTGGCAAAGGACATGATCTTGTTCCTTTTTATGGCTGCATAGTATTCCATGGTGTATGTGTACCACATTTTCTCTATCTAGTCCATCATTGATGGGCATTTGGGTTGAATCCATGTCTTTGCATAGCTTTACCTATGAAAAAGCTAGGCTCAGAAGTATTAAAGTAATGTATCTAATGCCCTGGGGCAAGTAAGTGGCTGCACTAGAATTCAAACTCAGGTCTACAGAACTGCAAAGCTCAGGGTCTTTCCATATGATACTCATGATGTTTCAGCTGGTTCACCCCAGCTTGCTCTCTCTGAATGGAGAAAGGGCTGAAAAAAAAAGAACCAGGCAGCAATAGGTTCCGAGACTAAACAAGCCAATAACATTCAAGACGGAAGTAACAAAATTCAGGTCAAGGCAAGAAACTCAGAGTCCAAGTGAAGGCTGTTGGGGATTGCAGCAGCAGAGCAAAGAAGGCCAGAAAGAAGCTGACAGTGTCAGCAGCCCGCCGCCCTAGAAGGGAGGGCAAGGACGAGGCTGGCTATAAACAGGGCTGGCAGCACAGGGAGTGACATCACCCTGATGTCGAGACAAGGGACTTTCTCAACACCAGATGCTTTTATTCTCTTCTCACCTTGGTTGCACCAGTCCTTGGTGAGCCTGGCCTAAAGCCCTGCAGGTGAGGAAAATGAGAAACAGCTGATGGGCCAGTGTGTGTGGGAGCAGGGAGCAGACCCTCTTCTCTGGCAAAGGCATTCCCCTGACAGGTGGCACGAGGAGAGCCTGTTCCCGATCAAACAGAGTTGGATGGGAATAGCTAAGATGAAACACAAACTCTATGCCATCTCTTCACAATCCCCACATGCGGTGGGAAGCGGTTGCAGATCTGGACCTCGGTAGGGGACAGAGAGGTCTTCCTGGCTGAGAATTGACACAGAAAGGTCTGTGGCCAGCTCCCTGAAGGCAGCAGAGTCCTGAATCCAGATGCAATTCTAACTCACAGGAGTCATGGTAACAAGAACAAGAACTCTTATGAAAACTCTTCATGGCCAAAGACTTGTCACGCGTTTCCTCATCTTATCATCCCAAGAAGCCTGGAATTCTCCCATTTTACAGGTGAGGAGAGGGTATTCAGAATGGCTAAGGGACTCACCCCCCTTAAGGAGGAGCATGCACTCTCATCAAAGAATGTCCCAAAGTTGAACAGAAGGTCAGAGTCAAAAGCTTGTGCTCCTCCTACTGCAGCCTGTGGAGGTCTTTTTCCCTAGTCAAGACATCGGAATGTGGGGTACAAGGGAGAGGAAATGGACTTGGCATGCTCTCTGTCTATTCCTTGAGAAAGGTTATACACACATATGCACGTGCACACACATGCACACACACACATTCACATGCTCGCTCGCTCTCTTTTCTTATATCAAACTTTGCAGGCTTCAAAATCATTCCCAAATCTTTCTGATTTTTTTTAAATTTTTAAATTTTTTTGAGACAGGGTCTCCCTCTGTTGCCCAGGCTTGAGTGAAGTGGTGTGATCTCGGCTCACTGCAACCTCCCCTTCCCAAGTTCAAGCAATTCTCCTGTCTCAGCCTCCTGAGTAGCTGAGATTACAAGCGCCTGCCACCATGCCCGGCTAATTTTTGTATTTTTAGTAGAGACAGGGTTTCATCCTGTTGGCCAGGATGGTCTCAAACTCCTGACCTCAAGCGACCCACCCGCCTTGGCCTCCCAAAGTGCTGAGATTACAGGTGTGAGCCACCCAGCCCGGCCCCAAATCTTTCTGTTTTAAATGTGTGCGTTTAAAATGACCACACACATCGCTTTTTCTCCCAGAAGATATATCTTAAAACCTATTTAAATGGGCTCATGGTTTTTAAACAGGAATATGAAGTCATTTCTTCACATTCTTCTTAAAGGCAGGTTGCTTCATGATCATTGCCCAGGACTAAACATTTTTCAAGATGGATTTTGTTTTACTTTAAAAGAATCATAACTCCATTTTTAAAATTTAGATAATATGATATAAATTAGTTATATAAGTTATGCAACGCAGTCTTCATCCATTATTCCTTAGTGATCTAGCTGAATTCTACCATAGTTAAGGGACTTGGATGAATTCCATAGAAATAGTCTCAGCTAGCATATTTAATCCTCTGATTTTAGGTTGGGAATTGTGGAATCTACCTGTCAAAATGTAAGTTATTTCTGCACACACACACTCACAAAAACTTAGACTTTTTTCCCATACCATTAACAAAAATGTAGACTATTTAGTACTTTTGCCTATCAATGGGACAAGAATTAGAAGGTGTCACACACACACAAAAATGTATCTCACTAGTTCATCTCAAAGCTTCATGTTTGATCTTAAACACACTTCATCTTTTAAAGCTCAGTTCAATGAAGTTGATTTTAGGGCCCATACACATTACTAGTCAGTCGTTCTTATCTGCAATTTTACTAATAATACCAGACAGACCCTTCAAAGAAACTCTCAGGGCCTGTCACTCCTAGAAGAAGTTCATCTATTCAACGGCACTGTTCTTGTTCCCAAATGGGCTCTCCCTAACAAGCACAGAAGCTGACAACACCACCGGAAAAAATACCCTGGAAAATAGTTCCCAGCATTCTAATGGGTTACAGATGGGCTGGGAATCTTCCTGCCATTTTTTATTGTTAGCTAGCTTCCTTTCTTCTGTCTCAGGTTTTATTGCTTGTTTTCCTGGTTAGCCTCCTGGATGCTTGAATTAACCCACTGAATCTTTCCTTTGCCATGAAGGTCTCCAGATCACTGAGAG
This sequence comes from Homo sapiens, assembly GCF_000001405.40. NCBI lineage: Eukaryota > Metazoa > Chordata > Mammalia > Primates > Hominidae > Homo > Homo sapiens. Next base: position 34,024,636 of record NC_000010.11, read on the forward strand.
GGTCCTGAGGCTTTCAATTGTATTAATATTTCCACACCGTCTGTAACAGGAGCTGTTCCTCTTAGCCAAGGCCTGCGAGATGGTTCAAAGTATATTTCTGGAAAGATATTAAACTTACTTTAACAAAAAATTTTTTTAAATCCCCACAGTTAAAATGATGTCCTTGGAGACTAGGGAAGCTTATCCAGATCAGCCTTATTAGGTCGAATATCAATCAGTGAAGTCAGGCTGCCAGAGGATTATGTTGTTGGGAAAGAAAGTCAACATGTTAATGGCTCTGCCTGTTTGCAGTGTTAACTGGCTCACAAGACGGAGAAGGATTATGCTCTGACACTTGTGTATCCTTGCTGAACTTGGAATGCGACAGCTCAGATCCAACCAAAATTAACTGCATCAGATGTCGCTGATGTGAAAATAAAAATCAACTAAGCCAAACAGCAGAAGAAAAGGTGGATGGAGGAAGGGGAAGTCTTAAATTCAGTCCTCAGTGGCGCCCCCTTCCTCCAGGTCCCTAAGGGAAACTTCCCTGGGTGTTTGTCCAGGCTTCCTTCCCCTGCTGCTTCTGGGAAATGTTCTTCCTGCTCACTCCACCGCGTGCTTCTAGTGGCTGCTGTCAATCACAGTGCTCAGCCTGCATGTGACCCAAGCCAACCAATCAGAGCCGTGCCCTGGGAATTTTTGGCTTTGAACTAAGAGATGAATCACTATGGTGTGTACTGCAGTCTGAGAGCTGCTGACAAGCATGTTCCTGCCACTTTTAGAGGAAGCAGGCCTATAGTATGAAAAAGGATGCTGGCCCCGAGAGCCACAGAAATAAGCAAACCAGAAAATTCCATGATTGCCCAGGTCCAATTCCATCATTCCTAAGGCCCAGATCCAACTTTGCCCTTCCGTAGTTTGGGAATCACTACATTCCCCTTGACTTGAATTTCTCTCACTTGCAACAAAAAAGTGCTGGTGGGTGAAAATGCTATAAATTAATCTCTCTAATTTATGTCTTTGAAGAAACTTTTAAAAGCCTTGTATTACTTGGGATGTCAGTTTCTCTGCTGTCAAAGAGACCTGAAATAACACTGCCTGAGAGTAAGGCAGGTAACATTTCAAAGCGAGTTTGCCACTCTGCTCTGTGAATATGTCAAGGACTCAAGCCCCTTCAGGAATTACCAGAGCTCTTTCCAAAGAAATGACTGCAGGACCAGGGATCTGTTGCTATTTCTTCCCAGCAGAATTTTATCATTATTGTGGATCAATTGCTATTGTATGTTTCCCATTCTTCCCTTTTTTGAATGGGAGTGTTTTTTGTCATTAATCTAACCCTGCACTACCATTATGTGTTGAGGAGGAAAGAGATGACTTGTTTATACTGTGTAGAGGAAGCTCATGTAGACATGACAGAGATGACTGTACATCACCCAGAGGTCCTAGGCTTGGAGCTGGGTGCAGTAACTCCCTGGGACTTCAGGATGGTCTCCCTTGGGGAAGGACTGGCTGTGGTCTATGAAGGAAGAAGAATATGCATGTGGATGTTTGAGCAGCCAAAATGGGGTACTGTGACAGAGACTGCCAATTGTCCCCCAGTATCTCCTTCTTTACCTAAGAGAATGCCCAGTTTTTGACTGCATGGACCATGGTAGAATGAAGAGTCATTTCCCAGCCTCCTGGCAGCTCGGAGTGACCATGCAACTAAGTTCTGTTTAATGTGATATGGCAGAAGTGACTCATTCACCTACAGGATCATGCCCTAAAAGGGACAGGCATGCCCTCTTCTTTCTCTTTCCACCCCTCCTGATAGCTGATATGCAGACTGGATGGTCAACCATCTTGGACAGTACAAATAAGAATGATGAATACTTTAGGGATGGCAGAGCTCCTAGACAGGAAGATCCTGGGTCCCCAACATGGTAAAGCCACCCTATCAGCCCTGGACATGAGATGGAGAAATAAACTTTTCTCTTATTTAATCCACTATTTATTTATTTATTTATTTATTTTAGAGAAAGGGTCTTGCTCTGTGACCCAGGCTGGAGTACAGGGGCACTACCATGGCTCATTACAGCCTTCAACTCCTAGGCTCAAGTGATCTTCCTACCTCAGCCTCCCAAGTACCTGGGATTATGAGCATGAACCACAGCACCCCAATCTGATCTACTTTATATTGGTGACAGGGCAGCTGGATATTATTTCCTACTATTGCCAGCTATTTCCCAGCACCATGTAAATGCATACCCTGGTAGGTACTCGACTCAGAACTGAAGCTTCTAGAAGTCAAAGACTAGAAGTGCTCAGTTTCTGGCATGAATGTGAAAAGTGTAGTAAACGCTGGAGAAAGAGTTGAAGGTGATTATGGCAACTAACAGTGCCTCTGCCCGGCCCTCCTTCCCCACCTCTTGGGGCAGCTGATACCTGCCTTCCTCCTGGAAGCAGGCCTCTGCCCAGGGCCACCTCATTTTTGCCAGGGGATAAAAGGCACTGGCTGCCTTGGTCTCACTAAGGCTGTGCTGCAATTGAAATGAGCTTCCTCTTGGAGAGCTTGTATTTTTTTTTTTTTTTTTTGAGATGGAGTCTCACTCTGTTGCCCAGACTGAAGTGCAGTGGTGCAATCTCAGCTCACTGCAACCTCCACCTCCCGGGTTCAAGCGATTCTCCTGACTTAGCCTCCCAAGTAGCTGGGGTTACAGGCACGCACCACCACACCCTGCTAAAATTTTTGTACTTTTAGTAGAGATGGGATTACACCAGTTTGGCCAGGCTGGTCTCGAACTCCTGATCTCAAATGATCCACCCACCTCTGCCTCCCAAAGTGCTGGGATTACAGGCATGAGCCACCGTGCCTGGCTGAGAGCTAGTATTATTACATAAGGCACAGGTGTGGCTACTAGGACACAGCAGAATGACAGGGCCTTCATGCCACTGTGCCAGGCATGAGTGTGGGCAGTCCTAACAGCAGGACTGACACTTATGCCCCAATACCCCTCACCTTGCCCCTTACCTCCAGTGTCCAGCAATTGAAAGGTTAGTATATAACTTCTGGCTAGCAAAGCTCCCTGGGAATTTGATTTGAGGCTAAATTTAGTGTCCATTCTTATGTATTGGGCTGTAAGTATGTGAATAATGAAATATTTCAAGTCATCTTTGCCTGTAGGTGCTGGACAATATTTTCCCACCCACCTGCATAATCAGGCCACCTGAATTGTCACAACCATGTGTCCTCTCTGTTTCCTGCCTGTTTTTCTGTGTTTCTATTGGAACTGGAGCCCCGTCCAGTCTGGCGTGACACCCTACCACATTCTTGCAAATTATCTTTCTTGCTCATTGGGCCCTGCCACAATTGAAAACAATTCCTAATTCCATTCCCCTGCCTGCCAACTTGACACATACAGCCATGCACAGCCCATCCAATGAGAGAGCCTTGACTGACACCTGCCATAACCACACTCATGCATGCTCTGTGGATTTCAGTTTAAGCTGTGCGTTGAGAAGACTTGGGCTTAAGTCCTACTTCCATCAAGTAATGAATGTGACCTTAGGAAAATTAACTTTTTTTTTTTTTGAGACAGTCTCTCACTCTGTCGCCCAGGCTGGAGTGCAATGGCATGATCTTGACTCACTGCAACGTCCATCTCACAGGTTCAAGCGATTGTTCCACCTCAGCTTCCTGAGTAGCTGGGATTACAGGCACCTGCCATGAGGCCCAGCTAAATTTTGTATTTTTGTAATTTTGTATTTTTGTAATTTTGTATGTTTCACCATGTTGGCCAGGCTGGTCTTGAACTCCTGATCTCAGGTGATCCACCTGCCTTGGCCTCCCAAAGTGCTGGGATTACAGGCGTGAGCCACCGCACCTAGCTGGGAAAATTAACCTTTCTAAGGCTCAGTAGCTTCATCTTCAAAATGAACAGAATAACGCTTGCCTTATAGAGTTGTTGTGAGAGTTGAATGGCACATAGTAAGCATGTAAGAAATTATAGCTGCGTGCAGTGGTGCATGCCTGTAATCCCAGCTCCCTGGGAGGCTGAGGTGGGTGGATCACTGAAGGACAGGAGTTTGAAGCCAGCCGGGGCAACGTAATGGAATCCTGTCTCAAAAAAAAGAAAAAAAAGAAAGTCCAGGTGTGGTGTGCATACCTGTAGTCCCAGCTGCTATGGAAGCTGAGGTGAGAGGATCACTTGAGCCTGGGAGGTTGAGGCTGCAGGGAGCTGTGATCATGCCACTGCACTCCAGCATGAGCAACAGAGTGAGGCCCTGTCTCTAGGAAAAAGAGAAAGAAGAAATTAATCCGTTTTGTGGAGCATATATTCAAATGGGGGAAAGATACACATTTTAAAGTGTTTTTTCAAGATCCTGTCAAAGAAAAAAACTTATTTTTAAAGAAAGTGTAGCATCATGACCTGAGCTCCCCTCCACCTGGCCACCACTCCATGGTCACTGAGCTGCTTCTCAGCAGTCAGGCAGCCTCCGCGGCTGAGATCTTCTCCTCGAGCCATCTGGTCCTGGCCTCTGTCCCTGGTCTACCTGACAGTGTTGCCAACCCCCCACATGAGTGTGCTCAGTGCCACCCACAACCTGATGACCTTATTCATGGAAGGCCCTCAGTATGTGTTTAAGGAAACAGTGAACAAGAGAATGAATTAAGTACAGTGCTGGTATCCAGTGTTTTCAAAGATGCACCAAATATCATTTCAAAGCAAAAACCCATCCTGATTGCTGCAGGGAAGGCGCAAAGCTGGTAAGCATGGCGGCCTTCACCAAGGGGTTCTCCATCCTCTGTCCCTCACTGTCATTGTCAGAAAGGATGGTGTGAGTCAGTGGGCACATCATCTCTTGATCGCCACACTCACAGTCACATGCTAGGCCTACCACGAGGGAAGATCACGCTTGCTTCTCAGTTCCTCGGGTTGACCTGATGCTAACACTCTGGTGGCCTCTGCAGTAGGCATGAGTCAGTCGAAGCAATCTGTGCTCTGCTCCCCAGGTGGGACTGCCTCCTTCCATCACCCCGTGGTGTCCTGTCCCGCCGAGGGGCCAGCCAGCAGGAGAGGAAGGGGGGAACAAGGATGTGCGTGCCACCATGAGTCCCCTGCTGGGAAGGAATTCCCAGGCCCTGGCGCAGAAGCTGGCAGCAGCTGCTCCTGTCCTGGGAGCAGCCTGGCCTCTGAGAGCAGAGAAAACAGAAAATAGCAGGAGTGGGAAACTTACAACATAGCACCTGCCCCATGGAATGAGACAGGGCCCCACTCAGCCACCACAGTGTGTCAGCCCTTCACACTGCCCTACGGTTTAGAACAAAGACAGGTGTTCAGGTGGCTTTGCTCCAATTATCATCTCGACCTTGCCTTGGGGAGCTGTATAAATAGCTGAAAACATGTCTTTTCCCCTTTTAATTTTTTTAGAGAGAAAGGGTCTGGCTCTGTTGCCCAGACAGGAGTGCAGTGGTGCAATCACAGCTCACTGCAGCCCTGACCTCCCAGGCTCAAGCGATCCTCCCCTGTCAGCCTCCCAAGTAGCTGGGACCACAGGTGACTGCCACCATGCTCGGTTAATATTTTTTACTTCTCTGTAGAGACAAGATCTCATTAGAGCAGGCCAGGCTGATCTCGAACTCCTGGGCTCAAGCAGTCTTCCTGCCTTGGCCTCCCAAAGTGCTGAGATCACAGGTGTGACCACTGTGCCTGGCCTCTTTTCCCCTTGCTGTTCTCTATTCTCAAGTGTAAATGTCAAGTCTTGAAAAGAATTTTCATCATTTTACAAAGAGGTGATAGCTGGGTGTGCTTATAGTCCCAGCTACTTGGGAGGCTGAGGTGGGAGGATCACTTGAGCTCAGGAGCTCAAAGTTGCAGTGAGCTATGATGGCGCCACTGCACTCCAGCCTGCACAACAGAGCAAGACCCTGTCTCTAAAAAATAAAAATAAAAATTCAAAAAAATTTTTAACGTGTTACAAAAGAAAGGGGGGTAGGAATGAAAATGATGTTAGCAAGGGCTGCAGTGACCCAGGACAAGTAAGCAATTTGGTGAAAGAAGGCTGAAGATCAAGATAGATTGAGCAAAGGGAAGAATTAATTCTGGAAGAACAGTTGATGGTTTTACATAACCAGACACACACAGGCCAACAACACCCTGTAGGGCTCACTGGTGCCAGAACCCGTCTGCATCTAGCCCTGCTGTGGCGTCTACAAGAGACACAGATGATTGAACTTAAAGTTTGAGTGCATGATGGAAGGGTCAGAAATGTTATCAGAATAGTTCACAGTGATTTTTCTCCCATTATCTTTCCTATTTCATCAGTGGCTGTAAGGACAAGCAAGTGTCCCTGGAGAGGTTCAGACCCATCAGGTGTGTGTCCTGAGCTGCAGGATTCCCCCATGGATGTTTACTCTCTTCTTACATCTCCATCTGCCCGGCTTTGCTCCCAGCACAGGGAATGTTCCTATAGGACTGTACCCTACAACCAGGCCTTGGCAATCTGGCCTAGAGGGCAGGTATGGCTGGAGGGCAGACAGGAGATTAGTGTGGCTGTGCAAGTGGGGTCTCCCTTGGGCTCTGCTCCCCTTAAGCCCAGGCCTGCATTGCAGAATATTCCACAGGCCAAGCAAGTGATAGACCAGAGAAGGAAGGGCCATTTATTTCAGTACTTAACTTTCTTCACTGGAGCAGTCGATTAATTGCTGGTGCATATTAGCCTTTTTCTCTGCGTTGTGTTACACAGACTCTTTAAGGATAAGGTGCTCATCCGAGTCATGGTGACTTTTGCACAGTGCAGAGCAGGGTGCCAGGGATATATTGGGATTTAGAGTTTGAGGGTGGATGCATGGGCTTTGAGTCTCTGTTTTTGAGCCTTGTTCCCCATCCTAACCATCCTCTATCTATGAAAATGTGACTTCCATCTGTGGCAAAGGATCATGAAAGTTTGCCAAAATTTTCCCTGCTGCAGAGCTTCTCTCTGGCCAAATATGACTCAATCAGGTCTTAAGCAAAAGGCCTGGAACGTCTGTCACTTCCAGAGGCCTCATGCCAAGCACAGGATGTGAAAGCTCACTTCTTCCTTCTACTGCCCACTTACACTGCACAAGAGAAATCTCGCCTCCACTCTCCGTTGACCTTCCTCTCAGAAGCACAAAGGCATTAGCTCACTTTGGGCTCAACATTGCCAGCAGTCACAGATTTCTGCACCATGGTGTCTCCTCTCTTTCCCTGGAGGGAATCCCAAACTTGCTCTCACCTTGGAATATTTTTGGGGCCCTGTGAACTGGATAGGAATGGCAAAAGGACTCAAAGTAGCTGGGCTTCCTGCATTTCCTTCTGAACCTCCTTGCTACCTCTAACTTACACTGGAACAGTAGACATAGAGCCAGGGCAGTGTCTAGCACATAGTAGATGCATAAATGGTTGTTGAAAGTTTTGGTGCAAAGACATAAACTGTCATGGATTTTCAAGCACTCATGAAAGACTGTTAGACAGCCTTTCCTGCAGGATACCTCCTGGAATCCTGTTAATTGGATTCTTCTTGAAGCATGGATAACAACACAATAAGTATCTTATACCTAAGATATATCCATATAGACAAACAACCATTAAAGAATTACTTTCTTATCATTTCCATTAAATTCAACTAATGTCAATTATATGACTTCTCTACACAAACCTCTATGCCAGCTGCAAGACCAGAATGAGAAGGACATTTCATTCTCATTCAGGAATGAATGTGTTTTCAGGAAGCACAACTCTATTGCAAGGATGAGTTTACCAGGCCAATGGCTTCCTGCTTAGTTAACAGGTTCTCAATGCATCTTCATCATGATGAAGATGATGAAGATGGCTATCTCCAAAGTATGGAACCAGCATCAGTACTGATGTGAGGCTGGCTCTATGTTTTGAGTTTCTATGTAACAAACTGTAACCTAACTTAGTAAGTAAACAAACAAAAACCTAGTTTAGGAATATCTTTCTGTTACAAACAGCCAAGCTTCAGCCAATCATAGACAGCCAACTGATCACCTCATGCCCAAACAAGGTAAATGCCTAGCTGTAGCCAATTAGATGATTTCTCTACTTCGCTTCTCTGTTCATCCTATAAAAGCTTGCTGGTCATGCTGCTGAGTGGACCTCTCTTCTGGTTCTGAATGCCGCCTGATTCATGAATTGTTCTTCGCTCTGTTAAATTTAATTGTCTATGCTCATGCCCATAATCACAGTGCTTTGGGAGGTTGAGGCAGGAGGATGACTTGAGGCCAGAAGTTCAAAACCAGCCTGGGCAACATACCAAGATTCTGTCTCTACAAAATAAATAAATACATAAAAATAAAGACATTTAATTGTCTAATTGTTTTTTAACAGACCTAAGTCTTATAACACCCACGAGCATGATTGTTCCCGGAAGTGGGGTTGGTGGAGGGAGGCAGGGTCAAGGTTAATTTAGGAAGTGATGTTACCCTGGGCTTTGAGTGGGAGCTAGGGTTTTCCTAGATACCAGGTATGTATGGTGGGGGTGGGGGGTTGCAGGAAGCAGGGTTAAGTGAGAGTGCAGAAGAACAGACTTTCCTGGCAGGGGAGATCCTGAGCATAGCCACAGAAGAGTGAAGACACGTGAGTTCTTTAGGGGCAGTGACTAACCTCACGTGCCTGCCTTCAGTGAGAGGTGTGTAGGGGATGAGGAGTGGCCACAGGGGCTGGAATGACGCAATGGGCCTCTTAGAAATGGCATTACTCACCATGCTTGGGAGGCGTCCTACAAGCAGGTAGGGTTCCCCCACCCAACAATTTTATTTTATTTTGTTTGTTTGTTTGTTTTTGTTTTTGTTTTTTGAAATAAGGTCTCACTCTGTCGCCCAGGCTGGAGTGCAGTGGTGTAATTATAGCTCACTGCAGCCTCCAACTCCTGGGCTCAAGGGATTCTCCTGCCTGAGCCTCTGGGGTAGCTGGGACTGCAGGTGTGCACCACTATGACTGGCTAATTTATTTTTTGTAAGGATGGTGTCTTGCTTTAGTGCCCAGGCTGGTTTCAAACTCCTGGCCTCAAGCAATCTTCTTGCCTTGGCCTTCCAAAGTTCTGGGATTACAGATGTGAGCCAGCAGGCCTGGCCAAGATTTCACTTTAGAAATGATGTGATTATATGTGTGTTTCAGAAAAGCCAACGCTAGCAGAGGCATTTATTTCACCCATTTTAAAACTATAAGAGATTAAGTATCTGCTCTCTTATCTCCAGTGTCAATATATTGATATTGATACAAAAATGGCACCATTACAGGGAAAAATAAGATGCCATCAATGTGCTTGTGTAAAAGGCCGTGCTTTACAATTACCCTAGCTCAGAGGGACCTTCAGCTTGTTACTGAGCCCAGCTGAGTACAGGTAGGAGGGGAGTCTTTTTCCCTTTCATTCCCAGGATAGGTATCCAGAGCCCCACCTCCTTCCTTAAGCATTTGCAGGGATATTTTCAGGGAGGTCCCCGACTTGAGGCTAATCAGAATGCAAAGCATTGGTGGAGGCCAAGACAGGCCTCCATCAGCTGAGCAGCCATGGGTGGGATGCTTGGTGTGGCTCACCCTAGGAGAGGCAGAACGTGCATGAATCTCCTTCCCGACTGCCTGGTCTCATCTCCTGTGGGGCCTCCAGACCTTCACTCCATCCTCCCTCTCTCCCTGGACCACCCTAGACAGTTGTGCAAGAGGCTGAGGAGAGGGAGGATGAGGTGAGGAGCCATGTTCTTACTCATAAGATTCTCTCACAAATGAGTCCTTGCCTTTCCCATTCGAATTTCATTAAAAGTCCAGAAAGAGGCATCTTTTTCTCTGCTTTCTACTCTCATTCCCCCTTCAAGATCAATGGTTACAGAATCGTCCCACAGCTTGAATGAGGGTAAGGATAAAATGGGAAATGGAAAGACTGGAGAAAATTGATATCATATTATTATTCTCCAGCAAAAGGATTCTTGGAAGGTTATCAGGTTTTATTAACATGTCTACTTCTTACACATATGAAATGCAAAATTCTTGAGATTCATCAAACGCTTTCCTATGGGCTTTTAAACCTATCAAAGTCACCAGAGCACAGGTATTGATAGACTAGGAGCTATTAGTAAATCCATCCAAATCTGAATTAATGCAGTTGTATTTCACCCAGATACAGCTTCATAGTCCTTATTATGGTCATTGAACCACCTGGCTAGTTCCTCCTCCATGGTGTCACTAAGTGATTATGCTCAGATAGTATTTTAGATCACCTTTCTAAAAAAGGAACTCAAGATAGATAATTTACTTCACCCCTCATCTCTAAATCTTAATCCAATCTAAGTATATTCATATCTCTTTTAAATTGTCTCTTTAGTCTCCTTAAGCTATTCCTCTAGAATTGAGGCCATCAAGCTACAGATGGTCTTACAAATGGAGCCCTAAATGAGTTCAACTAACAACTTCTACTGAGGACCCCTGGACCAACCCGCTGGCACTTTTACTGGCCTAGAAAGCTCCCCTCTGGAGGACAGTACAACTGCAGGGCCCCTTCATCGCCCCTATCCAGCAGGAAGTAGCTAGAGCAGTCATCAGCCAAATTCCCAACAGCAGTTGGGGTGTCCTGTTTGAGGGGGGATTGAGAGGTGACAGTGTGCTGGCAGCCCTCGCTCACTCTTGGCACCTCCTCAGCCTTGGCGCCCACTCTGGCTGCACTTGAGGAGCCCTTCAGCCTGCCGCTGCACTATGGGAGCCCCTTTCTGGGCTGGCTGAGGTCGGAGCCGGCTCCCTCTGCTTGCAGGGAGGTGTGGAGGGAGAGGCGGGAGTGGGAACTGGGGCTGCACGTGGGGCTCACGGGCCACTGTGAGTTCCAGGTGGGTGTGGGCTCGGCGGGTCCCGCACTTGGAGCGGCCAGCCAGCACCACCGGCCCCGGGCAGTGATGGGCTTAGCACCTGGGCCAGCAGCTGTGGAGGGTGCGCCGGGTCCCCCAGCAGTGCCAGCACTGTGCTGGAATTCTCGCCAGGCTTCAGCTGCCTCCCCACAGGGCAGGGCTCGGGACCTGCAGCCCGCCATGCCCGAGCCTCTGCCACCATGCTGTGGGCTCCTGCGCTGCCGAGCCTCCCCGAGGAGCGCCGCCCCCTGCTCCACGGCACCCAGTCCCATCGACTGCCCAAGGGCTGAGGAGTGCGGGCACATGGCACGGGACTGGCGGGCAGCTCCGCCTGTGGCCCTGGTGCAGGATCCACTAGGTGAAGCTAGCTGGGCTCCTGAGTCTAGTGGGGACTTGGAGAACCTTTATGTCTAGCTAAGGGATTGTAGATACACCAATCAGCACTCTGTGTCTAGCTCAAGGTTTGTGAATACACCAGTCAGCACTCTGTATCTAGCTAATCTGGTGGGGACTTGGAGAACCTTTATGTCTAGCTAAGGAATTGTAAATACACCAATCAGCACCCTGTGTCTAGCTCAAGGTTTGTGAATGCACCAATCAGCACTCTGTATCTAGCTAATCTGGTGGGGACTTGGAGGACTTTTATGTCGAGCTGAAGGATTGTAAATACACCAATCAGCACTCTGTGTCTAGCTCAAGGTTTGTAAACACACCAATCAGTACCCTGTGTCTAGCTCAAGGTTTGTAAATGCACCAATCAGTGCTCTGTATCTAGCTAATCTAGTGGGGACTTGGAGAACTTTTGTGTCTAGCTCAGGGATTGTAAATGCACCAATCAGCTCCCTATCAAAACAGACCAGTCAGCTCTCTGTAAAATGGACCAATCATAAGAATGTGGGTGGGACCAGATAAAGGAATAAAAGCAGGCTGCCTGAGCCAGCAGTGGCAACCCACTCGGGTCACCTTCCACACTGTGGAAGCTTTGTTCTTTTGCTGTTTGCAATAAATCTTGCTGCTGCTCACTCTTTGTGTCCGCATTGCCTTTATGAGCTGTGACACTCACCGTGAAGGTCTGGAGCTTCACTCCTGAGCCAATGAGACCACAAACCCACCAGAAGGAAGAAAATTCAAACACATCTGAACATCAGAAGGAACAAACTCCAGACACGCCACCTTTAAGAACTGTAACACTCACCATGAGGGTCTGCGGCTTCATTCTTGAAGTCAGTGAGACGAAGAACACACTAATTCTGGACACACTACCATGCCCATGTAATTTTTGTATTTTTAATAGAGACAGGGTTTTGCCATGTTGGCCAGGTTGGTCTTGAACTCCTCACCTCAGGTGATCCATCCACGTCAGCCTCCCAAAGTGCTGGGATTACAGATATGAGCCGCAGCACCCAGACAGAATTTTTTTTTTTGATACAAGGTCTCACTCTGTGGCCCAGGCTGGAATGATGTAACCACAGCTCATGGCAGCCTTGACCTCCCAGACTCAAGGGATCCTCTCGCCTCAGCCTCCCAGGTAGCTGGGACTACAGGTGCACACCACCATACCCAGCTAAATTTTTAAATTTTTTGTAGAGACAAGATCTCACTATGTTGCCAGGGCTGGTCTCGAACTCCTAGGCTCAAGTGATCCTCCTACCTCAGCCTCCTAAAGTGTTGGCATTACAGGCATGAGCCACCACACCCAGCTACAATTTTTTTTTTTTTTTTGAGATGGAGTTTTGCTCTTGTTGCCCAGGCTTGGGTGCAATGGCGTGATCTCCGCTCACTGCAATCTCCACCTTGAGGGTTCAAGTGATTCTCCTGTCTCGGCCTCCTAAGTAGCTGGGACTACAAGCACACGCCACCATGCCCAGCTAATTTTGTATTTTTAGTGGAGATGGGATTTCACAATGTTGGCCAGGTTGGTCTAAACTCCTGACCTGAGGTGATCCACCTGCCTCAGCCTCCCAAAGTGCTGGGGTTACAGGTGTGAGTCACTGCACCAGGCCTGCAATTTTTTTTAACCTAAAATCTCATCATTAATAAATCACCCACTTGAAATTAAATGTGGGTGTGGGTGTGATTTTTGAAGAGTTTTATTTTTAGGTATACCTGTAATAGGCCTACCAGATTAAGTCATTCTTTCTGCAAGTATCAGAACCCCCTGGACTATTCTTTAAAACTGCAGCTTTCTGGGCCTTTCCCCAAGCCTCCTAAATCAGAATATTTGGTGGCAGAGGCCAAGCATCTGTGTTTTTAATAAACGCTCTAAGTGATTCTTAAGAACCCTAAAGTCTGACAACCACTGGATTAAATAGTAAGAGTAGCTATCGTTATTCTAGCATATGAAGTCTCTCCACAAAGTAAATAAATAAATTTAAAAAAAAAACTAAAAAGAAAACTAAAAAACCACCGTGGTCTATCAAGACTTGGTCTTTCTGTCAACTTGAATTCAAAGAAATAGTCTGTTGCCAGAATCCACGAATAAATTTTTTTAGAATAGATTCCATGACAATGACAGGGTGTGATTTTTAAAGAATAATTTATACCAAAAAGATTCCTAATAATCTTTTGCAGGCATTTCTCCTGCTTCTCCAATTTCTGTGTTTTTTTTTCTTTTTCTTTTTTTCTTTTTTTTTTTTTTTTTTTTTTAAGACAGAGTCTCTCTCTGTCGCCAGGCTGGAGTTCAGTGGCACGATCTCAGCTCACTGCAACTTCTGCCTCTCGGGTTCAAGCGATTCTCCTGCCTCAGCCTCCCGAGTGGCTGTGACTACAGGCGAGCACCACCACACCCAGCTAATTTTTGCATTTTTAGTAGAGACAGGGTTTCACCATGTTGGCCAGGCTGGTCCCCAACTCCTGACCTCAAGTGGTCTGCCCACCTTGGCCTCCCAAAGTGCTGGGATTATAGGCATGAGCCACCACGCCCAGCCCCAATTTTTCTACTTTCAAGGAAAGAAAAAAAGCTATTACAAATCTTTCCTTCTTATGCATTGAAAAACAAAAGTTAAAAAAAAAACTTTGGGTATTTGAAGCAATGTGAATGGAGCTGTATATTAAATATTATAGCTAGGTGCAATCATAATGGTGTGGTGATATATGTGAATGTCCTTGGTCTTTGGAACTACATGAGCCAAAGTATTTAGGCATGAAGTGTCATGACATCTTAAACTTGCTTTCAAACAGCTCAGAAAAAAGGCGTATATATGTGTATGTTTTTACATATATGCATATATAGAGACATATACATATAAATATATGTATACATGCATATCTATCTGTGTGTGTGAGAGACAGAAAGCAAACTTGGCTATGGCCAGGTATGGTGGCTCATGCCTGTAGACCCAATATTTTGGGAAGCTGAGTGAGGAGGATCGCTTGAGGCCAGGAGTTTGAGACTAGCCTGGGCAACATAGCAAGACCCTGTTTCTACCAAAAAAAAAAAAAAATAGCAGGATGTGGTGGAGTGCACCTCTAGTCCCAGCTACTCAGGAGGCTGATGTGGGAGAATCACTTTAAGCCCAGGAATGCCACTGCACTCCATCCCAAGCAACACAGCAAGACCCCATCTTACAAAAAAAAGTTAGCAGGGCATGGTGGTACACACCTATTAGTCCCAGCTACTTGGGAAGCTGAGATGGGAGGATTCCTTGAGCCCAGGAGTTCAAGGCTGCAGTGAGCTATGGTCACACCACTCCACTCCAGCCTGTGTGACAGAGTGAGACCCTATTAAAAAAAAAAAAAGTAGCTAAACGATGATTGGTAAAACTAGGGTATTTGCTCTGGTTTTTTTCTTTTCAACTTTTCTGTAGATTAAAATTTTTTTAATAAAAAGTTGGGGAAAAACAAATCTCTTTCTGTTTTCGTTGCTGCTTTCTCCCCTACCTCCCCTGTCCATTCCCACATCCCCCACCTTCCAGCTGGGGGTGACCACCACCTGCTTGACTATGTCAGACTCTTTGCCACCACTGGGGAACTCAAGGGTGATGTACTTCCCAGGTTTCCCTTGCAAGCCACAGAAGCAAGCAGATATCTCCCCAGCCCCATCTCCTCCCAGAATCTGACTAATTTTCTTTTTTCTTTTTTTTTTTTTTGAGACGGAGTCTTGCTCTGTCACCCAGGCTGGAGTGCAGTGGTACTATCTCAGCTCACTGCAACCTCCACTTCCTGGGTTCCAAGGATTCTCCTGCCTCAGCCTCCCAAATAGCTGGGAATACAGGCATGCACCACCATGCCCGGCTAATTTTTGTATTTTTAGTAGAGACAGGGTTTGGACATGTTGGCCAGGCTGGTCTGGTCTCAAATTCCTGACCTCGTGATCCACTCGCCTCAGCCTTCCAAAGTGCTGGGATTACAAGTGTGAGCCACCATGCCTGGCCTAATTTTCTTTCAAGAAATCCTAGCAACTATGAAATTCTCCACCTTGTAAAACATGGGGTATGCTACTCCATGAGTTTCCAACTCACCGTTGATTGAAAAACTCCAGAGTGTTTAGCAATCTCAAGGGCCTAGAGAAATGTAATTCTTCAGACAGCCCAGGGCACTCTTGGATCCAATTCCATTTTTAGGTGAATGCATAGAGGAAGCATCGGTATGGTATTGTTGGCCTCGAAGGGCTGTGAGAATGTGCAAGAACAAATATCTTTTATTTACCACTAAACCTGCTCATCATTGAAGTTCTTTCCCCTCCAACCACTGTTCTCTAGCAAAGTATTAGTTCTGGATTCGCTCACACCATCCTTAGCATGAGATTGTTATACAAAAACATGCTTGATCAGCCAGAGAGGAGAGCTTTGACGACGTTCTGGGAAGCCTCTTGGCGTTGGCATCTGCCAAGAGGGGTCCCCAACCTCCTTGCAATTGCAGCTCTTCAGAGAACTCACGCGCAATAGGCCCTGAGCCCTCAAAGTCAAGTAGGAAGGTGAGATGCAGCATCCAGCAGCCATTCTGGGGTATTAAGTAAAGCAGGCAGCTGGAATTTCGTAGAGTTTATTGACGCTAAGCAAAGCCTCATTAGCAATTCCATGGTAAATGTCACTGGAGTTAAACGTCCTCTGGTTATGTGTGAGATATCAAAAAGCAACACCTCAACACAGAGCCATGTTGAAGGAGGTGGGTAAGGAGAGGACGAGGAGGGTGGCAATCCCCCACCAAAGAGAGGAAGCAATAATTAAGATGGAACACAGAACTTAGAACAGTCACTGGATCTGAATAAAACAGACACTCTTCTCTTAGCCGTACTTTGCAGAGAGCATTTCCTATTCCTTAGTTGAAGTGAGAAATCAGAAACTAACCATGGCAAGCCAAATAACTGCCACCCAAAGGTGCGCAAGTCCTACTCTGCAGAAGCTGTGACTATTACCTGGCAAAAGGGACTTTGAAGATGTGATCAAATGAAGGCTCTTGAAATGGGGAGATGATCCTACACTGTCGGGTGGACTCTGGAATCACAAGGGTCATTTTAAGAGGGAGGTAAGAAGGTCAAAAGAGAAAGAAAACCATGTGGTGATGGAATTAGATAAGAGTGATGCAGCCACACAGCAGGGAAGGCCGGGAGTCTTTAAAACCTGGAAATAGGCTGGGCGCGGTGGCTCACACCTGTAATCCCAGCACTTTGGGAAGCCAAAGAGGGCGGATCACCTGAAGGCAGGAGTTCAAGACCAGCCTGGCCAACATGGTGAAACCCCATCTCTACTAAAAATACAAAAATTAGCCCAGTGTGTGGCAGGTGCCTGTAATCCCAGCTACTCAGGAGGCTGAGGCAGAGAATCGCTTGAACCTGGGAGGCAGAGGTTGCAGTGAGCCAAGATCGTACCACTGCACTCCAGCCTGGACAAGAGCAAAGCTCCATCTCAAAAAAAAAAAAATAGAAAGAAAGAAAGCAGGCTCTCTCCTGGAATCTTCAGAAGGCATCAGCCCTGCAAACACCTTGATTTTAGAAGTCTGACCTCCAGATCTGTAAGAGAATGCATTTGTGTTGTTTTGAGCCACTAAATTTGTGGTCATTTGTCCTAGCAGCAACAGGAAACTAAGCCACCAACCATGTCCATGTCTATTGCATATGGTTTATTGCATAATGGCTATGCTAAAGTTAGCTGGCTGGGTGTTTGGATTCATGCCTGTAATCCCAGCGCTTTGAGGGGCTGAAGCAGGAGGATTGCTTGAGCCCAGGAGTTTGAGATCAGCCTGGGCAACATAGTGAGACCCTGTTTCTACAAAAAAATTTTAAAAATTAAGCTGGAGTAGTGGCACACACTTGTAGTCCCAGCTATTTGGGAAGCTGAGGTGGAAGGATTGCCTGAGCCCAGGTGGTTGAGGCTGCAGTGATCCATGATTGTGCTGCTACACTCCTGTTGGGGCAACAGAGTGAGACCTCATCTCAAAAAAAAAAAAAGCAACTGATAGCAAACTGCAGCTCTCATTTCTCAGTGTAAGTTCAGTATTTCTCATTAAGCCCATATTTTATGTCTTCATAAAATTTTGCATTAATGAATTCTTTCAAGAAGTGATGTAAGCTATAGAAGGGTTATCTGGAGGTTGTCAATCCTGCCCACCATAGCAATCCAGGCAGGCTCTGATGGTGAGAAGACGGAAGGACTCCGTCAGTGCTCTCTAATGCGGGCATCGCCATCTTGACTGCAGAGCCCAGCCTTGGGATCCAAGAACTGGGGGGAAACCTGGAGGCAGCTTAGTGGGGTGCCAAGGAGGCCAGTGGGAGGCAGTCTGATGTAGCAGAAACACAACACTCATGCATTTGCATCTCAGCTCTGCAATTACCAAGTATAAATTCTGAGCTTCTGTTTAATCTAAAAATCAGAAATAGGCCAGGGGTGGTGGCTCACACCTATAATCCCAGCACTTTGGAAGGCCAAGGTGGGCAGATCATTTAAGGCCAGGAGTTCGAGAGCAGCCTGGCCAACATGGCAATACCCTGTCTCTACTAAAAATAGAAAAATTAGCTGGGTATGGTGGCGGGCACCTGTAATCCCAGCTACTCGGGAGGCTGAGGCAGGAGAATCGCTTGAAGCCCGGAGACAGAGGTTGCAGTGAGCCAAGATAGCACCACTGCACTCCAGCCTGGGTGACAGAGCGAGACTCAGTGTCAAAAAAATAAAATAATAAAACAATAAAATAAGAATCAGAAATAATAATACTTACTGGCCAGGCGCAGTGCCTCACACCTGTAATCCCAACACTTTGGGAGGCCAAGGTGGGCAGATTGCTTGAGTTCAGGAGTTCAAGACCAGCCTGGGCAACGTGGCAAAATCCTGTCTCTACAAAAAATACAAAAATTAAGCTGACATGGTGGTGTGTGCCTGTGGTCCTAGCTACTTGGGAGGCTGAGGTAGGAGGATCACCTGAGCCTGGGGAGGTTGAGGCTGCAGTGAGCCATGTTCACACCACTGCCCTCCAGCCTGGGTTGTATAGTGAGACCCTATGTCAAAATAATAATAATAATAATAATACTGACTAGCTTTCTTGAGTGGATGAAATTAGATTATGGAAGCAAAGTTCCTAACATGGTAACTATTACAGTTATTGTTTGTTAATAATAGTAAATGACTTTCCCAAGTCCATACAGAGTGTTTTTGTCCGGAAGAGGATGTTGTCTCTGGTGTCACTTCGCAACACAGTGCATTCTAGGACACCAAACATGACACCATTTCAGGGTTTGCCAGGCTGCCTTCGACTACCCCAGAGCTCCTGTCCCCCTGGCTTTCTGTCAATTCCATCCTTTTTCTGGCCGCCCATGACTGCTGCCTGGACTGCCCTTAGTCCATTGAGTCAAACATTTGCATGATGCCAGCTGCATGATGTGTGCAGAGAGATTTGTGCTGAGAGATTTGAGGGAGTGGGGAGGGACTTGGATGAACAAGACAAAGCCCCTCCCTCAAGGAAATGATATTTTAGTAGGTCTAGACAAGAACAGAACGGACATTTGTGATGTAGAATGAGTGAAGGGCCATTGGGGGCAGAGTGAGGTGTCATGACCGTGTACCGGCAGATGAAAGGCTCCCCAAGGAGAGAGCTGAATGAAGTAGAGACCCCTGAGACCCCCAGGACCATGACAGATGGTGGAGGGACAAGGAGTATGTTATAAAAGCAAGGAGCAGGGACATCTGGGGCCTGCCTGGACCAAGGGCATGCTGTCTGCATGGGTGGAATTTAGGGACATTGCGGACACACTTCCATCCACTCCACTCGGAGTGTGAACACCCGTCTCAGTCAGGACAGTTCTGCTCCATTCTTTACAGTCGAGGCAGAGTGCTGAGAAGGGCGGGTTTTACCTGATGCTCAGACGCTTCTCTCTTCCTCGGTGTAGCCAACAAGTAAATACAGAGCTGATTCTCTTTTTTCTTCATTTTAAAATTGTTTTTAGAAATGGAGTCTTTCACTGTTGCGCAGGCTGGAGTGCAGTGGCACCATCACAGCTCACTGCAGCCTTGAACTCCTGGGCACAAGTGATTCTCCTGCCTTCACCTTCCAAGTAGCCAGGACTACAGGCATACACCACCACGCTCAGCTAATTTTGTTTTTTATTTTTTGTAGAGATGAGATGTCACTATGTTGCCCGGGCTGGTTTCAAACTCCTGGCCTCAAGGGATCCTCCTGCCTCAGCCTCCCAAACTGCTGAGATAACAGGTGTGAGTTACTGCACCCTGCCCAGAGTTGACTTTCACTCTTAGGAAAAGAATAGCTTGAGCTGCTTCTCTTAGTTAAATGAATGTGGAGCCATCAGGTTCCCATTGGTGTGAGGAAAATGCAGAAGAGACACGTTTGTGGCTAGAGGAAAATCCCAAGAGGCCCTTTGGCATAGACAGTTCTGCAGAGAGGGTGTGCCAGTGTCCAGGGGGAGTCTAGGCCCTTGGTGTCCAGTTCAGAAACTCTGATAAACTGGCTGGCACAAGCCAGGGGAGGGACCCTGACTGTGGTCTGTGGCTGGAAAAGACCCAGAGGATCCCAACAGGATGTTTACAAGAGGGAAAAGGAAGCCAAGCACAGTGGCTCACACCTGTAATCCCAGCACTCTGGAAGGCCGAGGCAGAAGGATTACCTGAGGTCAGGAGTTTGAGACCAGCCTGGCCAACATGGCGAAACCCTGTCTCCACTAAAATACAAAAAGTTAACCAGATATGGTGGCGGCACCTGTAATCCCAGCTACTCAAGTGGCTGAGGTGTGAGAATTGCTTGAACCAGGGAGGCGGAGGTTACAGTAAGCCAAGATCACAGGGTGACAGAGTGAGACTCCATCTCAAAAACAAAACAAAACAGAAAAAGAGGGAAAGGGGAAGGTCTGTGCTGGGAACTGGGGCTCAGCAGGGGCCAGGCCAGCACGAAGCAGCATTTTGGAACAAATGCCTGGGAATGTGGGCATGAATGAAAGGGGTGGCATTCCTAAAGCCCAGTGAACTTGGGATATACAACCGAGACACACTCGGGATCCAGGCCAAGCTGTCAAGCAGAGGAGAGCCGTCCATCAGGCATCACTGCAGGATCACTTTTCCCAGCGACAACTACCTCATTCTGAGCACAGAAGCATCCGTGCTAAACAACCGATCAGGCTCTCAGTTCTTTCTCTGACTGCTGTTTGGAAGCAGAGCCAAACTTTTTAAAAATTCTTCATTTTATTTTAAGTTCCAGGATACATGTGCAGGACATGCAGGTTTGTTATATAGGTAAACGTGTGCCATGGTGGTTTGCTGCACCCATCCACACATCACCTAGGTATTAAGCCCCACGTGCATCATTAGCTATTTATCCTGATGCTCTCCCTCCTCACCCCGCCAACAGGCCCCAGTGTGTGTTGTTCCCCCTGTGTCCATGTGTTCTCATTGTTCAGCCCCCACTTATAAGTTAGAACATGCAGTGTTTGGTTTTCTGTTGCTGTGTTAGTTTGCTGAGGATAATGGCTTCCAGCTTCATCCATGTCCTTGCAAAGGACATGATCTCATTCCTTTTTATAGCTGCATATTATTCCGTGGTATATATGTACCACATTTTCTTTATCCAGTCTATCATTGATGGGCATTTGGGTTGATTCATGTCTTTGCTATTGTGAACAGTGCTGCAATGAACATACATGTGCATTTATCTTCATAATGGAATGATTTATATTCCTTTGGGTATACACCTAATAATGAGATTGCTGGGTAAAATGGTATTTCTGGTTTTAGATTTTGAGGAATCACCACACTGTATTCCACAGTGGTTGAACTAATTTACACTCCCACCAACAGTGTAAAAAGCGTTCCAATTGCTCCACAGCCTTGCCAGCATCTGTTGTTTCTTGACTTTTTCATAATCTCCATTCTGACTCATGTGAGATGGTATCTCATTGTGGTTTTGATTTGCATTTCTCTAACGATCAGTGATATTGAGGCTTTTTCATATGTTTGTTGAGCCAGACTCTTAAGACTCCCTGAACCCCCAACATTCCCTGATGTTGAAGGTGATGGAAGTGTCTCAAGGAGAAAAGCTTAGGCTAAAACTAGTGATGGGTTACGCAACTATGCAGAGAAATAGAAGTGTTTATCACACAAGTACCAGCTGACCAGAAAGATCCTGCCATTCCCATAGGTACTGGTCGTGTGAGTGGAAGTTGCAGCCAGGCCGACATTTACATGTACACCTGCACCAGTGTCATCACTGTGACATGGTGACTTCCTAAGGGACTCTGGGTGTCGAGCATGCATGTTCAGCATGGAGGGTGACAGCCACCCCAGCTCCGAAATGCTTTCAGAGGAGAATATTGGCAAACAAGCACTTGTTAAACATCTTCAGAATCTTTCCTATAACAGGATCTAAGTGGATTCTATTAAATGCCTGAGTAACATCCTCATCCATTTGTCTCATTTGTATTCAGTCCTAGATAGAGTTCCCCTTCTTCCATGGCTTGTCACATATTATTTTTTAATCAGATAATTTAACATCCAAAACTTCACTGGTATGGAAGAAAGCAGAGAAATGTAAAGGAGATCAGACTGATACCAGCTGGTCTTCTGAAGTTCAAGCCCGGGCGCTGAACTGAGCATCTGGCTACATTCTTTGGTGTCTCAAATTCACTGAGGTCAATAACCAACCTTTCTCACAAGCACTCCTCATTTCCAATCTGTCTCCCCAACTGCACAACTTTGTGTAATCAAAGAGGGAAAGATGGCTCCTCAGATGGACCCTCAGAGAAAGATAAGATCAGGCCCACAGGGAGGCCAGCCCTGTGTTCCTTCCACCTTGATGGTCACTGTCAGAGGATGTACAGGGAGTGTGGTGACAATGGCTCAAGGCTACTGACCTAAGAGGCCGTGTCTTCCATTTTGCGAGGGAGACACTGGCAGACAGCTGCTCCCGGCGTGTTTGTGTGTATGTAAATATCCACACACTCACTCTGAACTCCGAGAGCTGTCTGGCCATCTGCCACAAATGCAGCTTGCGTCCCGAAGATGCAGCCGTGTGTCACAGATGGAGATGGGGCAAGCACCGTGCACCTCCACCAGAGTCTTAGACCTGGGCACACAGACAATCCCAGAACTGAATTTCAGAGCCTTTGAGGTTTTCCCTTCACACTATTACAATAAATCAAAACCACAATTCGAATTAAATCTTGTCTTATGCTTCCATTGTTCTAAATGGGGCAGGAAGACCCCAAAGCATTATTAACAAGACAAGGTTGAAAATACCCAGACAATTGGGTGTCCAGATACCCTTTCTCTCTCTTATCCAAAGCTGTTCTCCAAACACAACCAATAACTCTCCCTCTCAGATCCAAATCAACAGCCCATTGAAAAAGTTCCTACTTCAGATCTCGGAGACAAAAGTGAATAGCCAAGCAGAGTCTCAAATAAATCCTATTATCCCTTCTCCCACCCTCCCTCTCTTCTTTCGACCTCAAAGCTTTGCCGTCTTAGCTTTTCCATCTTTCATTGGATTCTCAGCACTGCTGCCTTGTTTCCATAGAATCACAGAAGTCAAAGCTAAAAAAGATTTTGCGTATTTCCCTTCACACAAACCCCCAAGGGCAAAATGTTACCAAACTCCTACTCTTAGATCCACAACAGACTTTTCTGCTGGGAGCCAGGCGTAAACATGGAGTCACGCGTGATTATTGAGTTCTGTCATCCACACCAGAAAACAGCAGTGGCAGGAGAAGGCGGCTGCGGGAACATTTTCTCCTTCCAAAAGAGCTTTCATCACTCTACTTAGCTTTCATTTCTGGCTCAAGCTTAGAAGCCTCCAGTTTAGTGTCTTTCTAGGCAGTCTTGTGGTCCACTCTATCACCAATAATGCAGCACCTACACCAAGCCAAGGAACACTCAGAGAGACGGCTGGGGCAGAAGACACAGAGACAGGAAATCTCCATGCAATTCGGTCTTGTCTGTGCTGCCATGGGACCTTGGGCCCAAGTTGTAGTGCCCAAGCCCATGGCAAGCAAGCAGGAAGGCAGTTGTTCAGGAGATGACGATCATTCAGAGCATCTGCCTTGGAACATCATTTAGTTTTGTTCAGCACCATTCCCAAGCCCGCTACGTACACGAAGAGATGTAAAGCCGCATAATGTTCCCTGAACTGCTTTTGTTGAATGCCTGAGTTATCACCCCCCTTTCAGGGGGTGGCTTCTACCCATCTGAACACCTGGGAGGTCTGCTTGGCCCCAAAGTCCAAGTTTCTTGGTGTTAGTTTCAAATGCCTTACAAGCCGTACCCCCAACTATCACCAAGAATAAGCCCACAGAAACCTCACTGAGAAAAGACTCCCTTTTCTCAGTGGAAAGTAGCTTATCTTTGTCTATTTCAAAGTTGGTGCTAATTGTAATTGTTGACTGTTTTTGTCCTCTGATTAGGGGAAGACAAAATCCAGTTACCAGCCATCCCTTCCTTCTCCCAGACCAAAGTGTGCCTACCTCCTGTGCCATTTTGTGGGGGGGTCTGCTTGGCTAGTTAAGGTGACCAATTAACCCATAAAGCAGTATTAATAAAGTATGAAGATTTTTTATGTGCCCCAGGGTGCATTTTAACACCTTCGGTATCTTGATACTAAAAGTGCTGCCTAAAGATAGAAACGTAGGGCATTGAAAGCTAACTAGTGAGAGAAATATTGAAGAACCCAGTATAATGATGGTAGATGACCATCAGCTACTTGGCGGGGTCCTGTGTTTAGTCTTAAACAATAGAATTGGCAATATCAAGTTGATTTTCCACAAGTCTTCACATGACATCCGCTTCACGTCACAAATAGGAATGGTGGGGCTCTAGGTGGTACACCAGATAGACAGACAATAGGGACATGATAATGGCCCCAGACCTTTCAGCCTATCAGTCAGGCAATGGTGGGCATGTCACATGGCCAAGGACAAGTCTTTTCTGTTGGACCAGCTCACCGGGGCAGCTTGGTCCATTGCCCCTGTCAATCAACAGAGTGCGGGTTCACACACAAAGAACAGGTACTTCATCATGAGCTGTCCAATTTCAAAACAATAGTCATTTTCTCTCCACACCAGTCTGAAAACCAGCCCCATTAAGGATCATGATCAGACCATATTGATCACTTCTCTAAGCATCTCTTCAAGGGACATCTCTAGACATACTTGACTGAGCTGGATTTAATTTAAGCACTTTGCTGTCTACAAATTCTATCAGTTTAGCCTTGTGAAAAATTAGGACATTACGGCTCCAGCTTCCCTAAGGAACTCTGAGCACTGATGTTCTCAATGCCCTGCACCTCCCCTGCTTGGGAACGACCACCCCTCCTTGCCAGGAGAACCCTGAGTTGCTGGCACCTTCTCATCCATGAAGCACACTGTCTTGCTACCCAGATTTCTCTCCTGAAAAGCAATGGCCTACAGAGTGAAAACTAAGGCCATATGCCCAACACTCTTAACACATTCCGTCCAACTCTGAGAAGCAAATTTGCCGTTTACAAGGGGAGAAGAATGAAGCCACTTGAAAGAGCCACATCCCCTTCTCATCTAGTTTTTAAAAAATCATCTTTGCACAAAGAAATGACAAGTGCTTGAGGTGATAGATACCCCAATTACTCTGATGCATTATGCACTCTATGCCTGTCTCAAAACATCACATGTACTCCATAGATATATCCATCTACTATGTACCCATAAAAACTAAAAATTTTTAAAAAATCATCTTTGTTGCCTCCAGAGAGGGTCATTCTGGCCACGCCTGCTGGTCTGATTCTGTGAGTCATTGACAGTGGGGCAGAGTGGGAACTAGGGATATGCAGAGGAGATAGATTTTCAGCCCCTTTACTTTCTTGAAACTATTTCCTCTCGTCGTGTGAATGGAATTTTTAAAATGATATCTAAAGCACAGTAGGAAAATAATGTAAATCAAGTGCTAGGAAATTCTTCCCTCCAGGCACCATTCAAAAACCAAACTCATTTGAGAGAAGTTCCAGGGGTTCGGAACAGTTGAGAGGGGGCTTGCTTTAGCCTTGCTGGATGACATCAAGGCAAAAGATGAGAGTGTGTGAGGGATCAGCGCGGAGGTCCTGAGCTCAGAGCAGGAGTTGTGAGTCAGCCTTGGAGACGCCCACTGCAAACAAGCATTCAGGCTTGTCGAGATGATTTCTGGAGGTTAAGTGTAGGTGGATCTCGTGTTTCAGATGCTTTCAGCGTATTTTGTCATCTCATTTGTTCCATTAAGGTTTGTTTAAAAGAAAAAAATCCAGGAAACTAACGTCAACAACTAAGAGAATTTTGTAAATATCATTCCTCCCACTTCAAGCGACATTGCCTACATCAATGCTAACCCATACGTTAGTAATGCTTTTGAAAGGAATTATGTGAAGACAACAGTCTAAAGTTCCTATTATTGCAGAAAGCTTTTACCAAATATCTGCTTTTATTTTACACTTCTGAATACAAGGAACCAGGACCATGCTTTTAAGTATAAGCCTTATTCTGAAATGGATGAGTAATGTTGCCAAGAAACCAAGAAGCCGGTGGGCAGCAAAGCAGAAACGTGATGTGGAATAATGACTTCGGTGCAGTTCCTCACACTTATATAACATATGTCTCTGCATCTATGGGGGGCAAGCGTGTATGCTTAAATAGCCCACCCAAAAGGGGTAGAAACAATAAGAGCAGAGCGTTCCTCTAAGGAGGGTATGGTTGTAGTGAGACATCAAGAAACAGTCAGAGGCTGGGCATGGTGGCTCACGCCTATAATTCCAGCACTTTGGTAGGCCAAGGCAGGTAGATTATGAGGTCAGGAGTTCAAGACCAGCCTGGCCAACATGGTGAAACCCTGTCTCTACTAAAAATACAAAAAAAAAAAAAAAAAAAATAGCTGGACGTGGTGGCAGGCGCCTGTAATCCCAACTACTCGTGTGGCTGAAGCAGGAGAATTGCTTGAACCCAGGAGGCAGAGGTTGCAGTGAGCCGAGATCTCCCCATTGCACTCCAGCCTGGGTGATAAGAGCAAAACTCCATCTCAAAAAAAAAAAAAGAAAGAAAGAAAGAAAGAAACAGCCAGATATAATGAAGAGGCTGAGTGAGATGGTAGTCTTTTAGGTAACACTTGGAATGAAAAGGAGCTATGGTTTTTGTGTGTTTCTCACTTAAAACCAGAGTGTTATTATCCTTTACCATTGCATCAGCAGGAAGCATTGAAGGTTGTGAAAGTTCTTTTGGTTGGTTGGTTTGTTGGTTGTTGGTTGATTAGTTGGCTGGTTGGTTGGTTGATTGGTTGGTTGGTTTGTTGGTTGGTTGATTGCTTGGTTGGTTTGTTGGTTGGTTGATTGCTTGGTTGGTTGGTTGGTTGTTGGATTTGGGATACAGAAGCAAAGAAAAGGGAGGAGAAAAAGAGCACTCAAAATGCAGTTGGTGAACAGTGTGCAGCTAGGAAGGAAACCTCTGCTCCTGGTGCTCCACTCAGAGAAAATAGAGGGTGCTATTTCACTAGAACCACAGCAAAAGCATCACAGTGTAGTACGGAAGCTTCTGTCTCATCCTAAGGATGGGGTTGAAGCCAGCTCAAGTTTGGGACTGATTCAAACTAACTGAGATAATCTTTCCAACTAAGAAAAGACTTGTAATCCAAATTATAAAATGTGGTGTGGCCCTTCCTCTTCCTTCCCTTCCCTGAACTATGTAGTCTTAGAGCTATCAGGTGGGGTAGAGCAAGAGTTGGAGTGAGGGAGCTGCAGCGGTCCAGAGTGATGAAGAGGCCAAAAAGGATGAGGAGGACATCTTCTCAGATGGGTCACCTACAAAGGGCATCAAACCCCAAGCACAGAAGGAGGGTGTCCTCCCTTGGGGGGCAGCAGTAGGGGAATCAGTAGGGGATCACTGTGTTCAGAAGTGTAAAATCAAAGTACATGTTTGGTAAAAGCTTTCTGCAATAATAGGAACTGTTAACTGTTGTCTTCACATAGTTCCTTTCAAAAGCATTACCAACGTATGGGTGAATGTTGATGTAGGGGTGAGCCTGCGTGGGGTGAGGGGATCTCTGTGTGGGGATGGCTTCAGTAAGCACTGGAAACATACTAAAGAATTGAGCAAATAAGCAAGCAAGCAAACCAAGAACAAGAACAATTGAGCAAATAAGGAAACAAGCAAACCAAAAACAAAGAACAAGCAAAACAAAGAACAAGCAAACCAAAAACAAGAACAATGGGATTCAGGTTTTTCGCTGTCAAAAGAAGGAAGTTATAAATATGTAAAGAGAGGAATTGGAACTGAAAGTATTGATATGATTCCTTGGGATTTTCAAAATAGATGGATAGATAAATAGACTTTGATATAGATGTAGACATGAGTATAAAGGTAAATGTATGTATATATATATGTGTGTTTGCATGTACATACACTGATCCCCTACAAACATATATACCCTGTCACTCTCTGTCCACTGACAGAGTAACAATAGTAATGGGCACACTCAGGACCCAGAAGTTGGCCTCTAAATACCCTCCTCCACTGAAAGGAAACAGGGCTCCTTGGGGAAATGGCAGCAGCCATTGTCATCACTGCATGCCAGGTAGGAAAAGTAAGAATGAGTTGAAACATCTAATTGTTCCAGAAAAGAAGGAAGTGTTCAAATAATAACTGGGGACAATGAGTCACAGAAGCCAAATCTAGGGCATTTAGAGAATCAAAATAATGTTAAAAATGGATCATAACTGATATGGTTTGTATCTGTGTCCCCACCCACATCTCATCTTTCTTCCATTGTAATCCCCAGTATTGGAGGTGGGGCCTGGTGGGGGGCGATTGGATTTTGGGGGCAGATTCTCATGAATGGTTTAGCACCATCCTCTTGGCGCTGTTCTCATGATAGTGAGTGTGTTCTCATGAGATCTGGTTGTTTAATAGTGTGTAGCACCTCCCCACCCTCTTGCTCCTTCTCCCGCCACGTAAGATGCTTACTCCTGCTCTGCCTTCTGCCATGATTGAAAGCTTCCTGAGGCTTCCCCAGAAGCAGAGGCCACTATGCTTCCTGTTCAGCCTGTGGAACCATGAGCCAATTCAACCTCTTTTCTTTGTAAATTTCTCAGTCTCAGGTATTTTTTTATACCTGTCTGCGAGAACAGACTGAATAGATTGATACAATAACTTAATAAGTAACAAAGAAAAACAGGAATCTATATTGATATAAATATGGATAGATTGAAAGTTTATGGAGCAACAGAATACTTACATAATTCCTAGTTCCTCTACTCAAAATGCTTATTAATTACAAAAGGTAAAGAATAAATGTGATGTGGAGGAGTCTGATAGATATCATAACCAAGTATTGAAGTCAACCTCACCATTAATGGGACAAATTGGCTGAAGTTGTGTACCTCCTGGTAGGATGCATTAAGAAGAACATAGTATCATCTCTGTGATATTTCTGCCAAAAATACATGATCAAAATCAAATCATGAAAATGCATCAGAGAAGAGTCATTCTACATTCATCTGGCCTGTAATCTTCAAAAATGTCAAGGTCCTAAAGTCAAACCAAGACTGAAAAACTGCTCCAGACTGCAAGACTACAGTGACATGACAACTGAACGCAATGCCTGACTCTAGAGTCTATCCTTTTGCTATCCACACCCTTGCTGGGACGACTGGTAAGGTTGGAATGAGGTCAGAGGATTCAATTGTAGAAATGGATCTTTTGTTTTCTTTTTTTTTAAATCAAGTTCTAGGGTACATGTGCACAACGTGCAGGTTTGTTACATATGTAAACATGTGCCATGTTGGTTTGCTGCACCCATTAACTCATCATTTACGTTAGGTATTTCTCCTAATGCTATCCCTCCCCCATCTCCCCACCCCACGACAGGCCCCGGTGTGTGATGTTCCCTGCCCTGTGTCCAAGTGTTCTCATTGTGCAATTCCCACCTATGAGTGAGAACATGCTGTGTTTGGTTTTCTGTCCTTGCGATAGTTTGCTCAGAATGATGGTTTCCAGCTTCTTTCATGTCGCTACGAAGGACATGGACTCATCCTTTTTTATGGCTGTGTAGTATTTCAAGGTGTATATGTGCCACATTTTCTTAATCCAGTCTATCATTGATGGACATTTGGGTTGGTCCCAAGTCTATGCTATTGTGAATAGTGCCGCAATAAACATACATGTGCATGTGTCTTTAGAGTAGCATGATTTATAATCCTTTGGGTATATAACCAGTAATGGGATCACTGAGTCAAATAGTAAGAAAGGTATCATTTTTAACATCATTACTTTGATGACTGCATTATGATTATATAGGAGAATGCCCTTGTTTGTAGAAAGTACATACTCAAGAATTCAGAAATCAGGTGGGCATGGTGGCTCACGTCTGTAATCCAAACACTTTGGGAGGCTAAGGAGGGAGGATTGTTGGAGCCCAGGAGTTTGAGACCACCCTGGGCAACACTGGGAGGCCCCAGCTCTACAAAAAATTTAAAAATTAGCCAGCCTTGGTGGTGGGTGCCTGTAGTCCCAGGTACTTCGGAGGCTGAGGCAGAAGGATCGCTTGAGCCCAGGAGGTCGAAGCTGCAGTGAGCTATGATTGCACCATTGCACTCCAGCCTGGGTGACAGAGCAAGAACCTGTCTCTAATAGTAATAATAATAATAATAATAATACAGAAATCATGGGGCATTTTGTCAACAACTTAATCTCAAATGGTTCCAGAAAAAAGAAAGTACTGTGTTTGCAACTTTTCTGTAATATTGAGATTGTTTCAAAATTTCTTTTAAAAGAACCTTGTAGGGAAAGTGAATTCTACAGGGATTTTGCATAAATTAACACAGCAGTGGGGCTTTCTGGATAGTGATTGTAACCCAACAAGCATAACAGAATTGTCTAGGGAATTTTTTTAAACACCCAGGAAGAATCATCCGAGTTTAACTGCTTTCCTAGCTGAGTGTGCTCTAGTAAGGAAGCTTTGACGTGGGGTCACGGTGCTGGCCCATGGCTATGTGTGCCTCTTGTTACAAGGCAAGGGAAGTTTCTAAAGGAAGCTGGGCGAATGTGAAGAAACATTTGCCATCTCTCCTCCTATTGATATGATACCAGATTAGCATATAAGGCTGATAACACCCTTTGGAACCTACATGGTTAATTCTAAAAGTTTCCGTCAGAGTAACAGCAGGTGCTCAGTCAGCAGCAGCCATTGTCACCACTGCATGCCAGAAGCCCTAACAGTGGTGTCCCAAATCCTCACAACGACACTGCAAGCTATGTATCAAGTGAGTTATAATGACCCACTGAGGGATGAGAACCTGCCCACCTGAGACTCAGAGAGGCTGAGGCTCTTGCTCAAGATCACACAGCCGCGGGGACAGGTTCATGCCTGTAATCCCAACACTTTGGGAGGCCAAAACAGGAGAGTCACTTGAGGCCAGAGTTCAAGACCAGCCTGGGCAATATAGTGAGACCCCATCTCTACAAAAAAAATTAGCCAAGTATGGTGGCACTGAGAGGTGACAGCGTGCTGGCAGTCCTCACGGCCCTCGCTCGCTCACAGCGCCTCCTCTGCCTGGGCTCCCACTTTGGCGGCACTGGAGGAGCCCTTCAGCCCGCTGCTGCACTGTGGAAACCCCTTTCTGGGCTGGCCAAGGCCGGAGCCGGCTCCCTAAGCTTGCGGGGAGGTGTGGAGGGAAAGGCGCGGGCGGGAACCGGGGCTGCACGTGGTGCTTGCGGGCCAGCGCGAGTTCCGGGTGGGTGGGGGATGGGCGGACCCCGCACTCGGAGCTGCGAGCAGGCCCCACCGGCCCCAGGCAGTGAAGGGCTTAGCACCTGGGCCAGCAGCTGCTGTGCTCAATTTCTCGCGGGGCCTTAGCTGCCTTCCTGTGGGGCAGGGCTCGGGACCTGCAGCCCGCCATGCCTGAGCCTCCCCCACCCCGCTCCGTGGGCTCCTGTGCGACCCAAGCCTCCCTGACGAGTGCCGCCCCCTGCTCCAGGGCACCCAGCCCCATCGACCACCCAAGGACTGAGGAGTGCGGGCGCACGGCGCGGGACTGGCAGGCAGCTCCACCTGCAGCCCCCGTGCGGGATCCACTGGGTGAAGCCAGCTGGGCTCCTGAGTCTGGTGGGGACGTGGAGAACCTTTATGTCTAGCTCAGGGATTGTAAATACACGAATCGGCACTCTATATCTAGCTCAAGGTTTGTAAACACACCAGTCAGCACCCTGTGTCTAGCTCAGGGTTTGTGAATGCACCAATCCACACTCTGTATCTAGCTGCTCTGGTGGCGACTTGGAGAACCTTTGTGTGGACACTGTATCTAACTAATCTGGTGGGGATGTGGAGAACCTTTGTGCCTAGCTCAGGGATTGTAAACGCACCAATCAGCACCCTGTCAAAACAGTCCACTCGGCTCCACCAATCAGCAGGATGTAGGTGGGGCCAGATAAGACAATAAAAGCAGGCTGCCGGAGCCAGCAGTGGCAACCCGCTCGGGTCCCCTTCCACGCTGTGGAAGCTTAGTTCTTTCTTTCTTTGCAATAAATCCTGCTGCTGCGCACTCTTTGGGTCCACACTGCCTTTATAAGCTGTAACACTCACCACGAAGGTCTGCAGCTTCACTCCTGAGCCCGCGAAACCATGAACCCACCAGAAGGAAGAAACTCTGAACACATCCCAACATCAGAAGGAACAAACTCCGGACGCGCCACCTTAAGAGCTGTAACACTCACCTCGAGGGTCCGCGGCTTCATTCTTGAAGTCGGTGAGACCAAGAACCCACCAATTCCGGACACAGCATGAGTGCAGAGGCTGAGGCAGGAGGATCGCTTGGGCCCAGGAGTTTGAGATTGCAGCGAGCTGTAATCGTGCCACTGCACTCCAGCCTTGGTGACAAGTATAAGATCCGATCTCGATCAAAATTAACAATAAAAAAGATAACAGCTAAGAATGTTGTTACTCCTTTTTCTTCCTGACCCTGGATAGCGGCTGGATAGCCCTCCCCCCAGGCACTCTTCACTCAGCTGAACAAGACCCCTCACCCCTTTGATGGTAAAGACCTAGAGGGAAAACATGGAGGGATTTTTGGTGTTTCAAGGATCAGGAAAAAAATCCCTTCTCTCAACACAGCACCTCTGAATAGGGCAAAGCTACTGCAGTGTCAAGACAGTGTCACTCTCCCAACCTGGGAAGGAGACTGGGGGTTAACCCTTCCTTTCCTTGCTAAGGGGATCACCCACTTTCTCTGCCAAGAATGTGACTGGAAAGAGAAGCTCAACAAAGAAGACTCCAGCACACTGGGAACCAGAGTCTTCCTGCTGTCCCGACCATGTGCAGTGGGAAGAGATGCACACCCCTGTCCCCACCCGCCTGTGCTAGATGTCCTCTACCTTCTCCTTAACTCCCATAACCAGCCTCATCATCACAGCAAATGTGATTAGGCAACTTTTGTTTGGTTGATTTTTAGAGAGAGGATCTCACTCCATCACTCAGGCTGGAGTGCAGTGGCACGGTCAGAGCTCACTACAGCCTTGAACGCCTGGGCTCAAGCAATTATCCCACCTCAGCCTCCCAAGTAGCTGGGACCACAGGCGTGCACCACCTGCCCTGGCTAATTTTTTTAATCTTTTTACAGAGATAGGGTCTTGCCTTGCTGCCCAGCCTGGTCTTGCACTTCTGGCCTCAAGCAATCCTCCCATCTTGGCCTCCCAAAGCGCTGAGATTACAGGTATGAGCCACTGCGCCCAGCCTATCCTAGCAATTCTAATGCCTGGACGTGCAAGGTCTTTATGTAGCCCCTGAGCAGTGCAGAATAGCTATGTTAAATTGTTTGCAATTTTGTGAGATGCACTATATTTACATGAACTCTTAGCAAATTTTCATATGAAAATATTTATAATTCCTACTGAAATGTATATGAACTGAACGCAACTGGATTTCAGCCCCTGTCTCTGTGTCTTAATTTGATAAACAAGCAATTACCCTTAACACAAGCAATAGCACTTTGATCAGCTTGAGTGTGGGAAAACTTCCTCAAGTGAGTAAGGGAAACTAATATATGGACATTGTAGGCAATGTAAAATGGGCAGAAATGCACAGATTAAGTGGCGGAAAATAGATTCAGTTTCAACAGTTACCTCCAAGAGGTGAATGATCCAGTCCATTCACACATTTCACAAATATTTACCAAGAATCTGCTACATATTGGGCACTGGCCTTTCCTCTGAGTATACAGAGATGAACATGACAAATTGGGGACCGGTGGCGTTGCTTCCTTAAAGAAGACCAGCTCAGATGAGGAGTCAGGCAAGTCCAGCCAGTTTGTACCAGCAGAGAATCAATTGCTCAGTCAGTCACTCTGCATACAGTTATGGCTCGCACAGTGTTCAAAGCTGGTGTAGATGGCTCATTTCTGGCTCTTCCAGCCCCAGTGCCATTTAGCTACTTAGGTTTTTAGGCAATGTGGCCACACACAAGCACTTCCTTTGGCATATGTAAAAGAGAAGGATGTGAAACTCTCAACTTTCTTTCTCTCAGTCAACAATACAGAAGTCAGGATCTGATGATTAAAATTCTATCTCAAAGCGGGGCATGGTGTTGCCAGACACCAGCCATGTAAGCTTTGGAGTTGTATAGGGTCACTAATTGAAAATCAGGCAGTCTGGCTTACTCTATAGCAAGCTTGTCCAACCCGCAGCCCACGGGCCACATGCAGCCCGGGATGGCTTTGTCTGCGGCCCAACACAAATTCATAAATATTCTTAAAACATTATGCGACTTTTTTGCAATTTTTCTTTAGCTCATCAGCTATCGCTAATGTTAGTGTATTTTATGTGTGGCCCAAGACAATTTTTCTT
This sequence comes from Homo sapiens, assembly GCF_000001405.40. NCBI lineage: Eukaryota > Metazoa > Chordata > Mammalia > Primates > Hominidae > Homo > Homo sapiens. The sequence goes on from NC_000010.11 coordinate 34,058,718, forward strand.
CTTCCAATGTGGCCCAGGGAAGCCAAAAGATTGGACACTCCTGCTCTGTAAGAAAATGCACATCGCCTAAATAGACAGCTGTAAAAAATATCCTGGAAAGGAAAACTAAGAGTGACCCCCCCTTCCGCAGTCTGAAGAGAGTGAAAACCCACCACCAGCTGGTTCCCAGGGCCAATTAGCTGGCCAGCTTGTACCCTGTCTGAGTGCAATGAGGCAGCCTTCAATGAATTCCACTATTTTTACGGCAAAGACAAACTTCTAGAGTTGTCTGGGATTTATTTCAGGCCCTCTTTATGATGGAAAAGTAAAGCCTCCCTATTTGTACAAGCCACTGCGTGTTTACAGAGAGATTCTAAACAGACTGCCAACCGGAGAGCACAGGGCTGGCCTAGTTTTAAAGAGAATCTTAATTAGTAACACCAGCAAAAATCCCATTTGGACCAAAATTTCATGTTCTAAAAGTTTTCCTCTCAACTCCCCTAAGGCTTATGGCTGACTCTTTATTTCTGGAACAGTCTAGTGAAGAGGGAGGAAGAGAATCCAAGATCATATATTTATCTCATTATATCAAAGGAAAAATTTCAGACGACTCCAAAGTCACAAGTTAGAACATGAGAATGAAACCGTATAAACACTGTTAAGGCCGGGCCTTGCATTTCCTTGAGAAATCTGTCTGTTAGGAACGAGTTCACGAAGAGCCTTTCTCTGCTTTCCTGGCCATGCCACAGTCGGGCCTTCAAATGTGGTGCCGGGAAGAGCATCTTCATTTAGAAAACACATCTGTTGGCTGGGCACAGTGACTCATTCCTGTAATTCCAGCCCTTTGGAAGGCTGAGACAGGCGGATCACTTGAGGTCAGGAGTTCAAGACCAGCCTGGCCAAAATAGTGAAACCCCAACTAAAAACACAAAAATTAGCAGGGCATGGTGGTGCATACTTGTAATCTCAGCTATTCAAGAGTCTGAGGTGGGAGAATCACTTGAACCTAGGAGGTAAGCGTTGCAGTGAGCCGAGATCACGCCACTGCACTCCAGCCTGGGTGACAGAGCAAGACTCCATCTAAAAAAAAAAAAAAAAAGAAAAAGAAAAAAGAGAAAGAAAGAAAAAAGAAAATGCATCTGCTTTCTAGGTTAGCGTTTCTCTAACACGAATAGGCGCATGAACCACCAGGGTATCTTGTTAAAACTCAGATTTTGATTCAGGAGATCTGGGGTGCATCCTGAGAAGCTACACTCTTAAGAAGCCCCGAGGTGATGGCTGATAGTCTGGTCCATGGACCACACTTTGAGTAGCGAGGTTCTAGATGATGATTGTGAGGCTGAAAACTCAACCACGTTGCTCAGAACTGATTCCCAAATAAAGTCAGGAGGAGAATGTGATGCTGTAGAAGAGTGATTGGGCTGAGCAGCCTGGGGAGGAAGGCACTCTGGCTCCCAGAGACCTCAGCCTATGCACGGCCTCTTCCAACCTCTCATGGGAGATGAGACCCAAAAAGATGCCACCTGATGCCTGGCAGAACCACTTCCAAAGGCTTTTCCCCATGCTTGCTCAGTGTTGCCCAAATCTTATGCTACCAAAGGACATAGAATCCCAGGAGCACTTTAGATTTACTAGAATCTTGCTTTTGGGACTTTCCTCACTCTTACAAATTGGCAGACTTGCCTGACCCCCTTTCTGAGCTGAGCTTTTTTTGTTTTTTTTTTTTGAGATGGGGTCTCACTTTGTTACCCAGGCTGGAGTGCAGTGGTGCAATCTCGGCTCACTGCAACCCCCGCCTCCCAGGTTCAAGTGTTTCTCCTACCTCAACCTCCCGAATAGTTGGGACTACAGGTGCTTGCCACCATACCCGGCTAATTTTTGTATTTTTAGTAAAGACAGGGTTTCACCATGTTGGTCAGGCTGGACTCAAACTCCTGATCTCAGGTGATCCACCTGCCTCGGCCTCCCAAAATGCTGGGATGACAGGCGTGAGTCACTGAGCCCACCACTGAACTGATCTTGGACAAAGGGACTCCGCTTGTCCCCAATTTAGCAGGGCTTGTTATGAATAGTCCTCACCTAGGACTTGGGGCTGCTGGACTCTGTGGTTCTGAGAAGACTTCTGGTATCTTCTCTGTCCCCCACACATCACTGATTAGTGGGTTGCTACCTGATGAAGCTTTTTGAATAAATATATTTTCTTAGAGGAAGCAAGGTGTAAGATGGAGGAGGTTAATTAAAATATAACCTGGGGAAAAAAAACAAGAAAAATGAAAACAACCGTTCATGAGTGTGGTTTTTTTGTTTGTTTGTTTTGTTTTGTTTTGTTTTTTCATAGAAACAGGGTCTTGCTATGTGGCCCAGGCTGGCCTCTAACTCCTGGGCTCAAGTGATCCTCCTGCCTCAGCCTTCCAAAGTGCTGGGATTACAGGTGTGAGCCACTGCACCTGACCATCATCAGTATGTTTGATGAAAGAGTAGAGTGTGAAACTGCTGGCTGAGATTGGCTTGGTGTTCTGCTTCTATAGGGTGCCATGCAGCCTTCTGTTTTTCTTACATTTTTGGGACCCCGAAAGATAATCCCAGTTGTGAGGAAGTGGGCCTGCTGTGCAGGTGAAGCTCTTCATTGCATTGCCAATGGGGATGGCTCCTCTCTTGACATCCCAGTTCTTACTAAATCCAAAAACATTTTCCATGTGTGGGAAGGCCTGGTGTGGGGACAAAGGCAGATCCAGGTTCAATGTGAAATGTTCTGAGAACTACAGAACCTGGCTTCTCGAAATGTGGTTTGAGGACCAGCAGCACTGGAATCACTTGAGAACTTGCTGAAAAAGCAGAATCTCTGGCCCCACCTCCAATCTACTGAATTGGAACCTGCATTTTAGCAAGATCATCAAGAGACTTTCAAGGGCATTCATCTTTGAGAAACACTGCTGTAGAGTTCCAATGTTATGGAATCTAACATTTTGACAACTCTCATCTGAGGCCAATTTGTTTGCTCAAGGAACCAGTCCTGAAATTAAAATGAACTGGCCACATAGCTTGCAATTCCATCCCATAATCTCTAGTCTGGAAAATAAAACTCAAGTGCCCTTCTTTCAGAGACATTCTTCTAAAGAAAATGACGGATATGTTTGAACATGAATGGACATTCTCAGTTGCCTTTAAAACATTTTCTAGGACAAACTAAAAAAGGTCTACAAATTCTGCTACATGGACCATAGCTGATGGATTGTATTTTACTCCACCTCATGTTACATTTGTGGTATTATACCCAAGTCACTCAAAGAGTCAGAGCATGGGCTTTGTTCTGTGTCACTGGGTAACAAGAGTAAGTAGACTTCCTCTTCTGCATGGCTGCCTCTAGTCTCTTACTACAATGATCTTTCTCTCCTGCTAACCATTACTGAAGCACTTCTTCTATTAGTCATTTTCCTGCTCCAAATTATAAATAGAAATGGCTTTCTATTTAGGGGAATGATAAGAGGTTATTTTGAACCAATTATTCTGCTGATAACAATAAAAATTTTCTGACTAAAATAAATAAACTACCTTCTTAAGGATATAAGATGGAAAGGAACCCATAGCCCTGAGAGGTATATAGGGACAGAGCACTTTTGCCTTGACAGCACTAGCTAATTTGGGAAAATAGGAATTTCATTCTGATCAGTTTATAATGAAAGAGGGCACAGATCACAGTTCAGAGTTCACGAAGGGTAAAGTGGCTCCAAATAAACTGGCACACAAAAGAGGTACACTCTTAGGATAAGAGTGAACCAAAAGTAACCAATCCTTCTTAAAGATTTACATCCAGACTCATATTATGTCAAGTTTTACACTTGGTTTAAGTGCCTGAGACTGGAAGTAACCCCAAGCACTTTGCAGAAGCAAACGTAAACCCTCTACAGAGGAAGGGACTTTTAGGCTGGGCCTCAAATTATTCCTAAACATAATTTTCAAGTACAATGACCAACACTCAGTCAAAGATAACGAGGCAAACAGAGAGGGCAGACACCATAAGCAGGAACTAACAGAAGCAAGAGCTTTTGATATTAGAGTTGTCAGACAATAATTATGAGCACAGTGTTCATTATATTAAAAATCAGAAAATGTTATCTAGAATGCAATCTGGGGAGACAAAAAGAAAATATAGAAATAAGATTAAGAGGCATAGAAAACAAACTGAAATATCTAATACACATTTTATTTGATGTCCCAAAAGGAGAAGGAAAAGAAGAGGGAAGAACAAATATTAGAAGAAATAATAATTTAAAAATTTTAAGAATAATTAAAGATACTAAACTACAGATTTAAAGGGTACAGTAAATCTCAAGAAGAGTAAATAAAAAGGCTCACACATCCGAAATAGGAATGCTTTTACACTGTTGGTGGGAGTGTAAGTTAGTTCAACCATTGTGGAAGACAGTGTGGTGATTCTTCAAGGATCTAGAAGTAGAAATACAATTTGACCCAACAACCCCATTACTGGGTACATACCCAAAGGATTATAAATCATTCTACGATAAAGACACATGCACATGTATGTTTATTGCAGCACTATTCACAAAAGCAAAGACTTGGAACCAACCCAGATACCCATCAGTGATAGACTGGGTAAAGAAAATGTGGCACATATACACCATGGAATACTATGCAGACATAAAAAAGGATGAGTTCACGTCCTTTGCAGGGACATGGATGAAGCTGGAAACCATCATTCTCAGCAAACTAACACAAGGACAGAAAACCAAACACCGCATGTTCTTACTCATAAGTGGGAGTTGGACAATGAGAACCCATGGACACAGGGAGGGGAACATCACACACTGGGGCCTGTTGGGGGGTAGGGGGCTAGGGGAGGGATAGCATTAGGAGAAATACCTAATGTAGATGATGGGTTGATAGGTGCAGCAAACCACCATGGCACGTGTATACCTATGTAAGAAACCTGCACATTCTGCACTTGTACCCCAGAACTTAAAGTATTAAAAAAAAAAAACTCACACATCCTTACATCATAGTGAAACTGTGGAAAACTAAAGGCAAAGAGAAAAATTTAAAACAATAAGAGAACAAAAGACTGACAGCTGATTTCTCAAAAGTAACACTAAAAGCTGAAAGCCAATGGAAAAACATCTTTCATGTACTGAAAAAAATTACCTTCAATGTAGAATTCTGCAGCTACTACAATAGTCTTCCAAAGATATGGGTAAAGGAAAAAATAAAAACCTGTCAACAGCATATTTGGAGAAGGGCCAGGTTTTGTGGGTTTTATATTTTTTTGAATTTCTGATCTGTTATAGACTTGAGTTTTTGGTTTATATCTTGTTCAACAAGTCAAGTAAACTGATTGTGCACTTGAATATTGCAGCAATGTTAAATTGGTATGCAAGTTAGACTCATTTTCTGTACTTATGGTGAGCTGGTAGCAGTTTGCAAACTTACAACCATTCCATGGATCACACTTTCAGTAAAAAGTTTTAAAGGATGCCCTTTAGACAAAAGGAAAGCTCACTCATATGGGATGAGCTGAGTGAGCTGAGATACATATGAGTGAGCTGAGATACAAGAAAGAATAAAGAGCCAAGGAAGTGACTGATCTTGTTGAGTTCACACAGAAACAACATCACAGCTCCTTTTAAATAAAGTAAAGCTTGGTTAGCCAAAGTGGCTCATTATAGAAGTTTTGTAACCCAGCTTTTTACATGTGGAAGAAAAGAGTTAATCTCATTGCAAAGAGAGAGAGAGAGAAGTTTCCTACTCATTTTAAGATTAATACATTGTGTAATGACACACACAAACTGTTAGGGCTGATTACATTTCCATGACAGTATAGGTAACCGTAAGAAACCACTTAAGAAAATTGCCCCGGAAAAACCTGCTAAAACAAATTTTAAAATCAACTATATTTTCTCTTCGATGTGATCATGAATAGCAAACTAAAACAAACTATGGCTACAGTGACATAAGTTATGGAGTTCTCAGGATGAGATCCAATAGGACATGGCAGGATCAGGAGCAATGCTTCTATTTTGATTACTTTCATAAATAATAATGTGACAGTACAAAAGAAACATTTGCAATCCAAGTCTAGTGTTCTTCAAAACAAGGAGGGCTTAAAAATAAGATTCTCATTGCTGACTGCAGAGGAACTGATCCTACCAACTAAATCGGAAACAGGTACTCCACTATTTCATGTTCTTTATATAAGAGCAGCAAAAACATATGTATTTGAATCTTGTCATTTCCTCTCCCTGTCTGAACTTAATTTATTTTCTTTTATCTTCATACATTATTTTCATTCCCTATTCCTCATTAAAACCCATGACATTGTGTGTAATGTGTATATAGTCTCACAAAATACATATTGTTTTTTGTTGCACTGGTATTTTTATTATATACAAATGGTGTTGTATTGTACATTTTACAAATCCGGTGGCACCTTATTTTATCAACTCACAGTTTCACAGAAGTTAAATTGACTTTTGAAGTCAAATCCATCCCTCCTCCCAGGATGGCTTTCCCCTACATCATGTATGATGTCCAGGCTGGATGCCTAGGCTGGCTTCAACACTTGAGTAGTAGGAATTGCAGCTTTGTAAGGGGACCAATTCCATAATGACAAAGTCAAAACCATGAGTGATCTGATATGGTTTGGCTGTGTCCCCACCCAAATCTCATCTTGACTTGTAGCTCCCACAGTTACCACGTGTTTTGGGAGGGACCCCATGGGAGGTAATTGAATTATGGGGGTGGTTCCCCCATACCGTTCTCATGGTAGCAAATAAGTGTCACACAATCTGATGGTTTTTATAAGGGGTTTCCCTTTTTGCTTGGCTGTCATTCTCTCTTGCCCTCTGCCATGTAAGACGTGGCTTTCACCTTCTGCCATGCTTGTGAGGCCTCCCCAGCCACACGGAGCTGTGAGTCCATGAAACCTCTTTTTCTTTATAAGTTACCCAGTCTTGGGTATGTCTTTATCAGCAGCATGAAAATGGACTAATACATGGTCTCTTCCTTCCCCGGGGATGAACGGGCTACCTGAAATGCCACCCATGGTGTTGACTCTGCACCAGGACCCGCTGTAGCATTGTGGCACAGCAGATGTCTCACCAGGTGTCATTCTGCCATCTAGTTTTCTGGGCTTAGATTTAGGAATTGGCTTTTTCAAGACTTACTACCTGGCCTGATCTTTATGAACTTTGCTTCCCTTGGGTCCATTCCCTGTTCAGATGTCCTCCTAGGCTCCTTGGCTTCTCCTGCATTATGTTTTGCCTTCCAGTGTCATTTCCATTCTGGCCCCTTGCACACCCACTCCTCTTTGTCACTATGCCCTGATGCACACCTGTCGCTAGAATCAAGCACTCTCTTCACCATCCCACCCACACACCTGGCTTGTGTGAGGCCTTTCAGGGCTTTGCTAACACTGCCCTTTTCTTCCAGCACCAATTCCTGTCTCTCCTTCAACAACCAGGGCAATTTCCACTTCCTCTGTGATGTGTTAGAGACACAGACCAAGGGAGGGGACAGGTCCATGATGAAAAGCGGCTGAGGAAAAATAGTCCCAATATAGGAAGGCTAACATAATATGGGGCTATGGCTGTTCTTCATTGGACACAGCAGATTCCAACTTTAGTTGATTTAAATTATAAAGGAATTTAATATAAGGCTATAGAATATATCCTTGCACATAGAATATATCATAAAATCTAGAGAAACCAGATATGGTGGCTGATGCCTGTAATCCCAGCACTTTGGGAGGCTGAGGCGGGTGGATCACTTGAGGTCAGGAGTTCAACACTAGCCTGGCCAACATGGTGAAACTCTATCTCTACTAAAAATACAAAAAAAAAAAAAATTAGCTGGATGCAGTGGCAGGTGCCTGTATTCCCAGCTACTCGGGAGACTGAGGCAGGAGAATTGCTTGAAACCAAGAGGCAGAGGTTGCAGTGAGCTGAGATTGTACCATTGCACTCCAGCCTGGGTGACAAGAGAGAAACTCCATCTCAAAAAAAAAAAAAATAGAGAAAAGATTTGGCAAACATGCAGGTGAGCAGGAAACAGAGCCAGGTGTCCCACAGAGCCTGTCATCGGGCTGCCCCATCACCACTGTCACCAGGACATGCCCAGCACCACCACTGCTTCCAAGCCAGGCAGCACATCTTCCTGCTGCACTCATCATTCTTCAACTTTGGCTCTGTCTTGGATGCACTTCCTCAAAGTTTTTTATTATTTAGGGTTTGTTTAAACTTTTTTGTTTCTTTCTTTTTTCTAGACAGGGTCATCTTGCTCTGTCACCTTGGCAGGAAGGCAGTGGCATGATCATAGCTCACTGCAGCTTCTAACTCTGGGTCTCAAGCAATCCTCCCACCACAACCTCCCAAGTAGCTGGAACTACAGGTACACACCATCACATTTGGCTAATTTTTAAAAAAAAATTTTTGTAGAGACAGCATCTTGCTATTGTTGCCAAGTCTGGTCTCAAATTCCTGGGCTCAGTTGTTCCTTCCACTTTGACCTTCCAAAATGTGGAACAACAGGCATGAACCACCCTACTCAGCCCACTTCCTCATCTGATTGCCAGGAGAGCATCTGATTGATTGCCAGTCCTGGATCTTCTACCTGCACCCCATTATCCAGGAAGTAGGGAGAGGGAGTAAGTGGCCCCTAAAACATTGTTAGTCACAGGTGAGGTACCTCCTCCACCCAAGCCTCACATGATCAGAAAGTTGAGACTCTAGACAGCCAGAAACACATCATTCACAACAGATAGTTTAAAAAGTTGGTGGATGCGTCCAAGATGGCCGAATAGGAACAGCTTTGGTCTACAGCTCCCAATGAGATCAATGCAGAAGATGGGTGATTTCTGCATTTCCAACTGAGGTACCTGGTTCTTCTCATTGGGACTGGTTGGACAGTGGGCACAGCCTATGGAGGGTGAGCAGGGTGGGGCATCACCTCAACTGGGAAGTGCAAGAAGTTGGGGGATTTCCCTTTCCTAGGCAAAGGAAGCCCTGAGTGACTGTACCTGGAGGAGCAGTACACTCCTGCCCAAATACTGTGCTTATCCCATGGTCTTCGCAACCAGCAGACCAGGAGATTCCCTCCCATATCTGGCTTGGCAGGTCCCATGTCCATGGAGCCGTGGTCACTGCTAACACAACAGTCTGAGATCAACCTGGGACATGGGAGCTTGGTGAGGGGAGGGGCGTCTGCCATTGCTGAGGCTTGAGTAGGTGGTTTTATGCTCACAGTGTAAACAAAGCTGCAGGGAAGCTTGAACTGGGCGGAGCCCACTGCAGCTCAGCAAGGCCTACTGCCTCTATAGACTCCACCTCTGGGGACAGGGCATATCTGAACAAAAAGCAGCAGACAGCTTCTCTAGACTTAAACGTCCCTGCCTGACAGCCCTTAAGAGAGCAGTGGTTCTCCCAGCACAGCGTTTGAGCTCCGATAATGGACAAACTGCTTCCTCAGGTGGGTCCCTGACCCCCATGTTGCCTGACTGGGAGACACCTCCCAGGAGGGGCCAACAGACACCTCATACAGGCAGGTGCCCCTCTGGGATGAAGCTTCCAGAGGAAGGATCAGGCAGCAATATTTGCTGTTCTGCAGCCTCCACTGGTGATACCCAGCCAAACAGGGTCTGGACTGGACTCCCAGCAAACTCCAACAGACCTGCAGCTGAGGGGTCTGTCTGTTAGAAGGAAAACTAACAAACAGAAAGGAAGAGCATCAACATCAACAAAAAGGACATCCACACCAAAACCCCATCTGCAGGTCACCAACATCAAAGACCAAAGTTAGATAAAACCACAAAGATGGGGAGAAACCAGAGCAGAAAGGCTAAAAATTCCAAAAACCAGAATGCCTCTTCTCCTCCAAAGGAACCCAACTCCTTGCCAGCAAGGGAACAAAACTGGACATAGAATAAGCTTGATGAGTTGACAGAAGTATGCTTCAGAAGGTCAGTAATAACAAACTTCTCCGAGCTAAAGAAGCATGTTCTAACCCATTGCAAGGAAGCTAAAAACCTTGAAAAAAGGTTAGACGGATGGCTAACTAGAATAACCAGTGTAGAGAAGAGCTTAAATAACATGATGGAGCTGAAAACCACAATACGAGAACTTCGTGAAGCATACACAAGCTTCAATAGCCGATTTGATCAAGCAGAAGAAAGGATATCAGTGATTGAAGATCAAATTAATGAAATAAAGTGAGAAGACAAGATTAAAGAAAAAAGAGTGAAAAGAAAAAAACAAAGCCTCTAAGAAATATGGGACTATGTGAAAAGACCAAATCTATGTTTGATTGGTGTACCTGAAAGTGACGGGGAGAATGGAAGCAAGTTGGAAAACACTCTTCAGGATATTATCCAGGAGAACTTCCCCAACCTAGCAAAGCAGGCCAACATTCAAATTCAGGAAATACAGAGAACATCACAAAGATACTCCTCAAGAAGAACAACCCCAAGACACATAATTGTCAGATTCACCAAGGTTGAAATGCAGGAAAAAATGTTAAGGGCAGCCGGAGAGAAAGGTCAGGTTACCCACAAAGGGAAGCCCATCAGACTAACAGCAGATGTCTTGGCAGAAACCCTACAAGCCAGAGAGTGGGGGCCAATATTCAACATTCTTAAAGGAAAGAATTTTCAACCCAGAATTTCATATCCAGCCAAACTAAGCTTCATAAGTGAAGGAGAAATAAAATCCTTTACAGACAAGCAAATGCTGAGAGATTTTGTCACCACCAGGCCTGCCTTACAAGAGCTCCTGAAGGAAGCACTAAACATGGAAAGGAACAACCAGTACCAACCACTGCAAAAACATGCCAAATTGTAAAGACCATTGATGCTATGAAGAAACTGCATCAATTAACAGGCAAAATAACCAGCTAGTATCATAATGACAGGATCAAATTCACATATAACAATATTAACCTTAAATGTAAATAGGCTAAATTCTCCAATTAAAAGACACAGACTGGGAAATGGGTAAAGAATCAAGACCCATCAGTGTGCTGTATTCAGGAGACCCATCTCACATTCAAAGACGCACATAGGCTCAAAATAAAGGGATGGAGGAAGATCTACCAAGAAAACGGAAATCAAAAAAAGGCAGGGGTTGCAATCCTAGTCTCTGATAAAACAGACTTTAAACCAACAAAGATCAAAAGAGACAAAGAAGGCCATTACATAATGGTAAAGGGATCAATTCAACAAGAAGAGCTAACTATCCTAAATATATATGCACCCAATACAGGAGCACCCAGATTCATAAAGCAAGTCCTTAGTGACTACAAAGAGACTTAGACCCCCACACAATAATAATGGGAGACTTTAACACCCCACTATCAACTTTAGAGAGATCAACGAGACAGAAAGTTAACAAGGATATCCAGGAATTGAACTCAGCTCTGCACCAAGCGGACCTAACAGACATCTACAGAATTCTCCACCCCAAATCAACAGAATATACATTCTTCTCAGCACCACATCGCACTTATTCTAAAATTGACCCCATAATTGGAAGTAAAACACTCCTCAGCAAATGTAAAAGAACAGAAATCACAACAAACTGTCTCTCAGACCACAGTGCAATCAAATTAGAACTCAGGATTGAGAATCTCACTCAAAACTGCACAATTACATGGAAAGTGAACAACCTGCTCCTGAATGACTACTGGGTAAATAACGAGATGAAGGAAGAAATAAAGGTGTTTTTGAAATCAGTGAGAACAAGGACAAAATGTACCAGAATCTCTGGGACACATTTAAAGCAGTGTGTAGAGGGAAATTTATAGCACTAAATGCCCACAAGAGAAAGCAGGGGAGATCTAAAATCAACACCCTAACATCACAATTAAAAGAACTAGAGAAACAAGAGCAAACAAATCCAAAAGCTAGCAGAAGACAAGAAATAAGTAAGATCAGAGCAGAACTGAAGGAGATAGAGACACAAAAAACTCTTCAAAAAAATCAATGAATCCAGGAGGTGGTTTTTTGAAAAGATCAACAAAATAGATAGATCACTAACAAGACTAATAAAGAAAAAAGAGAGAAGAATCAAATAGATACAATAAAAAATGATAAAGGGGATATCACCACCGATCCCACGGAAATACAAACTACCATCACAGAATACTATAAACACCTCTATGCAAATAAACTAGAAAATCCAGAAGAAATGGATAAATTCCTGGGCACATACATCTCCCAAGACTAAACCAGGAAGAAGTTGAATCTCTGAATAGACCAATAACGGGTTCTGAAATTGAGGCAATAATTAATAGCCTACCAACCAAAAAAAAGTCCAGGACCAGACAGATTCACAGCTGAATTCTACCAGAGGTGCAAAGAGGAGCTGGTACCATACCTTCTGAAATTATTCCAATAATAGAAAAAGAGGGACTCCTCCCTAACTCATTTTATCAAGCCAGCATCATCCTGATACCAAAGCCTGGCAGAGACACAGCAGAAAAAGAGAAGTTTAGGACAATATCCCTGATGAACATCGATGTGAAAATCCTCAATAAAATACTGGCAAATCGAATCCAGCAGCACATCAAAAAGCTTATCCATTACGATCAAGTTGGCTTCATCCCTGGGATGCAAGGCTGGTTCGACATATACAAATCAATAAATGTAATCCATCACATAAACATAACCTACGACAAAAACCACTTGATTATCTCAATTGATGCAGAAAAAGCCTTCAACAAAATTCAACAGCCTTTCATGCTAAAAACTCTCAATAAACTAGGTGTCGATGGAATGTATCTCAAAATAATAAGAGGTATTTATGACAGACCAACAGCCAATATCATACTGAATGGGCAAAACCTGGAAGCATTCCCTTTGAAAACCGGCAGAAAACAAGGATGCCATCTCTCACCACTCCTATTCAACATAGTATTGGAAGTTCCGGCCAGGGCAATCAGGCAAGAGAAAGCAATAAAGAGTATTCAAATAGGAAAAGAGGAAGTCAAATTGTCTCTGTTTGCAGGTGACATGATTGTATATTTAGAAAACCCCATCATCTTAGCCCAAAATCTCCTTAAGCTGATAAGCAACTTCAGCAAAGTCTCAGGATACAAAATCAATGTGCAAAATTCACAAGCATTCCTATACATCAATAACAAACAGAGAGCCAAATCATGAGTGAACTCCCATTCACAATTGCTACAAAGAGAATAAAATACCTAGGAATCCAACTCACAAGGGATGTGAAGGACCTCTTCAAGGAGAACTACAAACCACTGCTCAAGGAAATAAGAGAGGACAGAAACAAATGAAAAAATATTCCATGCTCATGGATAGGAAGAATCAATATCATGAAAATGGCCTTACTGCCCAAAGTAATTTATAGATTCACTGTCTTTCTTCACGGAATTGGAAAAAATTACTTTAAACTTCATATAGAACCAAAAAAGAGTCCACATATCCAAGACAATCCTGGGTAAGAAGAACAAAGCTGCAGGCATCATGCTATCTGATTTCAAACTTTACTACAAGGCTACAGTTAACCAAAACAGCATGGTACTGGTATCAAACAGCTATATAGACCAATGAAACAGAACAGAGGCCTCAGAAATAACACCACACATCTACCACCATCTGATCTTTGACTAACCTGACACACAAAAGCAATGGGGACAAGATTCCCCATTTAATAAATGGTGTTGGGAAAACAGGCTAGCCATGTGCAAAAACTGAAACTGGACCCCTTCCTTACACCTTATACAAAAATCAACTGAAGATGGATCAAAGACTTAAACATAAGACCTAGGGCCATAAAAATCCTAGAAGAAAACCTGGGAATACCATTCAGGACATAGGCATGGCCAAAGACCTCATGTCTAAAACACCAAAAGTGATGACAACAAAAGCCAAAATTGACAAATGGGATCTAAATAAACTAAAGAGCTTCTGCACAGCAAAAGAAACTATTATCAGAGTGAACAGGCAACCTACAGAATAGGAGAAAATTTTTGCAATCTATCCATCTGACAAATGGCTAATATCCAGAATCTACAAAGAACTTAAATTTACAAGAAAAAAGCAGAGAACCCCATCAAAAAATGGGCAAAGGATATGAACAGACACTTCTCAAAAGAAGACATTTATGAAGCCAACAGATATATGAAAAAATACTCATCATCACTGGTCATTAAATGCAAATAAAAACCACAATGAGATACCATCTCATGCCAGTTAGAATGGCAATCATTAAAAAAGTCAGGAAACAACAGATGCTGAAGAGGTTGTGGAGAAATAGGAATACTTTTACATTGTTGGTGGGAGTATAAATTAGTTCAACCATTGAAGAAGACAGTATGATGATTCCTCAAGTATCTAGAACTAGAAATACCATTTGACCCAGCAATCCCATTACTGGGCATATACCCAAAGGATTATAAATCATTCTATGATAAAGACACATGCACATGTATGTTTATTGCAGCAGTATTCACAATAGCAAAGACTTGGAACCAACCCAAATGCCCATCAATGATAGACTGGATAAAGAAAATGTGGCACATATATACCATAGAATACTATGCAGCCAAAAAAAGGATGAGTTCATGTCCTTTGCAGGGACATGGATGAAGCTGGAAACCATCATTCTCAGCAAACTATCACAAGATTGGAAAACCAAACACCACACGTTCTTACTCATAAGTGGGAGTTGAACAATAAGAACACATGAACACAGGGAGGGGAACATCACACACCAAGGCCTGTGGGAAGTGGGGGGCTAGGGGAGGGTAACATTAGGAGAAATACCTAATGTAGGTGATGGGTTGATGGGTGCAGCAAACCACCATGGCACGTGTAGACCTATGTAAGAAAACTGTACATTCTGCACATGTAACCCAGAACTTAAAGTATAATAATAATAAAAAAATTAACTTATTCTCAGCTGGGCACAATGGCTCATGGCTGCAATCCCAGCACTTTGGAAGGCTTAGGCAGGCAGATCACTTGAGCCCAGGAGTTCAAGACCAGCCTGGGCATCATGGTGAAACTCTGTTTCTACAAAAAAATACAAAAATTAGCCAGCTGTGGTGGCATGCACCTGTAGTCACAGCTACTCAGGAAGCTGAGGTAAGAGGATCACCTGAGCCTGGGAAATTGAGGCTGCAGTGAGCCATGATTGCGCCACTGCACCCCAGCCTAGGTGACAGAATGAGATGAAAGAAAAAAAAGAAGAAAGAAGAAATGAAAGAAAGAAAGAGAGAGAGAGAGAAAGAAAGAAGAAGAAAGAGAAAGAAAAGAAGAAAGAGAAAGAAAGAAAGAAAGAAAAAGAAATGAAAGAAGGAAAGAAGGAAAGAAGAAAGAAAAAGAAAGAAGAAAGAAAGGGAAGAAAGAAAGAGACAGAGAGAAAGAAAGAAAGAAAGCAAGAAAGAAATAAAAGAAAGAAAGAAGAAAGAAAAAGAAAATTAGCTCATTCTTTTTGAGGCAGGGCCACATTTCCCAGTCCAATGATGTAATACACATCTTGGCAAACTTGTGAAAACAATCTCAATTCTCTCAAAAAAGGAATGTAAAATATTATCAATATCTGATGAATCTTAAACGAGAAATATCCGCAGCTTGGTGGAAATAGGGCTGCAGCTCCTGCTTCTCTCGTGGTGAAAGATACCAGGTCAGGTTGTGAATGGTGTCAAGAAACACAGGGAGCTGTGATCACAAAGATGTCTCTTTCATCAATTTTCTTTCCTAGCTTGACTGTGTGAAGACCTTTTCTCATTTCAGAACTCTTGCATGATTCTTTCCAAGGGTCTAAACAGTGACGACTCACTTGCTGTTTCTAATGAGGTCAAGTCTCAAGGCCATCCTGTATGGAGTTAAATGTCACTCTCACGAGTATACCCAGAAATATCTCCCACCGCTGTCTGTACATTGTTGTGGTCAGAGATGCTTCCAGCTCTGTCTTGGTCGAACAGCTTGCGGGGCAGCCCAGTGAGCTATTATTGGAGAGGTAGCTTAGGAGGGGACCAGGCTCTGGAACTGGGTCTTCTCACACAAGCGGAGCAGGCTCAGACACCGCACCAGCTGGACAAGTGGGGAGGAAGGAAGGCAGGCTAGCACAGGGCCGAGTTCACAGCCAGGTGGCTCTCCAGCCAGCCACCAGCATCATTCTCAGCAGGTGAGAAGAGCAAGGTGCCACAGAGACTGCTGGGTACTTAGCCACCATCCAGTCTTCCCTGCTTCCTCCGTGACTGCAACGTGCCATTCAGTGTGGCCATGCACACAGGAGAAAGCCTGCACTTCTCCCTGCTCCTGCAGCTAGGAGTGGGCAATGAGATGTATGTGCAAATCATTGAATGGGATTTCTGAGAAAGCTCCTCTACGGCTGCTATTCCTTCCCTTTCTTCTTGTGTGGAATATGGACCTCATAGCTGCAGTTCCTGCAGCCATCATACTGAAGATACCAGAAACATCCTAGAGATAGGAGGAGCTGGGGTCCTCAATGACTCTGTGAAACCAACATGGCTGTACTGGACGGCTCACCTTCAAGCTTTCTTTAATGGGAGCGAATGAACGCTTCCTCTGTTTATGCCATGTATTTGGGTCTCTGTGATCCCAACAATCCTCACTCATACTATGGACAAAAAGAGGCACAGGAACAGGACACTCAGAGGCCCAGGCAGGGAAGCAGCTGCAGATGCTGGGGAGGAAGGCCAGTAAAGAGTGAGGTGTGAGCCACCACCCCGCGTGCAAGTCAGGGCTCTCCCTCCAGCCTCCCAGGGACCTGGGCTGCTGGTCATGCTGTCCAGATGGAACTTTGTCCAGGGAAATGGATGACATCCAGGTTCCAGAATGTGTACACAAAACCAGAACTGAGTTCCAGGAACAAATAAAAGCACAATTATGAAGACCAGCTAGGGCCTGATGTCAAAGCTGCATGAGCAACAAAAAGGGATTTGGTGCCAAGTTCTTAAACCCCTCTAGCCTGGAGTCAGGACGGGTGTAGAGAGCCAGGTGAGGGTCAGCATGTGGGCGGATGTCTCTTGGCTTCGGCCATGGTGAGGGTGAGGGAGGATGCTGAGGAACGGCAAGGCCACAAGAGCAGGCTCCCTCCCTCCCCTCTGGGATGGTGAGGAGCCAGGTCCTCCCAGAGGGGTGAGCCCACAGGATCTCCTCCCATGAGAAGCTCCATCAACCTCTGTCCCCATCAGATTCTATGCCTCAAACAGGACTGAGACAAAGGAGGGAGACAGCAAGGAGCTCCCTACTGCTCAGGGAGAGTCAGAAGGAGGTCCTGGGGTCGGGGAAGCTGCTGACTATGCCAGCTCCTGCTCTTGGAGGCACCCATGGAGAATTCTCCATCAGCGGCCCTCCTGTAGTTGACTCCTGTGGGGACAGGTCCTCCTGAGGGCAGCTGAATGTTTCCTCAATGTGTTAATTGAGAAGCTGCAGCTGCCCACGATACTAATCTCTATGAAAATGGTGCTCGAGACCTAGCACAGTGGATCCTGCCTGTAATTCCCAACCCTTTGAGAGGCCAAGGTAGGAGGATCCCTTGAGGCCAGGAGTTTGAGACCAGCCTGGGCAATATAGTGAGACCCCATCTCCATAAAAAAATTTTTTTAAATTAGCCAGATGCAGTGGTGTGCACGTATAGTCCCAGCTACTCAAGAGGCTGAGGTGGGAGGATTGCTTGAACCCAGGAGGTCAAAGCTGCAGTGAGCCGTGATTGCACCACTGCACTCCAGCCTGGGTGACAGAGCAAGACTTTGTTTCTAAAAATAAATAAATAATAAAATAAAATGGTGTTATAAATTGTGTTTGTGTCCCCCTAAAATTCATACATTAAACCCTAATCCCCAATGTCATGGTATTGGAGGTGGAGGCTTGGGAGGTGATTAGGTCATGAGGGTGGAGCCCTTGTGAATGTGATTAGTGGCCTTATAACAGAGGCCTCAAAGAGCTCCCTTACCCCTTACACCAAGTGAGGACACAGAAATGGCCATCTATGAACTAGGAAGCCTGCCCTCACCAGATGCCAAATCTGCAGGTGCCTTGATCTTGGACTTCCCAGTCTCCAGACCTGTGAGAACTAAATTTCTGTTTGTTATATAAGCCACCCAGTCTATGGTATTTTTGTTATATCAACCCAGACTTAGAATAGACAAACACAAACAGCTTAAAGGTGAAGGATATTTATTATTTCCCTTAGCAAGAGGCCTAGAGATAGTTTATTTCAGGTTTGCTTAATTCAGCAGGTCAATTTATTTCAGATTTAGTTAATTCAGCAGGACAATAAGTCATCCATCACGTACATGCTCAGTTTACTGACCTTGCCCTTCTGCCTTGTCTGAACTGTCCCAAACGGCTGCCACAGTCTACAGTGCCATATCTATATTAAAGAGGAAAGCCTTTCTCATACTTTCCCTTGTATCTAATTGGCCCAAATTGAGTCATATGACTGCTGCAGGAGGGAATGCCAAAATAAATAGGCAGGGCATGTTTTCAAGTCTTTGTGAGAAGTGGCTTCTGCCAGCAAAGAAGCAGGTTGGAAATGGATGTTAGTAGACAATGAGGGGTGCCTACCATGGGGTTGGCAGGCATTGTTCTCCAAGAACAGCCTACATTGAGGTCTTGGGAGCTTCCTAGAGCCTTATGTCATGAGAATTTATCTACATACTTAACAAAGATGGCATTGAAGTAATTGTTTTTTCTTCACCCAATCTTGAAGGAACTGCCAGGCAAGGTGTGCTAAACTATCATTGGCCAAGGGGTGGGCCTGTGGTCTTGGCACTAAGAAGGGATGTCAAGTGTCACAAGCCACTCAGAACTCTTGCATCTTGTTGGGCATGGTGGCTCATGCCTGTAATCCCAGCACTTTGGGAGGCCAAGGCTGGCAGATTGCCTTGTTCAACCAAGTTCTGAATCTCAAACAAAGTAATAAAAATAGAGGAAATGATGAAAGATACAGTATTCAGACTCAGCTGTCCTTTAGGGTCCCTCATACACGTCCTTCCAGATCCCTGGTTGTGCAGATTTTTTTTCTTTTTTTAGATATGTGAGCCACCCAATATCATTTAAATAACTCCTTTCAAATTAGGGGCAGCAGTGTTGCTGTTGCTTGCAATCAAAGAACCCTGGCCACTGCAGGTGGAATACAACCTGTGACACGTGTTTGCAGGGAGGCAGAGGCAGGTATAACTCCCATCCTGTAAAAACACAATTCTAATTCTATCCACTAAAAGATTTTTAAAAGCCAACTTTTGAACTGCTTTTCTTTTACTCAGGCCAACTTTTAACACTGAAATCAGCCCCTCAAGGTGAAAAACAAAACATCTATTGAGGTCTTATACTAATCGACAGCCTCAACTCAACCTATGCTTACATCTGATTTCTCAGCAAATAGATATGAACCCAATCTTGCAGCTACATGCTAGAAAATTGCCTAGCAAACAATGCATGAACCTTCTCTGTCTCTAAAGTAAAAGAACACATTAATTTTATCAGGGCATTCAGAGCTGGGATTATGTGCCTGCCTCTCTCAATCGCCCCCTAGAGATTTAGCCAAACAATGTCTCTCAGTTGTGAAAAACAAAATAGAAAGCAATTACTATTAGGAATATTAAACTTTACTCTTAGCTTTTAAAATGACACTATAGTCCTTTCTCCAAAGAGTTCTTCAATCAGGTATTCGCTCTGTACTGCAAAAGAAACCAAGGATGCCTCTGTTAAGCAGGGATTATGAGATAAGATCCGTAATAGACATCCAGCCTTATTGGAGTAACAATATTTCATTACCCTGCATCAAACTAATGCACCATTATAATGATCTGATCATTAGAATAGTGGTTCATTCAGACTAATAGCCCACAAAATGTCAGCCTATAAAACAAAGCTGAGCTTGGTTATAGGTACAGATAGCCCACTGTAGGGCCATATCACAGACTGGGGAGAGAGAATCTTCTGTCTGCAGTCACAAATCAAATGCCTCCATGCCCTGGGAGGAAAATCTGGAAAGACACTTATGTATTATGACATGCCTGTTGTGAGAAGTGGCCTGATTGTCACTTGGGCGCTGTGCTATTCTCTTATGTCTGCATGGTATATTATCGTACTATAGCCACTCGACCCAATGTTCAATTAAAAGAGGGTTTCTTAGCAACCAAAACAATATTATTGTGCTGTCAGAGGAAAAACACCAGATTAGCAGAAAATCCCGATTCCAAGTTCTGAATCAGGACTTCCGGCCAAACACATGCTCTGCCCTTGACTCAAAGAGGCCTCCACAGCCAACGCTCCCCACGGGGCTCTCCTCCTTGGCCACAACAGCTTCGCTGGCACAACGTGGTGCGTGGGTGCTGAGTGAGGCACCAGCCCCAGTGCTGGGCCTGTACGTGACCAGGTGGGGGTGTGGGAGGCCCAGAAGGAGCCATCCCAGAAGCACCCGCTGTATGTACATTCACTGTTGTGGTGCGATCTGCGAGGCCCAGCTTGTCCCGGCACCACCCTCGGCCGCCCTGTACGTTCCCTCTTTTAAAGGCATCTCCCTCCTGTGCTGCTCGACATCATTTCAGGGGTATCACAGGATGTCCTTGGAGCTCTGCTCTTTAAACAGCTTGGATTCCTCCCCTAAGAGCTGGCAGCCTTCCTTACCCCACGAGAAAGTTGCTGGAGCTACATTTGGGAATGACTCTGTCTGGGAGGGTGGACATTGCAGAACCGGCTTCTGTGCAGGAGGGCCTGTGGAGGCTTGGTAGGGAGGGAACGACTGAGTTGAGTCCCCATTTCCCTTCCCCCATCTGCCACTCTCAGCTCAGGGTGTGGGGTGCAGAATGAGACAGATGCCCTCACTCTAGGACTCTTCCCTGAACCCTTAGGTTTGGTAAGATGTCCCTCCCAAATGCTGTCACAATAACCTGTGTGTATTCTTGCGATTTTCATTCACTGTAGTAGCACAGACCACGTTATATATTAAAAATGCCCAGAATTTCTGCTTCGTGGGGATGAGACTTTGCCTTATTCACTGCTTAACTCTCACGTGTAACACAATGCCTAACGGGGGGAAAAAAGGTGAAAAACATTCAATTCGCTTCACACACAGCACAGGAAGAGTGTGTTGCAGGGGCCACAGTGGTGCTCTTGGCCTCTGAGAGTTTAGAATCTAGGAGAAAATGAGGATGAAAGTGTGGACTCCAGGGAAGCAGGGGCTGGCGGAGAAGTTCAGCAGGCGGTTGGGTGAGCTCCCAAGCTGGGGAAGGGACCAAAGCCTCCAAGTGAGGAGCCCTTCCCAGGCAGCGCCTCTCCCACCCACCAAGCCCCAGTGTTGGGTGTTGGAGGAAACAAAATGTGTTCCTCTCTTCCCTTAAGAGGAGCCCTATAAATGCCGGCTGCTTAAATTTTCACCTATGATGATTTACGTCTCTGTTAGGCTGCCTTTTAAAACCCCAACTCAAAATACAAAAATTAGCCAGACGTGGTGGCACACGCCTGGAATCCCAGCTACTCAGGAGGTGGAGGCAGGCGAATCACTTGAACCCAGGAAGCGGAGGTTGCAGTGAGCGGAGGTTGCAGTGAGCAGAGGTTGCAGTGAAGGGAAGTCCTTAAATGATCACATTTTAAGCAACACAGCCCCTCTCCTCAGCCAGGTCATACTGGACGATACGTGAACAGCTGATCCACAGGCAAGCCGGTCTCTCTACTGATCAATGGCACCTGCCTGGAAAAATATAAGATGTGCTAATCAGATTCTTTTTGTGAGAAATCTGAACTGTGAAACTGAATCAAGTTAGCAGCAAGAATCGTATCTGAAAGGTTGCAAAGAAAATGCTCCCAGAACACGGGAAGTGCTGCACGTTTACTGAAGGGATGAAAAGCACTCTGAGGTAGAGTCACGGCCAGCCCATGTTCCAAAGAAGCAGGAACTAAAAGGTACAGACCAGGTGGACAACAGGGCGACCCCCTTCCAAACGTCAACTCAAAACACGCCATATTCTTGATACATGGTGCTGCTACTACCAAGGCTAGTCTTCAAGGTCTTCCTTCCAGACGAGCAGTAGGTTTTGTTAGGAAGCCCCACATGTGGCATATTTTCCTTCGAGGGTGGATTCGCTCTTATCCTGGCGTTATTTATAGCCAAGTCTTAAGCTTACTGTTTGTGAAACAACCAGCTGAAGAATATAATGAAGCCTGTCCCTGGGATTGAACGTGCAGATCTGCAGATCAGGGGTTTGGACAAGGACATCACTGTGGTCTTCTCAAGAGCCATCATGGGACATTCTGCCACTGTGATTCCCACCAATCCCTTCCCTTCCACACTGTGTCTAGATATGAAGAAATACAGGAAAATTTCCCAGGAGGATGAGACCCCATAGAAGGCAGATATTGGGAAACTTGATGAAAAGCTTAATAAAATTTAGAAAATGATGCTTATTGCCAGCAACATCAGCAGGACTATGTCATCCCTTGACATCCCTGCTCCCGCCTCCGTGTTCTGGTCTTGACCTCTGGATTGCAGGCCGTCTTTCTGTTACACTACTGATTCTTCCTGCCAAGGGATGGTTGAGTTACTTTCCCAAACATCTCTAACTTGGGTTTTGGGACCCACATGCCAAATTTCAAAAGGAACCCTCAGCCCGGGAATATGTGATTGCAAACATCGACTTTCCATTTTCTGATTTTCTCTGTTAGCAGATTTCCCAGTAAGCATCGTCTCTGGAGACACATAGGTAAAAACACAAGAGCACAAATCGAACCAAAATTCCCCTAGAAGAAGAAAGCCAGGGAACTGTGGAGAGAATACCAAAGACAGCGATACAAGTTGCTTTGGGTGGTTGTGAATAGAGGAAGTGGAACAAAGCTCGTGGTTCAGCGCCTGGAAAACTGCAGCCCTGCCAAGTGGCAAACCCAGCCACTGTCCCTTCTGGACAGATGCATCTGGCACTGCAGAATTTCTTCATCTTCCTTGGTGTTCACTGCTCACGACATTTGGGTCTGAGGCTGAGGGTTGGGATTTGATAGAATAATCTCCCCTGTTTTGCAGGCATGTCATGGATACACAGTTACTCTCTCCATCACCGCATTTTCAGATGCCTATAGAAAGTGTCAGGAAACATTAGGTGGAAAAGGTTCTGAAGTGAAGGCTGGTCAAAGGGAAATGGCAGGAAAGAGGCTTTACTTGCCTGTCTGGTCTCCCAGCCACTGAAGTCTGATGGTGCCGTTGAATTCAGGACAAAGCCAGTGGCTGGCGAGGCTGAAGGAGAAAATGCATGCCAGGCAGGCTCTGGGACATCGTGTGAGCTGTTTTCCGCAATCCTCCTCCCTGCCAGATGCACGCATTTGAGAAGGATTTGGGTTCGGCAAGGTGAACAGAATTCAAATCTCTCATGGGAAAAAATGATAAAGGAACAATGTCTACAGTTCACCGCCTTCCCAGGAAGAATTGTTCAACAAAAGCTGCAATGTGGGCTCCACGCTAGAAGACCGTATGGCCACCAGAGGTCTCAGCGTGGCCTCACAGCACAAGCTACCATTGAGGCCGCTTTTATTCTAAACTTGTCCAAATGGAGCTGAGACAAAAGCGGGTGACCTGGTGGTCCCAGAAGTGGAGGACGGTTGGGGGCTTCTGTAACTGAATGACCAAGTCTCTGAGCTCTCAGAACCTTGACTTCCTTCACTCTCAATGTCAGATTTAAAAAATACACCTTCTATGAGGATGTAGAACTGGAACTCCCATGCACTGCAGGTGGGGATGTAAAATGGCACAACAACTTTGGAAACAGCTTGGCAATTTCTTAAAAAGGTAAACATACACCTACTGTGAAATTCAGCTGTTCTACTCCTAGGTATTTATGCAAAGGAAAGAAAGTTCCTTCCATGCAAAGGCTTGTATATGAATGTTCGTAGTAGCTTTATTTGTAATAGCCCAAACCTGGAAACCTCCCAGAGGTCCACCAACAGTAGATAAATAAATTATGGGGCTGGGCGGGGTGGCTTATGCCTGTAATCCCAGCACTTTGGAAGGCCGAGGTGGGCTGATGACCTGAGGTCAGGCATTCAAGACCACCCTGACCAACAAGATGAAACCCTGTCTTTACTAAAAATAGAAAAATTAGCCAGGTGTGGTGGCACGTGCCTGTAATCTCAGCTACTTGGGAGGCTGAAGTAGGAGAATCACTTGAACCAGGGAGGAGGAGGTTGCAGTGAGCCAAGATTGTGCCACT
The DNA here is from genome assembly GCF_000001405.40 of Homo sapiens. Taxonomy (NCBI): domain Eukaryota; kingdom Metazoa; phylum Chordata; class Mammalia; order Primates; family Hominidae; genus Homo; species Homo sapiens. The sequence continues at coordinate 34,082,892 of NC_000010.11, forward strand.
GCACTCTAGCCTAGGTGACAGAATGAGACTCTGTCTCAAAAAAATAATGAATAAATAAATAAATAAATTATGGTATACCCATGCAATGGAATAACAGTCAAGGAAGGAAAGAAAAATTGATATGATATGGAAGAATCTCAAAATAATTATGCTGAATAGAAAAAGCCAGACCCCCCAAAAAAGTACATACTATATACTTTTGCTTATATAAAGTACTAGGAATTGGGCTGGGCGTGGTGGCTCATGCCTGCAATGCCAGCACTTTAGAGTGCTGAGGCAGGAGGATTTCTTGAGGCCAGGAGTTCAAGACCAGCCTGGGCAACGTAGCAAGACCCCATCTCTTTAAACAAAAATAATCAATTAATTTAAAAATAAAGTTCTTCACATGGACACAGGGAGGGGAACATCACACACTGGGGGCCTGTTGGGCGTTGGGGGGCAAGGGGAGGGAAAGCATTAGGACTAATGCCCAATGCATGAGGGGTTTAAAACCTAGATGACAAGTTGATGGATGCAGCAAACCACCATGGCACATGTATACCTACGTAACAAACCTGCATGTTCTGCACATGTATCCCAGAACTTAAAGTATAATAAAAAATAAAAATTAAAATAAAATAAAATACAAGTAGAAATTTTAAAAATAAAAAAATAAAGTTCTAGAAGGTGAAGGCTAATCTATATTGACAGAGAGCTTACAAGTGGATGCCTGGGGATGGGGTGAATGCCAAAGAGGTGTTACAAAGGAGCACAAGGAAACTTTGGTGGTGAGGGGTGTGTTCATTTTCTTTACTGCAATGGTGATTTCACAGGTGCATACACATGTCACAAGTTACCAACTGGAGGCTTCAAACATGTGCAGTTTATTATACATTAGTTGTACCTCAGTAAAGCTGTTTTTAAACATATGCGTCTTTCACACTCTTCCTGGAACTGCCTCCTGTTTATCCTTAAGACTCAGCTTCAGCATCTGTCACCTTCCTGAGGAAGGGTTCTTGGCCACGGCTCCTTCTCTCTCTCACATGTTCACTCTGCTTAGGCCTCCTCTATGCTCACCTGTTTCTCTGTAATAACATTTATTAGGGTGTTCTCTAATGACTGATTGGAGTGATGAAGGATGGAGGACAGGGCTTCATCTTTTAGATGTATCCTGGGAACCTGCCGTGGGGCCAGTCTTATAGATGCTCAGCGAGTGTTTGTTGAATGAATGAATAAATAAAAGAAGTTTATAATGCAGGAACAGAAAACCAAATACTGCATATACTCATATATTAGTGGGGGCTAAATGATATGAACTTATGAACACAAAGAAGGAAACAACAGACACTGGGATCCACTGGAGGCAGGGGGTTGGGAGGAGGGAGAGGAGCAGAAAAGATAACTATTCCGTACTGGGCTTAATACCTGGGTGACAAAATAATCTGTATAACAAATCCCCGTGACACAAGTTTGCCTGCATAACAAGCCTTCACATGTACCCCTGAACTTAAAATAAAAATTAAAAAAGAAGAATTTCAAAGTATTTAGTTTGAATCTTCTAAAACACTAGACACCTCCTTTGGGACAAAACATATGCTTAACCTTCAATAAACAATGGATGGATGGATGGATCGATGGATGGATGGATGGATGGATGGATAAATGGATGGATGGATAGATGGAATGATGGATGGATGGATGGATGGATGGATGAATAGTTAGGGATCTAACAGCCTAACCATACCTCAGCCTGAAGCATCTGAGGCCAGGAGTTCAAGACCAGGCTCTATTTCCCTATGACCCAGAGTTAGCTTCTGAAATCTACTCTTAACCCTTCCCAATAACCACAGCACCCCCAGGCCAGCAGCCCAGATGCCCTGCTTCCTCCACATCGGGCATCCCTAGGCTCAGTCCACTCCAGAGCCCTGGCTCAATCTGTTGTGACATCAAGACTTTTGCCAGGCCTTTCCACAACAATACTTCACCTGGAGAATGTTCTACTTTGTCATGGTGCTGAGTGGGGGAAAATAGAATAATTTATTCCAGTTGGATGCTTTCTTTTCTTTCTAATAAACCCCAATTTCCCAAATTATAATTAAAAGAAAAATATTAGAGCACAAATAGCATTATAACATTGAATTGCTGTATTTGGTGGACTTTTTTCTCTAAATCCACATCAATAGGCAATTTAACAATAGGAGAAATCTCAATGGGAGTTCAGCAGATGAAATTAACACAGTGCACAGCTCTGGACTGAAATATTTCTTTGCCCATGTAATTGCTTGCAGCCACCCTTGTGTAAAAGTCCCCATCAGATTACAGGATTTGTTGTATGTAAATTGAAGACTAAATGGTTGGTAGCACCTTTCAGCTCTGCAATGCTGGAAATGAGTTTTTTAATAGGAAATTAGATTAGTAATATTTTAGTCAACAAAAATGTGGAAAAATTCTGCATAAAGATGAGAAAATTATTCATGCAAAGAGACTTTTAGAATCAACAGTGAACAATTGTTGAAATTTGTAAATGGTTACTCAAAAGAATTTCTCTACCCTTCTCCTGGTCAAAGTTCAGGGCAAGAGAAAAAAATGATTTTCTTCATGCCTTTATCACAGGATTCCACCACAATTAATAGTGCGGATAATGACAGTGCAGTCCCTTTTTCTACAGCTCCCTACAGTTTGTGTGTAATCTGGAAGTGTAAATCGGTCGCAGGGTAATTACTTTGCCTTTGGCAGCCTAATGCACTGGTGTGGGCAGGGATGCTTCCTTAGAAAGTTGGCATGTTCTGGAAGCCTGGAAGGTGGGAGGTGGAGGTTATGGGGAGGGCGTGGGCTGGGGCAGATAGAGTAGAATCTGGGTGTCTGACCTTCCTTTTTCTAGCCAGTGCACCTGGCTGGGTTCTAGGAACCAGGGCTAGGTAGGCCTTACTGTGATTCTAGGCCAAAAGTAAGGAGAACATGGAACTGGATCTTTCTGTCTCACTCCAGGAAAGCTGGGGTTGGGAATCCAGTACAGGGCACAGTCCCAGACAGAGCAGTACTTATGGGCCGGGTCACAGAGGCCTCAAGTGCCCTACTAAGGGGGCGCACCAGAGGGTTCTTTTTCAGGGACAGCACCCAGAAGAATCCCTTGAGTAAGGATCATGGTTAATGGAGTGTGAAATTTGTACAATTAGGGGATGGCTCTTTAGGAAAGGAGTATAAAATTATGAATACATGGCCGGGCATGGTGGCTCATGCCCGTAATACCAGCACTTTGGGAAGCCGAGGCAGGCGGATCTCTTGAGGTCAGGAGTTCGAGACCAGCCTGGCCAACATAGTGAAATCCTGTCTCTACTAAAAATACAAAATTATCCAGGTGTGGTGACACACGCCTGTATTCCCAGCTACTTGGGAGTCTGGGACAGGAGAATCACTTGAACTCAGGAGGCAGAGGTTGCAGTGAGCTGAGATTGTGCCTTTGCACTACAGCCTGGGCAGCAAAGTGAGACTGTCAAAAAAAGAAAGGAAAGAAAGAAAGAAAGAAAGAAAGAAAGAAAGAAAGAAAGAAAGAAAGAAAGAAAGAAAGAAAGAAAGAAAGAAAGAAAGAAGGAAGGAAAGAAAGAAGAGAGAAAGAAAGAAAGAAGAAAGGAAAGAAAGAAAGAAAGAAAGAAAGAAAGAAAGAAAGAAAGAAAGAAAGAAAGAAAAAGAAAGAAAGAAAAAGGGAAAGAGAGAGTAAGAAAGGAGGGAGGAAGGGAAAGAGAGAGAGAGAGAAAGAAAGAGAAAGGAAAGAAAGGAAAAAGAAAATTATGAATACTCCATTAGGCACAAGGTCTTGGAAGGGGCTCTGGAACTTAAGCTTCCTAAGTTACCCTGTGAATCCACCTCTGCCCACGAGACAAACTGCAAAGAGGCCGGGAACATTGTATGAAGCTGTGACCCAGGGCTGGGGAGAAAACTACACCAAGAGGTGAGTGGTTTTGCTTCCCCGAGGTTGGGTAATGTGGAGAAAGCAGGCAGTGCGCCGGTGTCTGGGGCTGGTCCCCAGAAAAGAACCTACAACTGGCTGGAGGTGGCCCGTCCAGCCCTCCTCCACCGGAAGCAGGGACGATGGTGCGTGCGCCGCCGATAGGTGCGGGCCTTCTAAGAGCGGAGCTGCTCCTTCAAAATGGACACTCAGAGACCTGTGCTGGCTGGAATCAAGTGCCCAGGGAGCCCCAAAACGGGGCTTCTGGCTCCCTCCTGCTTCACTGGGGCAGCTCTCCAGGGATGGCTCTGTCCTGTGCCCAAGGCTGGAATGCCTGAAAGAGAGGGAGAAGGGCCTGGGGAAGCAGCTCACGTGAGAGGGAAATTTAGCAGCCAGAGCCATTGAGAAGTCGTGCCAGCCACTCCACACAGCCACTCTCTGATTGCCCCGGTTCCATGTCTTACTTGTCATAGTGGAGAGCATTGACTCTAGGAAGAGCCACACTGCCTAGGCTGGAATCCTGGCTCAACCACTCATTAGCTGTGTGACCTTGAACAAATAACAGGCCTCTCTGTGCTTGGTTTTCACATCTGTAACCTGGGTACTGTATTAGCGTCTACCTCATGGGGTTGTTGTGCATTAATGTCCATAAAGCACTTAGGACAGAGTCATCATAAATATAAGCGATTATTATTCTTTTTTTTTTTTAAGACGGAGTCTCGCTCTGTCGCCCAGGCTGGAGTGCTGGAGTGCAGTGGCGCGATCTCAGCTCACTGCAAGCTCCGCCTCCCTGGTTCACGCCATTCTCCTGCCTCAGCCTCCCGAGTAGCTGGGACTACAGGCGCCCGCCACTACGCCCGGCTAATGTTTTATATTTTTTAGTAGAGACGGGGTTTCACTGTGTTAGCCAGGATGGTCTCGATCTCCTGACCTCGTGATCCGCCCGCCTTGGCCTCCAAGAGTGCTGGGATTACAGGTGTGAGCCACCGCGCCCGGCCAGAAGCGATTATTATTCTTATCTGTTCCCTTTTAAATGACGATTATGCAGACCAGTGGATCTCCAGTGTGGTGTACCGTAGCATCACCCGGCAACACTTTTTAAAGTAACCTTTTTTTGAAATATAACGAGCAAAAATGGGAAAAAAATATATACAGATCATAACTTTGCAGCTAATGCATTTTCTCAAAAGTACCTACCATCCAGACCATGAAGAGAACACGGCTGCACATGAAGTACTTTCATAAATGCAGATTCTCCTGCCTCTTTCTAGAATTTCTGATGATGGAAAATGGTCTTAGAATTCCCAGCACCAGGCTGGGCACGGTGGCTCACGCCTGTAATCCCAGCACTTTGGGAGGTCAAGGTGGGTGGATCACTTGAGGTCAGGAGTTCAAGACTAGCCTGGCCAACATGGAGAAACCCCATCTCTGGCCAACATGGAGAAACCCCATCTCTACCAAAAATGGAAACAATTAGCCAGGCGTGGTGGCAGGTGCCTGCAATCCCAGCTACTCGGGAGGCTGAGGCAGGGGAAGTGCTTCAACCCAGGAGGTGGAGGTTGCAGTGAGCTGAGATCATGCCACCGCACTCCAGCCTGGGAGACAGATTGAGGTCCCATTTCAAAAAAAAGAATTCGTTGCACCAGGAGGCATGATGGGGAGGCATTTAGAAGCAGCCTAGAACAGGTGTCTTTCCTAAGTTGAACACTTCTTCCCTTCTCAGCCACATCTTGGAGGAAGAGAGGGGTGAGTCCTGGGTAGCTGGGGGCTGCACCAGGTCAGGTGCCCTCCCTCCCAGCTCAGCCTGCCACCCGGGGCTCCCACTGGCCGGGCAATGGACAAAGCGCAGTGTTAGGCACTGCCTTTGCAGTGGGCAATTTACTTAACCTGTCTTAGAGACTCAGCCTCTGTGATATGAAGATAAAGTACACCTTGCAGGCACTGTGAGTAGCAAGTGCGTTGGCATCTGCATCACGCCTAGTCAATAACTAGTACTCAATTTCATTTCCATTACTCCATGCTTTGAGATATCTCTTGACCCTCTGCAAGAAAGTATCATCCATCCTGGCCTCTTCTCTAAAAATTTCTGGATCTTCCAGGTCCCCTTCACCCCCTAAGACTCTTCTTTGTGGCTTTCCTCTCTGATCTCTCTTTTGTCTTGGAACCCACCACTCACTACCTTTCTACGTCTAACTCTGGAGTCCAGTCAATTTAGCACTTTAATGAATATGGTCTTTTATTTTTGGCTAACTTTTTCCTAATTCTTTCATGTTGCAAAAGAATTCTCCTCCTAAACAGTTGGCTGTTTGAAGGTAGGGGCTGCGCCCAATAATTTTTGTTTAATATTTGGCACTGTGTTTATCCCATGGTACCTGCTCAACACTTGCTGAGTTGATTTGAATTAGTTCTCATCCCTTGATCAGAAGGAAATTGATTGGATCATGTTGTCTTTCTGTGCCACCCTTAGGCAGGACTTGCAGGATTGACAAGCTGACAGGTTCCCAAAGACTATGGACTGGCTTTAAATTAATTAGTGAGTCAAGAACATTTCAGGGAAGCCCGTGTGTGGAAAGCACTGAGGGGGAGATGAAGAAAGAAAGTGCGGTCTTCGTCCCTCAGAAGCTGACAGATCAGTGAGCCCAATAAAGCGTGAACACACAAAAGAGTTACCAATGAAGAACCAAACACAAGGGCTCCACGGGAAGCTGGACATATCACCAAAGAGCCCTGTGTGTCAAGAAACCATGAGGCTGGAGCAGCCAGGGAGAGTTTTATAGAAAGGAAATAGAAATTTAGGTCGGCATGGTGGCTCATGCCTATAATCCCAGCACTTTGGGAGGCTGAGGCAGGTGGATCACTTGAGGCCAGCCATTTAAGAAATTGGATTGGGGCCAGGCACAGTGGCTCACGCCTGTAATCCCAGCACTTTGGGAGGCCGAGGTGGGCGGATCACGAGGTCAGGAGATTGAGACCATCCAGGCTAACACGGTGAAACCCCTCTCTACTAAAAATACAAAAAATTAGCCAGGTATGGTGGCACGCGCCTGAAGTCCCAGCTACTTGAGAGGCTGAGGCAGGAGAATCGCTTGAACCCGGGAGGGAGGTGGAGGTTGCAGTCAGCCAAGATCACGCCACTGGACTCCAGCCTGGACGACAGAGTGAGACTCCGTCTCAAACAAAAGAAAAAAAAAAGAAAGAAAAAAGAAATTGGGTTGGACATTGAGGGGTGAGTAGGATTCAGGCAAGCAGAATGACTGGGGATGGGGAGACATTTCAGTCTGGAGTAATGGCGTGGACCCAAGAATCAGACAGAAACGCAGGATGTGATTTGATAGAAGGGGAAGTTCAGGGATGGGACGCGATGGGAGAAAAGGCTGGGATGGTTAAGTCTGGCTCATAGAAAGCCTTAAAGCCAAGCTAAGAAAGTTGGATATTTTATCATAGACCATGAGAATCAGTGAGACTCTGGGGCTGCAGAATGACTTGATAATGTCAATTCTGAGAAGGGTGGGTCTGGCTTCAGGGTATAGCCCAAACTGGAAACTCCAAGTATAGCTGGCCCCGATTCATCTAGAAAGTTACCCCATGGCCACAGGACAGCCTGGTCCTGCCCGCCAGGGACTCTTCAGGGTCCTTCACTTTTCCTGTGTCCACCCACACATGGACATTTGTCACTCACTCACGTTTGGATATTCCTTCTACATGCTGGCCTCTCTTTCAAGAAGGCAGCCCCTCTTGTTGCAAAAGAAACAAAAACAAAAGCAAGAATGAGCCATTTGAGAATTCTTGCAACATCTGTGCAAGCTGGGTAATCAACAAATACTCTCTTACCTGGGACCGTATCCTCACTGAGCAGCAGAACCAGGAAAATTAAAGAACGAATCGATTTAATAGGTTTTTTTAGTATGTCCCCCAGACAGTACCCAAGTGTTCCCCACAGTGTAGAATTAAATTACTCCAAAGTACAACGGCTTCCTGAGAAATCAGATAATTTTAATAATTTAAGGAATTTAGGAAAAATAATAAGCTTAAAAAAAATTATGATTTTGAAATTATTTATGCAACTTCCATAGAAACATGTCGGGGAATTCACTCAGAAGCATAATGAACCTAAAAAGCTGTCAAAGTAAACATCCCGAATGCATCTCCCTCATCTTCAGGAAGCAATGATGTTGTCACTCACAGGAGGCCCCAGGGTGAGCTGGCTCTCTTGGGAACAGGAATGGTGGTCTCTGCTCATGGAGGAAGAGTCTAATCCATAAATCTGGAAAAATTGTTGGGAATGGGGTCCCAGGCTTGGAGCAGGAGGCTCTGATTGAGTGACAAGAAAGCAAAGCATCCCATGGTCAGTTTATACAAAAGGCTTCAAGTGGAGGAGACGAGGGAACAAGGAAAAGGGGACCATGGATGGGCAAGGGAAAACATACTGATGGTCTTTCTGGGACATAGATTTTTGTACATCCCTTCTAAGCCCCATGGACACAGAGTGACTGCAAGGAAAAACAGGGAATACTTTCCCAAGGGAATTTGTGAAGAGTCTACGAATCTACATTCCTTTTTTTTTTTTTTTTTTTTTTGAGATGGAGTCTCGCTGTGTTGCCCAGGCTGGAGTGCAGTGGTGCAATCTCGGCTCACTGCAACCTCCACCTCCTGGATTCAAGCGATTCTCCTGTCTCAGCCTCCCGAGTAGCTGGGATTACAGGCACCTGCCACCACACCCTGCTAATTTTTGTATTTTTAGTAGAGACGGGGTTTCGTCATGTTGGCCAAGCTGGTCTGGAACTCCTGACCTCAGGTGATCCACCCAACTTGGCCTCCCAAAGTGCTGGGATAACAGGCGTGAGCCACCACACCCGGTCAGAATCTACATTCTGAGGATGGAACTAGGCAGTTGCATTACCAGTTAATCCTCCTAACAACCCCATGAGGTAGGAATTATTACTGTCCCCACTTGATGGTTGCAGACACTGAGGCTTGGAGGAGTTAAATGACTCACCCTAGATTAGCCGGTCAGTGGCAAAGCTGGGATTCAAAACCAGGTCAGCTGACTGTGGAGCCCACGCCCTTAGACTCTGCACTAAATTGTATCACAAGCAAGGCTGAGAACAATACTATGCAGAATGGAGGAGATGAGAGGGAGATGGGGCACCCCATGGGGCAACCTGGGCTCCAGGACACCAGGGCCTTAGGCAGAGGCATTGCTGAATCCACAGAGGGCACCTGCAGTGGAGGCCGTGGCTTCTTGGGTGGCAGATGGGGGTAAGGCAGGCCAGAGTGAACAACATGAGAGAACCAAGGGGCCCCAGAGACACTGGGGGCTGAGCGTCTTCAACATAAAAATGGTATAGAAGAGACTGGTCAGGAAAGGGACAGAGAGAGAAGAGGGCATGGCACCAATCCTAGAGGAACTCCAATACTTCAGGGATGAATGAAGGGAAGGGATCTCAAATTCAAAAACAGGAAGGAGAGGGTCAGTATTCCCTCAATTCGACTTTATTCAAATATGTGGAATTTCAGGAGGGGTAACTCCCCAGTGCACTCAAGAGCACAGGAGTATTTGCCTTCTTCTTAAGTTTCTCTACTTCAGACTCACACCAACATCTCTTTCCCCATAAGCTCTCCTCCTCTATTATCATTTACAGAAACATTCCATGTTTGCTTTAAGCTCAAAAAGGAAAATGAGAAAGACTCTACAGCAAAAGAAAAAAAAAGTATTCCTTTAAAGCTTCATGCAAAGAATTCATTCCACAAATATTTATTGAGTGCCTACTATGAGAAAAAACCCAGGAGGTGCCAGATTAATTTCATAGTCAATTAATTTCACGAAGTTAACCTATCAGAAATGATGGATATTACTGCCCCAGGTGCCATCTGGGGATGGCAGAGTGTGATCCAAGCCTGAAGTGCACTTGAAAAGATACAGCTGAGCTGTTTGGTCAAACCAAAGAATATTGGAGCACTGGTGACCAAAGAAAGACTTGCTTAGGGTAGAAGTAAAACCAAAGCCAGAAATAAACCTAAAACACAAGACTGGGATTAGACGAATCCTCGAGGTTAGCTGAGTGAAAAGATCAATATGGGGGAATGCAGGCAGCGGAATCCTGCCTCCCAGCTAGGCTGAGAGGAAGGACACAGGGTACACAGGGGATATCAAAGGGCTCCAGCTATTTTTAAAAACAATAATCCAAAGTTTCATCTGGATTTAAATGGATCTGAGCCCTATGGCATGTGGGAAAATCACTTTATAAGGTGTTGCAATACCCCTTTGGAAATCTTACCTTCAGATTCACCAAAATGGAATGTAATGTGTGTCTCTAAAAATCCTGGTAGCAGTGGGGCTTTTTTCTCCCCAGCTGATGATTCCATTTTCACAGGAAGACCATAGATCTTAGCAAAGAAAACTCTATAAAGAAAATGGTCTCAGAGAAGATGCACAATGATTAAGTCAGGGTAGGGGAGACAACATGTGAAAGGAAAAGAGAATAATAAAGGATCCATTAAAGTTACGCTGTGGCAACAATCAGAAAGTACATTCTGGCAACAGATACTCCTTAATGTAGAGATTTCTTTAATGTAGGCTATTAACCATGCCGCCCACCTTCGGCCTTTGTTCTCCTTTGTAAGAGACTTTTAATCAGAGAGGGAATAGCATTTCCTCCCCTTCAAGGGTGATCAATTCTCACACTTGTGCCAAGAGGCCATCTGCCAATGCCAGCCTTTTTACCAGTCTCTCCCGGACTCAAAAGGAAAGTTGGCTGTCCTGAGCAGAAGATGAATCTTAGATGGTCTCCTAATGGCCAACATCATTAAATAGTAACCATGTGGCTCTAGACGCCTCAACCTCTTGTCAGCTCAGGATTCAAAGGGCAGCATAAGCCCCAGGCTCCCATCCCTTGTCTCATCTCCTCATCCTTCCAAGGATAAGCTGAAAAACTTGCTTCCTCAGTTCCCAGGATGTGACATGAGTTTTCTGTGTCTCTGGCTCACCGTCAATTTGAGCTCCAGGGAAAAAATAATCATCTCAGCAACACATTCTGGAAAAGTGGTGGTTTGGCCACAAATGAGAGGAGAGAGCTCTCAGGAGGTCCACCCTGTCAAGAATGCCTACATTCCACAGAAAGTTCGGGTCCTCTTCCTCCACTAGAGTCTCACTCTCCATCCTGGATATCAATCAGCAGACATTGTGAAGGTCCTTATTTCTGGTATTTGTAAAAATTGAGCTCTTAAGCAGTTCTTTTTCTGATTAAACTTTAAAATCTTTCAAGGCCAGTCAGAAAAGATCAGACCAAGAGTTCATCAATGCAAGAGAACTCTCACTTGGTCTAGCCACTGAATTATGCAGAAGAAAGGAGATGATCAGAATGTAAGGCTGTGGTTTGAGAGCAGTCCTGTCCATCTAGGGACCTAGAGAGAGGCACGCCCATCTGCGCTTCCACAGGCAGGCCAGCCAAATTTGGCACTACAGCCACGGAATTCAGTTCCAGCCCCTCTCGGCTGCGGTCTGAGGGCCGTCCTTCCTGCCCAGGGACTTGCCAGGAGACATACCTGTCCATGACTCTGGAGGCAGGCCTGCAGACCTTGGTCTCAGCTGTAGACCCCAAAGCAGCCTGTGACTCAATCCCAGTCCCTCTCAGCCATGGTCCAAAGCAAGTACTTTCTGCTTAGGGGCCTACCCAGTAGCTCAGGAAAGCCCCCCTAGAGACCCAGAGGAAGCCACACCTGTCTGTGCAACTGGTAGGAGGCCCACTTTCTGCAGAAGCAGACTGTCATTCCAGCACCAGCCTTACTGACCAAGGAACTGGAGGTAGTCCAGTCTACCCAGAAACCAGATAGAATCCACACCCACTAGCGCACCTGGTAAGAGGCCCACCAGCCTTGGACCCCACTGAAGAATCAACAGCAGCCCCATGACCAGGCTCCACGCCCACTTGACTGCAAACCTGGAGGGAATCTTCTCATCCTGGGTACACGAGACGAAGACTTTACCTATCGAAACCAGACTGTAAAGACTTGAAAAGGTGTGGCTCCTTCAGATTCACAGAAACCAATGCAAGGCTGCAGAGATAACAATCAAGTTAACACCAACCAATGGAGACTAATAAAGCTCTAATATCTGACACCAAAGAAATGGATATCACTAAATTGGCTGAAAAAAATTCAAAATAATCATCTTAAAGAAGCACAATAAGATTCAAGAAAATGCAGATAGATTGCTAAATGAAATTAGAAAAATGATGTGTGAACAAAATGAGAAGTTTAATAAGGAAATAGAAACCATAAAAAGGAACCAAACAAATCCTGGAGCTGAAGAATATAGTGACAGATCTGAGAACTTCAATAGAGAGCTTCAAGTGCAGATAAAATCATGCAGAAGAAAAAATTAGCAAACTCAAATATGGGTCATTTGAAATTAGCCAATTAGAGGAAAGAAAAAGAAAAATATTGAAAAAGAGCAAAAAAATAAAAAGCATAAGGGACCTATGGGACACTATCAAGCATATGAATATATAAATTATGGCAGTCCTAGGAGGAGAAGAGAGACAGAAAGGAGAAGAGAGCTTATTTTAAAGTATACTGTCTGAAAACAACTGAAATTTTAAGAAAGATATGGACATTCAGATGCATGAATCTCAAAGGATCCCAAATAAGATAAACCCAAAAAAGAACACTCAGAGATACATTATAATCAAATTGTCAAAAGCCAAAGACAAATAGGAAATCTTGAAAGCAACAAGAGAAAAAACTAATCATATATATAGGAACCCCCATAAGGTAGACTTCTTGCCAGAAACCTTGAAAGCCAGAAGGGAGTGGGATGAGATATTTAAAGTACTGAAAGAAAAAAATTGCCACCTAAGAATCATATGCCCAGCAAAACTGTCCTTCGGAAAAACATAAGGACATTCCCAGACAAATAAAAGCTGAGGGAGCTCATTACCATGAGACCTGCCTTATAAGAAATGCTAAAGGTAGTTCTTCAAGTTGAAATGAAAGAATGCTCAGTAACAATATGAAAACATATGAAAGTAAATACATAGAAAAGATAAATACATAATCACATTCAGAATAATACTGTAATGGTGGTGTGTAAATCACTTTTAACTTTAGTATAAAAGTTAAAAGACAAAAGTATTAAAAATAACTATAGCTAGAATAATTTGTTAACAGATACACAATATAAAAAGATGTAAAATGTGACATCAATGGCATAAAATGTAGTGGGAAGTAATCAATGTGTAGAGTTTTTGTATGTAATTGAAGTTAAGTTGTTAGCAGCCTTAATTAGAATGTTGTAAGATGTTTTATACAAACCCCATGGTAACCATAGAGAAAAAAACCTCTAGTAGATACGCAAAACATAAAGACAGAGTAACCAAAGTATACCATATAAAGGTTTAACAAATCACAAAGGAAGAGAGCAAACTGGAAGAAAGAAACAATGAAACTAAAGAACAGTCAGTAAACAAAATCAAAATAACAATAGTATTTTCTTACCTCTTAATAATTACATTAAATAGAAATGGATTAAATTTTCTAATCGAAAGACACAGAGTAGCTAAATGGATTTAAAAAGCAAGATCCAATAATACGCTGCTTACCAGAGATTTATTTTAGCCTTAAAGACACACACAGGCTGAAAGTGAGAAATGAAAAAACATATTCCATGTAAAGGGAAACCAAAATAGAGCAGGGGTGGCTATCCTTACATCAGACAAAATATACTGTCAATCAAAATCTGTCAAAAGAGACAAAGAGGGTCACCATATGATGATAAAGAGGTCAATTTGGCCGGGTGCAGTGGCTCACGCCTGTAATCCCAGCACTTTGGGAGGCCAAGGCAGGCGGATCATGAGGTCAGGAGATCGAGACCGTCCTGGCTAACACAGTGAAACCCCGTCTCTACTAAAAATACAAAAAATTAGCCGGGTGTTGTTGCAGGTGCCTGTAGTCCCAGCTACTAGGGAGGCTGAGGCAGGAAAATGGCCTGAACCCGGAAGGCGGAGCTTGCAGTGAGCCGAGATCTCACCACTGCACTCCAGCCTGCGTGACGGAGTGAGACACTGTCTCAAAAAAAAAAAAAAAAAAGATCAATTCATCAAGATAAAATAACAATTATAAATACATAAGTATCCAACATTGGATCACTTAAATATATAAAGCAAATTTTAACAGAAGTGAAGAAAGAAAGTGACAACAACACAGTAATAAGGGACTTCAATATCCCACTTTCAGCAATGGATAGGTCATCCAGACAGAGAATCCATAAGGAAACAGCAACTTGAATAACACTCTGGACCAAGAGGATCTAATGAACATATACGGAACATTCCATCCATTAGTAGTATAATACACATTCTTTTCAAGTGCACATGGAACATTCTCCAGGATAGATCTTGGGCCACAAAACAAGTCTTAACAAATTTAAGGAGATTAAAAATCATCTCAATCATTTTTTATTCTCACCACAATAATATAAACGAGAAATCAAGAAGCAGAAAAATTTTGGAAAATTCACAAGTATGTGGAAATTAAACAACACAGTCCTGAACAACAAGTGGGTCAAACAAAAAAATCAAAAAGGAAATCAAAAATTATCTTGAGACCAAGAAAAACAGAGACACAAAATACCAAAACTTATGGGAGGCAGCAAAAGCAATGGTTAGAAAATTTTAGCAATTAATGTCTACTTTAAGAAAAAAGAAAACAAAGAAACAATCTAACTCCACATCTCAAGAAACTAGAAAAAGAAGAGGATAAACAAAGACCAAGTCAGCAGAAGAAAGAAAAAAGATTAGAGCAGAAACAAATGAAAGAGAATAGAAAGACAAGAGAAAAGATCAACAAAACTAAGAGTTGTTTTTTGAAAAGATAAACAAAATCAATACAACTAGCTAGGCTACCAAGAAAAAAAGAGAAGACTCAAATAAATAAGATTATAAATTAAAAAGAAGACATTGTAAATGATAGCAAATAAATACAAAGAATCATGAGAGACTAGTAAGAACAGTTATATGCCATATATGGGAATATATTCAGAGAAATGTGTTAGGCAATTTTGTCACTGTGTAAACATCATAGAGTGTATTTACACAATCCTGGATGGAATAGCCTGCTATACACTGAGGCTATACAATATAGACTAAAACCTGTATATCTTATTACCATACTGAATACTATAGGCAGGTGTAACATAATGGTAAGAATTTGCATACTTAAACAAAGAAAAGGTGATGAATTGCACTACAGTGTCACAATGGCTATGAAGTCACTAGGCAATAGGAGTTTTTCAGCTCCATTATAATCTTATGGGATTACGGTCATATATGGAGTTCATCACTGATCACAACATTGTTATGTGGCACACAACTGTATTGAATAACTTAGAAGAAATTGATACATTCCTAAAAACAGAGAACCAGTCAAGAGTAAATTATAAAAAATAGAATATCTGAACAGATCAGTAACAACTAAGGAGATAGAATCAATAATCAAAAGCTTTCCAACAAAGTAAAGCCCAGAACCAGATGGCTTCACTGGTGAATTTTACCAAGAGTTTCAAGAAGAATTGATGCCAATCCTTCTCAAACTCTTCCAAAAAACTGAAGGAAGAGGAATACTTCCAAACTCATTTTACAAGGCCAGTATGATCCTCATACCAAAGCCAGATAAGAATGCTACAAGAAAACAAAATTACAGGCCCATATTCCTGATGAATTTAGATGCAAAAAATCCTCAATAAAATACTAGCAAACCAAATTCAAAAGCACATGAAAAGGATCATACACCATGTTCATGTGTGTTTTATCCTGGAGATGCAAGGATGGTTTAACATACACAAATCAATAAATCATATACACCATATTGACAGAATAAAAAGATAAAAATCATATGATCATCTCAATGCATGCAGAAAAAGATTTTGACAAAATGTAACATATTTTCATAATTAAAAACTCTCAACAAAATAGATATAGAAGGGATGTACCTCAACATAATAAAAGCCACATATGACAAGTCTGCTGCTAACAGCTCTTCCTCTAAGACTTATCAGGAAGTGAGGGAATCCTCGGTTCTTGCCTAACCTGGAAGAAAAAATTCAGCCAAGAGATGCATAGCAAGGGTTAAGCAGCAGAGTTTATTGAAGGAAGATAAAGTACATGCCTAGAGAGCAATGGAAAATGTTCCAGGCTGGTCCAGCTGGAAAAGTCATAGTAGCATAGTAGCAGTGTTTATCTAAAGAAGCAGTAAGCTCTGAAAGACGAGAGAGTAGGCTGCACAAAAGAAAGAGCCAGCAGCCACTAGTGCTGGGGAAATGCCCTTCATGAGACTCTTACATGATTATTCATGAAGGGGCATGAGGGGGTGTCACTTTACAATCCTGTTTCAGGAGGTCCCTTTGGGCGCACATGCTCTGTGGTTATACATGCCAGTACACACATCGTGTGTCTCATTAGCATTTAAAATCTCCATCCAGGGGTGTTCTTTTTACTATTATAATGAGCAAAAAGCTATTCTAGAGTGAGTTTTTGGAGGAGTGCACGTGCTCGTCAGTGGGGAAAGTCCTTAGCGTGGTTACCTCCAGCTAGGGCTTGATAAATCCCCTTCAGGGCTGGAGGAGCCCCAACCACAAGACCAGATGTGATCTTGCCCTTTTTGCTGACTGCCAGTGGGCAACATCTCCAAGACTTCTTTTCCCAGGGGGCTCCCTGGGCTGCTCGTTTCTGGCTATCTGCTACTCTAACAAGATCAGGAACAAGACTCAGGTGCCCACTCTCAACACTTGTATCCAACACAGTACTAGAAGACCTAGCCAGAGCAATTAGGCAAGAAAAAAAATAAATCAAAAGCATCCAAATAGGAAAGGAGGAAATTAAATTGCCTCTGTTTGCAGATGACATGATTGGATCCTGGCTCCTGTCATGTGGCGTTTGCATCTTAATTCAGTCCCCACTCCTCCATCTGAACACTTAAGTTCTGCATGAGGTTGCACGCTGGGCTCATCAGGGCAGGCTCAGTTTCCATGACCTTTAACCTGAGGGTGTCCATGGCAGCTGAAAAACGATTTAGCTTTGCTACGTAATCCAAACACTTGGTGATAACATGTTAATATTGGGGTTATTTCTTTCCTTTCTGTACACACACACACACACACACACACATAAACACACATATGTATCTAAACACACACATTTACACATATACATGCATATACATGTGGCCATGATGAAGGCACAATTTGATATTTTAGTATCTTTTATTGAACATTATATTGTGATTATATTTCTATATTGGTGGAATTTATTCATAAACATTAACTTTAATAGCTATAATACACTACTGCATTCTATGCCATAATTTCCTTAGCCATTTCCCTAGTTTGGGATGTTTATGTCCAATTTTTCTGGCCTATAAACAATATTTTTTAACAGCTTTGGGCATAAATCTCTATCTAATCTACCTTTTGAGTTTCATCAGCTATATTCTAGAAAATGAAACCTCGGGGTCACAGGGGATCAAGTTTTTGGGATCTTGATATATTGCCAAATTCTTGTTGGATTTTCCAATCCTTCAAGACTCAGTTTACAAATCACTCCTCACAAAACTGTCTTTTTTTTTTCTTTTGAGATAGGGTCTTGTTCTGCCACACTGGCTGGAGTGCAGTGGCGCAATCATGGCTCACTGCAGCCTTAACTTCCTGTGCTCAAGGGATTCTCTTGCTTCAGCCCCCCAAGTAGCTAAGACTACAGGCACGCATGACCACACCTAACTAATTTTTGAATTTTTTGTAGAGATGAGGTCTCCCTATGTTGCCCAGGCTAAGTGATCCTCTGGCCTTGGCCTCCCAGAGTGCTGGGATTATAGATGTGAGCCACAGCATCTGGCTCCTATCTTAATTATGTCTCCTTTCCCTATTATTCCATCACAGCAACTCTGTTTTCACTGCTCTTGTCACAACATAATGTACTCTATCTAGTAGTGTGTTTACTTAATTAATGTTTGCCCCTGCCTCTGGACTGTCATTTTTATGAGAACATCAAGGTCTCTTCGTTGTTGCTATAGTTGTGGAGATGGGGTTTCACCATGTTGCCTAGGCTGGTCTCAAACTCTGAGCTCAAGTGATCCACCTACCTCAGCCCCCAAAGTGCTGGAATGAAAGGTGTGAGCCACTGCGCCCGGCCCAGGGTGTCTTTAGTTCACCACTGAATGCCCAGTGATGAAGACATTGTCTCGTATACTGTAGGCCCTGAATGAATGAATGAATGAACGAGTGATGTCTATCATCAAGACACAGACACACAGCAGGGAAGCGGGAGTGGGAATTGGGGCTGCTATGATGGGTGGAGCTATGACAGCCACCTCTAGGCACAATGCCCACATGCTCCCGGTGAGTCCTGCCTCAGCTCCTAGGGGTGGGCAGTGTTTAGAGCTGAGCATCTGCCTCCCTTCAGAGACCCCATGACACATCCTGCCCCACACCCCTTTCTGCTTCCGATGTCAGAAGGAAGCCCAAGACTTCTAGGTCCCATCTTTAGGTGGTCTCACTTCCCTCAGGGATTGTGCAGCCCCACCCTATTCTTGCCCTCACTGACACCGGCCACCTTCCCAGTGGTGGCTGCTGGAGGCTCCCCCCGCACATATTTGGGGGTTGGAAATGGGACAGGTGTCTTTCTTACTCCCATTGACACTTCCAGGTCATCGTTCTTCCTTTCTCAGGAATGCCTCCCCTTCTCCCTCGAAGCTTGTAATTAGACCATACTTTATTTCACTCCTTCTCACCATCTCCCATAGGCTTGTATTCTGTGAAGGTTTTAGCATTTGAATCGCTGTCTTGCAACCATATTTGTTGTTGATGATGATTTTGGTGTCCTCCAGCACACTGGTCTCCCTGCTCCTTAACTGCCTCACTCTCTATCTTGCCTTCTGCCTCGTGTCCACCACCGTGTCCCAGGCCACTCCTACCAATGTCACTCCTGCCAGTATTCCCTCCAGAGTCTCTACTGAAAGCACCCTAGTCTCATACAACACGGATCCCCCAACTCCAACCCGTCTGCTCCTTCTCACATCCTAGTCCTGAATCCTGCTTTATTTTCTCTGCACCAAGCATCACTGTCTGAACGTTACACAGCCTGGCTATTCCCCGTTAGTGTAAGACTGCGTTATTCCCTAGTGAGTTTCCAGCATATACATGGCACCTGGCCTACAGCAGGAGCCATGAATGAATGAATGAATGAATGAGTAAATGAATATGAGATAATTGTTTTCCCTAAACTGACTGCATATTCTACATAGTAAATTTCAAGCCACATAAAGTGGCATCTTAAAAAAAAAATCAATATTGGCTTCTTTGTGGCCTTACAATTACCTTGAACAAATCACACACACAGGATATCTCTGAGTATCAATTAGTCCAGAGGGAACCACTGAAAGGACTTAGGATACACAGCAGAAGATACCAGCATAGTCTGCTGAGTAACCAGTCCGAGATTAGAAGTCCCTGATGAGCCATCCCCGAATGAATGGAGAGAACATTTCCTGGCTTACGGGAAGGAGAGCCAGAGCCAAGGGAAGTGCCTCGTTCAGCTGGATTAGTTATTGGAAACTCGTTTCCCTAGGCCAGCCAGTCCTTCCAGACGCTGAGAGTCTGTGGCTGTCTAGCCTCTTCTCCAGGGGCGTGGGATCACGGGAGATGGGCCTGCTGCATCAGCTCCTGGCTCCTGCCTTCCGGCCCCCGCAGTCCATTTAAAGGCGCAATGGAGGAGAAGCGCCCGTGCTCTCAGGGCCAAAGCCGTGAGCCAGTCCTAGAGAGCTTCCAGAGCAAGGCCCTCCAGTCCTAGTCGGCTTCCCCAACTCTGCCTCCATGCTCTGAAACTGACCCAGAAAAGCAGGCATGTTAGCAACTGGCAGTGTTTCTCTCTCAGATACGGGAACTGTGCTTGATTAGGATCTTGAGTGAAATAAGCCATCGTTTCATTGGGAATGTCTCAGAGCTCAAAGTTTCTTTCTATGTATGCATAATTAATATTCTACCTCTTTGAAGATAAATTTTATCTATCCAACTCTGTAAATGGATCATTTCCCCTTGGCTATTACTATGTCGTCTCCTTTCCCAAAATAAAATAAAATACAAAGACAAAATGGTATGTAAAAAAAAAAAAATCCTCGCTAAAAATGATTTACATTTTTATTCCCAACATGAAAAGCTCAAGAATGTTTTTAATGCCTGTCCAGCTTGAAAGCCGCTGCAAATGTCTTACAACATTTTGTAACAGGCTTTTCCCATCTGTGCTGAAAGCAGCTGATGATTTAATGCAAATTGTTATTGTTTCACAATCTCCCAGCGATCTTTTCTATTTTGGATTAGCATCCAAGGCCTTTTTTTTGCATCTGCTACAGAAGCCTGCCTGTGAGGAACTGGCGTTTCATTGTGGCCATTCTGTGTTCCGCAGCGCCCTGTTTTCCTTGTGTTTCAGATCCTCCTCAGTTTCCAACATTTTCACTTAACTCTTCCTTTTCTCAACCTTGAAACCTGGCTTAGAAATGAACCCCTTCTGGTCTGAGGGTCTTAAACACTGAAGCAGAGGAGGCAGAGCATGAAACCACGGTCACCAGCAAGGGAGCCCGGGAGGCTCTGCACATCCACATGGAAGCCTGGCTAAAATGTCTATTTCAGTAGACTTTGCAAATTTATGACACCCAGTGCCTGAAGTGTGAATGAACCATTATATGTATATGTGTATAATGTGTTTGCATACATATATAATATGTAATTTTATAATATAAATAGTATTATGATTCATAAATATTTTAAATTAAAAAAATTTTTTAGACAGAGTCTCGTTCTGTTGCACAGGCTGGAATGCAGGGGCGTGATCTTGGCTCACTGCAACCTCCACCTCCTGGGTTCAGGCGATTCTCTTGCCTCAGCCTCCCTAGTAGGTGGGATTACAGGCATGTGCCACCACACCCAGCTAATTTGTTTGTTGTTGTTGTTGTTGTTGTTGTTTTTAGTAGAGATGGGGTTTCATCTTGTTAACCAGGCTGGTTTCAAACTCCTAACCTCAAGTGATCCACCTGCCTCGGCCTCCCAAAGTGCTGGGATTACAGGTGTGAACCACCGTGCCCAGCTTTAAATTAAAAAAAAAAAAGTTTGTTTAAAGACATGGTCTTGCTCTGTTGCCCAGGCTGGAGTGCAATGGTGTGATCATAGCTCACTGCAGCCTTGAACTCCAGGGCTCAACCAAACCTCCCATCTCATCTTCCCAAGTAGCTAGGCCTATAGGTGCATGCTGCCATGCCTGGCTAATGCTTTTTTACTTTTTGTAGAGATGGGGATCTTGCTATGTTGCCCAGGCTGGTCTCAAATTCTTGGCCTCCCGCTTGGCCTCCCAAAGTGCTGGGATTAAAGGTTTGAACTTTTCATTGTACCCATAAAATTAATTTTCAAAGGATTACTAATTTTGCAATTGTTTATACATTATGTTGTACTTTTTTTCCCATCAACGAAATGTACAATGACCATCAAGTAAGGCATTTAAAATTGCCTAAAGTAAAATCTTTTTATTTGATAAAACCTTTGTATCACAAGTAGGGGTCACAGTTGGGACAATGAGTTTTGGGTTCTGATTGAGCCACTCATCACCTGGCAAGTCTCAAATTCTTGGTTTCTCAGTGTCCTCATGTGTAAAATTGAACTATCATTTCTCTACCCTGCTTCTCAGGGTTTGGGGACTCAAGAAGAAAAGATGGGAACGTTTTGCAAATTGTAAAGTGCTACACAAATAAATCAATCAAAAAAAGTAAGAAGCCAGGAGCAGCTTGTGGACTTTGCGGGTTCATATTTTGCGGGAATGCTTTGGTTGCTGGGACCGGAATGGGGGCCCCTTGGGCCTGGATAGAAGTCAAGCCAAGCAGATAAAATTAAAGCAAGTTTGGAAATGGAGCTCCAAGTCAGGGCATGTGCACAGCAAATTCACTTTGAGGCTTTATGAGTTCAAAGGTTTGCTATATTCCAAAACACCCCACGTTCTTTGGCGAGCCCTAATCTGACCCATCTCAGGGTTGTCAGCCAACGTTTTTACCCATTTAATCCCATCATAAACAACTGCAATGGATACGTTGCTGCTGACAACTCGAGCCGGGTAAATGCAAGTCAGATATGAACTGAACCCTGAAACCAGATCATTAGCCCGGGTCATGATTGGTTTAGAAATTTGTGTTGTTTTCCTTCCTCTATTTCCTGCCATAGAGTGCCAGCAATCTATGGCACTTTCCCCCCTCATAGTTTGCAGTCAGCTGGGCCCAGAGCCATGCGAAGCTGTTTTTAATGGCAAAACCTTCAAAGTTGTACTTAAAATATTTGCATCATAAAATCCCTCATGGAAGCCAAACCTCGGTTTCAGAAGGAACCTTCTTGCAAGCGGGGAGACTGCCTCCAGGGAGCGAAGAAGGGCCCCTGCTCACGCCCCTTCCTCCCACAGACAATCCGCTGAGGCTGCTGACACCCTGCAGGATCAGATCATTGAGAGGCATCCACAGCATCTAGGAACAAACTCGAAATGGCTTTTCTAAGCCAGCAACGGTGTGAGGTGACTCAGCAGTTCACCGTGCAATTCAGAAAAAAGGTGTTTTCACACATTTAATTGATCCTGTGAGCAAGTAAGTGCTAAGCAGGAAAGATGAGGAATTGTCCAGCTTCACAGTGGGAAGACTCAATTCCTTGCCTCCTGCCCTCTACTCCCATGACCAGTGTTAAACAGACCCATCCGGAGTGGGGCAGGCCAGCGCAGATACAATGTGCTTAAAAAACACACAAATCAGGAAATAAAAACTGATGATTTAAATCGGAGCTCAGAAAGGGGAAAAAAATATGAGAAAAAGCGGTTATCTTCTTCAGAAAAGGATTCTCGATCTTAGGGGATCCATAATGGAATTCTTTAAAGGTGAAATTCCCTATCGCGTCTTAGCCTTTTTTGGCTAAGATCAAGTGTGAAAGTGAAATTCCCTGTGATGGGGCTTATGATGGGGCTTAACTGAAGGCAACGAAATTTACGGACAGAGGACATCCATAGGCTTTTACTTTGCTGAATGGAATATGAAAGTCTAGGAGAGGAGAAGGATGCGTGCTGGCGGAGAAGATGCTAAATTCTGGAGACAAGAACCCATCTAGCTGGGTGTGGTGGCTCACCCCTGTAATCTCGGCACTTTGGGAGGCTGAGGCAGGGGGATTGCCTGAAGTCAGGAGTTTGAGACCATCCTGGCCAACGTGGTGAAACCCCGTCTTTACTAAAAATACAAAAATCAGCCAGGCGTGGTGGTGCACACATAATCCAAGCTACTTGGGAGGCTGAGGCAGGAGAATCACTTGAACCTAAGAGGCTGAGGTTGCAGTGAGCTGAGATTGCACCACTGCACTCCAGCCTGGGCAAGGAAGCAAGACTCTGTCTCAAGGGGAAAAAAATCCTTCTATGTGGGTTGCAATGAGAATCTTTCCTTTCCCCCATAAGCACCAAAGCAGAATATCCGTTTCTTGTTTAAAAAAAATTCTTTAAAGCTTATGTTCAGAATTACAACCCTTATCCCTGACACATTTTTAAAAAGTCAATTTTATTCCACCAGCTTTTGTGATCTAATCATTACTCAGAGCTGAAGGTGGTTTTCCATTAAAGCATCTCCGTCACTCTCACTTTCTGACCTGTGAACGTTCTTATTAGCTGCCTTATTAAGATGATATCCTGTCTCTGAAGAAAAGATTATCTCCTTACCTGACATGTCATTATCCAAGTAATCTTTGTTCCCTCCTCCCCACCCCAGAAGAAAAAAGCTGACTGTTAACTAGACATTTAAATGTATGGTACACTGTGCTATTGGAAGGAGGACGTTTCTAATGGAACGTACCTGGAGGCGGGTAGTTGAACCTCATGACTTACTCTTCCATGACTAGCAAACAAAGCCAGAAAATAAGAACTACCTGCCTCATCCTAGATTGGTTTCAGAAACACCTGAGCTTTAAGGACTCATCGTATGAAATAAGAAACCATTAAAATAACCAAATATAGAACGACATATGCAAAACTACATTCGAAAGTACAAATTTGTGCACTTTCTAATAAAAAATACTGGAGCAGGGCAGCATTCTTGACGACTGCCATATGTGGGTGAAACAAGGGCAATGGCGTGGACAGAGAAGCCACCGGGATGCCTGGTCTCCCACCGGCTGTCTCCTCGCTGTGATACTTATTGTGGCCAACGATCACAAAGAAGATTCCTGACAAAGTGGTTTGCTTATTTTCCACCCCTTTTCAAACTCCATGAAACAGAAAATTCACTGGGTTTACCCTCTCTCATTGGATCTACTGGACTTCATTGGCAGAAACCCAGAGAAGTTGGGGTCCTGCTCTCCGCCTGTTCTGGGACAGCCCTGTCAATTGTGGGGTGCTTTTGTAACCCAGGGTCCCCGGGTTTTCTGGCAGCCTGTGGAAAAGTGCCCACTGGTAACTGTTGCACCCTGAGTTCTCCTTGTTTCACAAAAATTCCAGGAAGCAGCCCAGACCCAGCAAAATAAAAACTAGTTGGATCCAGAGGTGCCTAGTTGGAGGGAACTTTGGTGAACTCTTCTCCTTACTGCACTAAACACTCCGCCCAGGGAGGAACTTATTTGCCATTTTCTACCCATGCGAAGGATGTAGAAGCATGATCAATGACTGTCCCTGCACCAGCCTTACTCCACCTCACAGGGGTGGCCAATCTTTTGGCTTCCCTGGGCCACGTTGGAAGAAGAATTGTCTTGGGCCACACATAAAATACACTAACGATAGCTGATGAGCTAAAAAAAAATTTTTTTAAATCGCAAACAAAAATCTCATAACATTTTAAGAAGGTTTACGAATTTTTGTTGGGCCACATTCAAAGCCATCCCAGGCCACATGTGGCCCTTGGGCTGCAGATTGGACAAGCTTGACATATGATGACTCAGCTCAGCTCACCAGCCCGATAAAAGCTGTTTTCACCTCGTTCAGGGAGGTACTGCTTTTGGGAACTATCCCTGGCATCCTCCTCACGCGTTGCCAATAATGAAACCCTTGGTGAACTCCTCCTTAGCTGTGGTCATTGGACCATGAACCGCCAAGTGATTGAACCCTAATACTTTGACCTTTGAGCTGCCGTCGGTCTGACCACAGAAAGAGAAGGTGGATGGCAGTGCTTCAATTACATATAATATAGATATGCTATGCAGTATTATTTTTATAATTTCTAATACAAATGACTATATACTGTCTTAATGGACTTAGAAATGATGCCATAGTGGAGACCATCTTTCCCAAAGGACAGGTGAGTTCCCCTACCTCCATCCTCATCTGAGAGTGGGCTCCAGGGTCTCCCTGGCTCCCCTTTCATGCAATTTTTGCTGGGCAGATTCCAGTGCCCATCTTGACAGCACCCGGGCCGGCTCCGCCTTGGGACACGCCCTCCCAGGGGATACCCTTGTGTCTTAGCAAAAGGTCCTGAAGCCAGGAGGCTGGTCCGCTGAGTCAAGGTTGCTTCATGGAGCCTATTTTGACTTCTCTGTGGACCATTCCTACTTCTCTTCCCAGTGCCGCTCAAACTGTCAGTTTCAACCCACAGGTCCCTTTGTGACTTGGGTCCCCACAACATGTGATTATTGCCTCTCCTACTCTGCTGTCCGCTGTCAGTTGAGACAAATAAGCCATGTGTTTTGGCATTAGCAATGGGCCTCCTGCTCAGGGAGAAAATGAACAAACCTGTCCATCTTCCCTTTTCACTTCCCACACCTGGCATGCTTGAAAGAACCAAGGAGGTGGTATTGCCTCGGCTTGCCATGCACCCCTCATTCCTAATCTCGAGGTGATAGAATTTGGATGTAGTGACAGGATGAGCGTTGCTATGACAACCCACTGATGCTAGGTGCTCCATAAGAGGGCATTTTTGACAGGTCCTCGCAAAGTCTGCCATTTGTGTGGGGACCAAATCTCCTATATTTGTGCACTAGACATACCTAGGGACATAGCACCCTTTATGCCTTCAAAATGCCGCATGCATATTTGTGGGCGTCCCTCTTAAAGAAATAGCAAAGCCTTACTTTGTAATTTGGGAAATAAGAACCAGGTTTGTACTGGAAGTGGACTCGAATCTGGACCTTTCTCTGGGCTCACAGGACTCAAGGCCAGGACTCAATCAAAACATCTGGCTTGCTAGGATGATTCCAAGGGTCCAAAGGGCAGTCATGGGACTATCATGTCGCTTTCTGCATAATTTTTCATTCATTTAGTTCGAGCTGTACTGGCTCCTTCAATTCAGAACTCCTCAGGCTTCTTCAGGCAGCCTGGGCCTTGCAGTGGACTCATGAAGGTTCTTGTCTCTCCCCTTCCCCTCTCTCCTCAGGTGCTCAAATACGCAATCAACCACCAGTTCCTGTGTTTGCAAACTTCCCACTTTGAGACTTCCAACTGTAAGACTGTATATTGTCTTAATGGACTAAGAGTGAGAATGATGTCATAATGGGGACCATCTTTTCCAAGGGACAGGTGAGTCCCCCCTCTCCATCCTCATCCAAGAGTGGGCCCCAGGGTTCTCCTGCCCCCTTTCCTGCAAACTTTCCTCAGATGTGAGGAAACTTCCAACTTTCTCTAAATATAAAAAAAAAAAAAAAATCACATCTGTTAATAGACCTTTTAAAAAAGCCCAGCTAGGCAAGGCTGCCCAGGAACACCAGAGACACCAAAAGAACAGGAAGAAATATGCCTTTTATTAGGAGTTGCATATGTACAGAGAAAGCTGTTTCTCACAGCTCAGGGGAGGCTGTGAGAAAGAGCCACTGTCATCCAAGGTCACTGCGCGTACACTGGTAACACCACTTAGACACCGCCGCACGTGATTAAGAAACAGAACCATGACACAGAAATGCAGAAGAGACACGGGTACGTGTGTGGACACATCATTTCTAAAAACAAGTCAACACAAAAATACAATGTGCCAATAAAAAAAAAATAGACATATCCATACATGTCTTTTTTTCTGTTTTTAAAGTAAATACATGGTATGCTGAGCTTTCACCTCCAGCTTTTTCCACATCGGGATTCACAGGCACTTTAGCACCCCAGCCATGGTTTACAATACAGGATGTTCAGAACAATGAAGGAAGATGGGAGCCACCGAGATCCCCGAGACCCACACACACACTCTAATACTGACGCGAGAGTGAGCTTCCTGCCACCACCGCTGTGGGACCCGAAAATGTTCTCTGTGTGATGTGTAACGGCTTTTCCTTTGTCTTTTATGTTTCATGGCAGAACTACTTAGGAGCGCGGCATCGCCAGTCAGACATGCAGTGTGTGGATGCATTAGACAAGCATCAATTGCCTCTGACTTGAAAAACCGTAGAGAGCAGATCAAAATGACTGTCTGGTTTATCTCTGTCCCATTCTGTGCCCTTCCTGACAAGCTGTCAGAACAAAAACTAATTAAAATAATTACTAGGATGTACTGGGCCATGAGCTCTTCCTAGGAGAATTTCTTTCTTAGCTCTCCCCTCATGATAGACACAGGGCCAATGGCAGGCCCAGCTTCCCCCGGCAGGAGCCACTCCTGTCTCCCACGTTCCCCACACAGAGCTGTGGTGACTCAACCCACGTGTCAGGAACAGGACCGAACAAGCGTATGTATAAACGCAGACCAGGATCATCACTTTATTGGTAATGTTGAGTCATAAGGCAGTTACAAAAGGACCCCCATGGTGACCAAACAATGTTGGACTATGGCTTAGCTTCTGTAATAGGATGACCGACTCTCCCGTCACAAAGAGCTGAGAAAGGAAAGAGAAAACCACAGTGATGACAAAGTACGACAAATGGCTGTGCTGTGAAGTACCAGAAAGCCCCAATTTTTGGTGTATGTCGCCCACTTTTCCTCCACCAGAGACTAAGATGTCATCCCATAGCTAAGAGAACTTAGAGGGAGAAACAGGGCCGCACGTCATCCTCCACTTCAGGTGAATTTGTCACTGCAAGTGGTGCAGGGATGTTACAACCAAGCCGCGGACAACTCATGAGTAGGGCCGAGATTCCTGGTACTGTGGAGAGGCGCAGAGCATATGAACACCTCAAACAGATGATTGTCACAGGGTGGGAAATCCTTCCATGAAACAGACACTTGAGACATAGTGGCAAAGACATTAAGGCCTTCCATTTCTTTGCCTACACCGCTTAAAGGCACTGATACCAACAACAGAAATACTCCATAGTACCATCGAGGTTTTAAAAAAACTCCCAAAATACAAGTCTTCATAGGAAAATGTCTTTTATTGCGCGACATGAAGCATCCGTTATTTGCGTGCTCAGGAATAGAAGGGCCTCCCTTTCTCAGGAGTCTGAAGTCTGTTCAGCCTCGCAACCTGAGAAGGGGAGGGGGGCACATCTTGCCGGAAGGGCCCCTTGGGAGGGGCGTAACTGGGGTCCTGGACTTTCTTATACGAGTCATAGTTGCTGGGCCCCTCGGAAGGAGGCTGCTTCTTCATCTGCTGCTCCTTCCGCCTCTGTTCCTGGCGAAGGAGCTCCTGAGTTTCCAGCATGACCCTGGCGTTGAAGCCATGTCCTCCCAGGTAGCCGTTCCTGGAGCCTTGGTAGCTGGAGTACCTGGGGTTCTCTTTGGCACTCTGGAAGCCTTCCCCAGGGGAGTAGTTCTGCTCCCAAGAGTCCTGGGAGACCGAGCTGGCATTTTTCCTGCTTTGCCTAGAAAGCAAAACCCAAAGGTTAGTGTGAGGGTAGGAAGAAGGAGGGAGAGGGAGGAAAGGGGGCAGGATGGGATGGAATATGCATTTTCACTTTTCAACAAATATTCCTGTTCTCTCATCACATGCCAGACACTGCGATAGGGGCTGGAGAATTCAAAAATGACTGTCCTCAGCAAGCGCATAGTCTTAGACAACTAAACTAACAACGAGTAAACAGGAGAGAGAACTAGACTGTGCAGCTATTTAGAAACAGGGTCATCCTCCTGTGTCTGAGAAGGTTGTGTCTGTTCTGCTTAGGGTACCAATATCTCCTGCAATTTAGACACACTGGCAAAGTATAGAAGTATTAGAGGTTTGGCAGCTTCCATGGTAGGAATAATTGCTCGCTTTAGAACATTACAATTCAATTCTAAACAAGCACAACAAATATTTTACACAGCTGCCACCATAATGCCAGAAGCGCTAGCTAATATGAAGTACATGTAATGGATTACAGTATGAGTTCGGTTATGAAAGATTTAAGTCTAGACTCCTTTATGATAAAAAATGCAACAGGCAGTCCCTTAAAGCTCTGGCTTTCAAGTTGTGTATGTCAGCAACTTACACTCTCCGGGATACCTGCTCATCCAGATTGGACGGAGAGTCCGGAAGTCTGTAAAGTAAGCACTATTTTCTTATACATTTACCTTCACCAAAGGCCAGGGTGACCTACTTAACTTGCTTTCTGTCACCCCAGGATAGGCAAGTAAATCAGAGTCACATGGAAATTTCAAATTCTTCCCACTTCTGCAACAGAGTTGGGCATGATTTCCAGGAAACATTATTGTTTTGAAACATCTTTAATTTACTATCAAGTCTCTAGATGGTTTTATGAATTTACAATAAGATTGGCTATGATGAAATAAAACAATTCTGTGCCAGAAAGGAAGACATGCCCTAATTTTTTTGCCTTGAAAATGGAAGAGGGGGAGAGACAATTGAGTAATAAAACAAAGTATATTGCTCCATTTATCAATAAGAAAATCATTTGGCGACAGTATGTATTGCTCAACCCTCTCCATCAACACACACAACACAGCTGAATGTTCACAAAGATTTTCACGGAAGGAAAAGAAGGTCTGGGAAGCCACTGCATCTCCCGCAGGAATGATGCAATTTGCATTTTTGAACATTCACAATTGCATCAATATGGTTTGGAGTGAAATGCACCCATTTTCCATATGGCCTAAAATGTAGTTGGGAACATTTTCAGTAAAGAAAATGACCATAATGTCCAGCATCACCTCTGGCTATGACGATGACTGGATGAGCATTCCATAGCATGTCTGTCTCTTTTAACGGAAGACTGCACCATTTGTACAGTCAGCCCAGGCAAGAATCCTTAGATGTGATGGAATAGTTTATTTGCCTAAAGCACTGATTATCTTCACTTAAGTCATAAATTAATCTACCCAGAGACAAGACTGTTGGAAAATGCCGGCATGAAACCAGGGATTTGACATTAATCATGAAACTTTAATTAAAACAAGGAACTTGTGACTGATATTACAGCAACAAAAATGGGATTCTTTTATGAGTTATCAGTTTGAAGATAATCAGAAATAGGCTGCAGACATTTCACCTCTTTTTCATCTCTGGCCTACTAAGATCCACCAACCCCCTTCCTCCCCAGCTTCATGGAGCCCCAGGCTTCGCTCTACGGCAGCTGTGCACCCTAAGTGGATTCTGCATCATCCCCGGAAGACACAGTCTTTCTACATTTAAACAGGGAGAATTCACTAAAGGTTTGTTAGGGATGGAAATTACAACAATGTGGGAGAACCAATTTTTTGTAGCTAAAATTTTCTTCAAATTAATCAGTATAGAGAGAAGGAAGCAGACTGCCCTGAGGTCTGAAGTAAGATATGTGGGTAAAATGCACATAAGACAGAAACACACACACACACACACACACACACATAGACACACACACACATGCGCACACACACAATTCCTTGGTAAGGAAGTTAGCAGTATCTATATGCTCTTGATTAAGGAGAGAATGAGAAATGGGCCAATTGTAGAGACCAAGGGAAGGAAACAGACAATAAGAGTTTCCTACACTAGGAAACTAAGCATCCAGCTGGGCAAGGTGGGAGTGGCTTAGGCTTAGAGCAACGTAGATTCAAATCCTGAGCCTGCCACTGGCTGGCTGTGTGACACTGGGCGAGTTCTGCTCACTGGGCTCAAGTTACCTTACCTATGAAACAGGCATAATCTCTAACCCTGAAAGGTTGTGGGGAGAAAGAAATGAAATAACACATGTAAAGTGCTTAGAAAAGTGACTTGCACTCAGTAAGTGATTGACTAATAGGTCCCGGAGGAGTAGTTTGAAGACAAAGTCACTCTGCCTTCAAAGATTAGGCTCTGAGCCTGGGTGTGGTGGCTCAGGCCTGTAATCTCAGAACTTTAGGAGGATGAGGTGGGAGGACTGCTTGAGGCCAGGAGTTTGAGATCAGCCTGGGTAACATAGTGAGACCCCATCTCTACAAAAGATGTTTTGAAAAAATTAGCCAGGTGTGGTGGTGGGTGCCTGTAGTCCCAGCAACTTGGGTGGCTGAGGTGGGAGAATTGCTTGAGCCCAGGAGGTCGAGGCTGCAGTGAGCCGTGATTGCACCACTGCACTGCAGCCTGGGTAACAAAGTGAGACCTCATCTCTAAAAGAGGAGAAAAAGAAAAAAAGGCTCAGGACTTAGGGAGGCATCTTTTTGACCAAAGAAGAAAATTGTTTTTAATTTAATTTAATTATTTTGTTTTTGAGACAGAGCCTCACTCTTTTGCCCAGGGTGGAGTACAGTGGTGCAATCTTGGCTCACTGCAACTTCTACTTCCTGGGTTCAAGCGATTCAGCTGTCTTAGGCTCCCAGGTAGCTGGGATTACAGGAACAAACCACCACACCTGGCTAATTTTTGTATTGTTAGTAGAGATGGGATTTCACCATGTTGGACCAGGCTGGTCTTGAACTCCTGAACTCAAGTGATCTGCCGACCTCAGCCTCCCATAGTCCTGGGATTACAGGCATGAGCCACTCTGCTCGGCCAAAAATTGTTTTTTAAAGTTAGCTTTCCCTTCCTTGGTTGGAGGGATTGAGTAGAGATGCCAAGACACAGAAAAGCATCAGAGGAGAAAGGAACCCTTACTAAGCGAGGGCAACTTTGGCACACTGCTGCAGAGATCAGACGGAAGCCCATGTTCTTCCCACTGTCCTGTGAGCCCTTGGCTAAGGCCATGGGTAACAACAGCAACAAAATATCAATCTCCTTTCATTGAATTTCTTTATAACCAACATATAGGATTGTTTGGTCCTGCAGTGAGCCCCTGGACATTGCTAAATCCACTCAAAGCACTTACCACGTACCATGGTTTGGCAATAACTATCACCTAAAGATTATCACCTAAAGATTACAACCACCTCCAACATGGCCTGGAGACCATCAGCATGGAGAGGACTCAAACCAAAGATCTGATGCCCGAGGAAAGCCATTAAGCCACCAGGATGAGGGGGACACAGACAGAAGGAGGAAGACAGAGGGAGCGAGGCTAAGAAGTTGGGAAGTAGATTGGAGACATAACAAATGGGCCTCGTGGAGAGAACGCGGGAGGGTGCAGAGACACAGCGTGGAGGGTGAGGTATACAAGGCTTTCGAGGAAGTCAGACCACAGCAGACACGGAGCCGAGGGAGGGGAGAAAGATGAAGAAGAAATGGAGAGGCAGGAAAAGAAAATGAAGGGAAACACCAAACCAAGAACCTTATTTCTCTCTACCAGTGCCTGTGACTACGCACGCCTCTATTCCTTTTGGGGGCTGCCTTTTGGATATTAAGGAAAGAAACTAATTTAGGAATTAAAAAAAGATGATGTCAAAGGGTACAAATCTCAATGACAGAGGAGCAATTTTTCTGTTCTACTGCACAGCATGGTAGGTATAGTTAATAACAGAGTATTGTACATTTCACAGCTGCTGAGAGAGTAAATATTTGAGGTGATGGATATGTTAGCTAACTTGATTAAACTTAATTAATTCTTTTATGCTATATTCATAAATCATAACATCACTTTGTGCCCCACAAATTATACAATTATAAACTGTCAATTTATAATTTTTTTCTTTTTTTTTTTTTTCTTTGAGACGGAGTTTTGCTCTGTTGCCCAGGCTGGAGTGCAGTGGCGCGATCTCGGCTCACTGCAAGCTCCGCCTCCCGGGTTCACACCATTCTCCTGCCTCAGCCTCCCGAGTAGCTGGGACTACACGCGCCCACCACCAAGCCTGGCTAATGTTTTGTATTTTTAGTAGAGACAAGGTTTCACCGTGTTAGCCAGGATGGTCTCGATCTCCTGACCTTGTGATCCGCCTGCCTCGGCATCCCAAATGCTGGGATTACAGGCGTAAGCCACCACGCCCAGCCTATAATTTATAATAAAAAATAAATTATTTTAGAAAAAGAAAAACAAACAAAAATCCTATTCTGATTGAGAACTGAGTGTGGGGCCACCACACAGGTCCCTTTTCCTGCCAACTAGTGTTACCACCTGGCCAGTGTTTCTCATTGACATGCCAAAATGTAACTTGATTTCTGTCCATAGAGTTTCTTACTTACAGTTAGAATTTACAAACCACTCTTTCTCATATACATGCCTCTAATTCAAACCACCTTATCTAATGCAACGGATACAAAGCCCAGACCATTTGTTTTATTTTACGCTCCACTTTGTAACTATACTTTTTTTCTGTGTGTAATCTTTTTGGTTTCTAATGCCATACCAACTTGTTTAGACAAAACTCTGTTAATTGTCAACATCCGAAAAGCAGAGGTCAAGTGTCTTTGAAGAATATCACATGTCAGAAACTTGGACTTGACTCAAGCTCACGGAGGTGGTTGCAGTCCCCCCTGACCTCCTGTTTGCTTTCTTTCCCTTCCCTCAGATCTCTGCACACAGCCTGCCACAGAGTGGGGCTGCTTTGCAAGGCATCAAGCCGAACGCAGGGTTCTATGTTCCTAATCTCCCTCACAAACAGGAAGATTCTCATTGATAAATTGTTCTCTAAAGGAAGACAAGAAGATACTGCAGAAACCTACCAGCCTCCGCTGCCCAAACTTACATAACTCTTTAATTTGAGGATGTCTGCTTTTCTCATATCTAAATAGGATAAAATGACTAAAAATAGGGAGCTACAATTAACCCAGAGGGAAAGCTGTAGTTATTTAGGGCACCACTAAATAACAGCGGAGGCACTAGCGGTAGCGGCTGCAACCCTCCTCTGCGTGTAAATATAGATATCTCTACCAGGCGCTTCCGCAGGGAGAGGCGGAGAAGGGAAGAGATGTCGGGGCTCAGAGTAAAGAAGGGAGAGGAATGGGAAGGCGAGGATGAAAGGTTCGGCGGGAATGCATGAGCTACTTTGGAATGCAACCAGGAGAAATTCAGTGGAAGCACCTGCCTCTGTCTTTTGCCTCTTCTGAGGACTGGGACCCAAGTGCCCCTTCTCCCTGGCAACTGCCCTGCCTTCCCGGCCCGCCCACCGCTCTCTCTCCCACCTCCCTTTCTCAGCCCTTGGCAGCTCCCACATCACTGCTCTCATTATACACACTTTGTTATGTTTCTCCTTCAATCCTTAGAGACACTCTCAGGCACGGCCAAAATATATGAAGCCAAACAACTGGCCAATAAAAATAAGAACACAGCCCCTGCCCTGACAACACCATCCACACAAGCTATGAAGTGCCCTGGCCCACCCGTGTGGTCGTGCAGGGAGGGCCATGCCAGGTGGGCCAATTCGTCCACACTGTCAGCTCACCCTTCCGATGGAATGCAGCCACACAGACTGGAGGGCAGTGGGGAGGGGGCAGGGGGGTAGCGGAGTGGGGGATAGGGTGGATTTTACACAGACCAACCTTGATGTCTAATTCTTCAAGTGCTTAGGCATTTGATTCACTGGGTTGATTCACACAGTGACCTCCTTCTAAATGCTGAGGGCAGGAGAGCACTGAGGGGAACTTTG
The DNA here is from genome assembly GCF_000001405.40 of Homo sapiens. NCBI lineage: Eukaryota > Metazoa > Chordata > Mammalia > Primates > Hominidae > Homo > Homo sapiens. The sequence continues at coordinate 34,117,606 of NC_000010.11, forward strand.
CACCTGTTAATATCCCAAATTTGGGGCCAGGTGTGGTGGCTCACACCTGTAATCCCAGCACTTTGGGGGGCTAAGGTGGGCAGATCACTTGAGGCCAGGGGTTCGAAACCAGCCTGGACAACATGGCAAACCCCTTCTCTACTAAAGATACAAAAATTAGCCAGGCGAGGTGGCGCACGCCTGTAACCCCAGCTATTTGGGAGGCTAAGGCATGAGAATTGCTTGAGTCTGGGAGGTGGAGGTTGCAGTGAGCCAAGGTCGCGCCACTGCACTCCAGCCGGGGCAACAGAACAAGACTCTGTCTCAAAAAATTTGGGAACAGAAGCCCTTGATAGCAACGGGCCTTATAAAATCATGGTTTAGGGCATGGGCAGATTCAGGTTTGAATGCTGGCAAAATGACTTGCTAGCTGTGTGAGCTGGGGGAAATTTACTTACTCTGAGCTGTTTCCTTGTAAGATAAGATTATCTCAAAGGTCCTATAAAGACCAAAACTTTAATGACTCTTACCTACAGCAGGCTAAAGAACCTGGCAATTCTCCTCTTTAAAGGAAAAAATAATTTAGTACTCAAAGGGGTTTTATATAGCCTTATGGATTGAAAAAGAACAACTGAATGAATAAACTGCTACAATAGATGGCACTTATCCCCATGGAGACTCATTCACATCCATGTCCCCTTGGCTGACCTGTATCCATGTGGTGAAGTCCGTTGTGGTTGTTACAGTGATTATTTAACATGTAAAGAAATTCATCTTTTCGAAACAGGGTCTTGCTCTGTCACCCAGGCAAGTGCAGTGGTGTGATCTCAGCTCACTGTAACCTCTGCTTCCCAGGCTCAAGCGATCCTCCCATCTCAGCCTCCCATGGAGCTGGGATTACAGGCATGTGCCACCAAGCCCAGCTAATTTTTGTATTTTTTTATGGAGATAGTGTTTTGCCATGTTGCCCAGGCTGGTCTCGAACTCCTGGGCTCAAATGATCTGCCTGCCTCAGCCTCCCAAAGTGCTGGGATTACAGACCTGAGCCACCGTGCCTGGCCAGGACTCATCTTTATTAGAAATTGATCAAGATCACTCTACACTGGTCAGTCAAGATAAGCATTTGTCTCCTAACTCCCTAAAACTGTTTTGCTCAAAGTCAAAAGTCTACCTGATATCAACATGGCAAATGAATCTTTTCCCACTTAAAATATGTCTTTGTCACCTGATTTTGAAATACAGCAACAAATGCCTATAAGAATTGTGACTACAGGAGTCACCTGTTTTGGGAAGTTTAAAAAGCTGAATGTTTTTCAACATTTTTATTCTTTACTATGCCTGGAAGAAAAACTTTGATGGAAAAATAGTTACTATTTCAATGTACTGGCACTCAGTCACCCTGAGACCCTTGCAGGCCTTTGTCGGAGAACTGGGCCAAGGCGTCTCCCCTGGGGAGCAGGCAAGTAAGGGTTTCTTGCTTGGTTCCCAGCTAACAAGCTCAACATCCCTGAGACCCTCTAAAGTTAAACATGGGTGAGAGCAGTGATGATGGGACAGTAAGAGAGTGAGGTTTGGGACCATGGATCCCACACAACCACGGCGTATGCAGCACTGACTCTCGATCCTTTTATGGAGCTCTGGATTTATGAAGTATCATTTATTCTAATAACCATATGTGCTAAGCCAAATAAGGGTTATCTTCCCATTTTTCAGATGAAGATACTGTCTTGTCCACACAGGAAGCAGGAGAGCCAATACTAAGAAGCCAGTACACGAGTCGCTTCACTTTTTTAGGGAGCTTGTGGGTGAAAATACTGGCATCTCCTGCAATGGGCATTTCCCCTGGCCTCGCAGTACGACAGCCCCCCACGCTAAGGAACAGTAGCCACGGGACATTTATTGGTTCCTCTGTTGCTACCAGGGGCAAGCTGGAGAGGCCCCAGTGACTTGGGAAGGAGCGCGTTCCTAAAGGGCGGGGGATCTTAAAGGGCCGGGGGGATCTGGAGGCTCGGCCAAGCGTCCTCATACCGAGGCAGAGAGCTGTACTGGCGCTGGGCCTGCTGGGAGCTCTCGCGCTCCTCCTGCCGCTGCCGCTGCATCTGCACCTCCACGGACACCGAGTGTCGCCCGCTCTGCGTCGCCGGCCGTGCGTTCGGCTGGAAGAGGAAAATACAAGCACATCGTTAACCAGAAAGTTCTGTACAGATCACACAACTGGTTGACTCCATTTCGATTCTTATGAATTGACTTTGAAAATTTTGAAAATTCTGTGATTTGTTTTTCAAAATCGTTTCTTTGAGAAAAGTGGCATACATATATTTGCTCTTATGAGCCCATAAACACTCAATTTTCTTAAACTGTGATTTTGGCTTTGGCATGTGGTTTAAATTGAAGAGATCAAACTTTCTAGTCTTCTTTAATTTTTTTTTTTTTTTTTTTTTTTTTTTTTAGAGATGGGATCTCACTCTGTCACCCAAGCAGGAGTGCAGTAGTGCAATCATGGCTCACTGCAGCCTTGAACTCCTGGGTTCAAGTGATCCTCCCACCTCAGTCTCCCGAGTAACCGGGATTACAAGCACAGGCCACCATGCCTGGCTAATTTTTTTTTTTTTTTTTTTTTTGGTAGAGATGGGGTTTCCCTATGTTGTCCTGGCCTCAAGCAATCCTGCCTCAGCCTCCCAAAGTGCTGAGATTACAGGTGTAAGCCACTAAACCCAGCGTCTAGTCTTTATAATGAGGCTTGGTAAATGCTGACATAAGACACCATTTACCTCTCTCCAGAATACACAGAGCAGATACAATAAGAATGAGGCTCTTCCAAAAACTAGAAGATGTTAATGCCAAAAATAAATAAATAAATAAAAATTTGCTACAACTCTCAAAAGAGGGAAAGTCCAGGAGTGCACACCTGTGAGGTGGCCATGTTGATGAATTTTGGGGGGTAGGTATATATTTTAGTTTTACAGCAGGATACAGTATAGCTGATTCCCTTTCTAGTACAGGATGACAGTGAAATTTTAAGCCAAGATTAGTTTAAACTAGGTACCAACAGGTCTCCTGCAATCCACAGATGGCAGCCAAACAGGGAACAGAAATGCCTATCAAAAGAACAAACCCAAAAGCTACTCGCTACTTAAATTGGTTATTAGGTAATGCATTTTACCTTAGTTATTAGGAAATGGCAATTTACCTAAGTTAATCATCCCCTATAGAGAACACTTCAATCCTTCTAACTAAATACTTTGGTTAGCACTCCATTTCAGGAGTTCAAGACCAGCCTGGGCACCACAGTGAGACCCTGTCTCCACAAAAAAATTTTAAAAATTAGTCAGGTGCAGTGGCACATGTCTGTGATCCCAGCTACTTGGGAAGCTGAGACAGGAGGACCGCTTGAGCCTAGGAGATTGAGGCTGCAGTAAGCCATGACCGTGCCATTGCACTCCAGCCTGGGTGATGGTGCAAGACCCTGTCTCAAAAAAAGAAAAAAAAAAAAGGAAAAACGAAAAGAAAGAAAAGAAAAAACATACTTTGGTCAGCAAGTCATCTGGTGATTGGTGCTTCTCACCGAAATCAGATTACTGAACGTGTATACCGCATGGTATAGATCAGGTTTCTGGGATGCTTCAATTTCTCACTGACAATGGTTACCTTACCTTCTAGATCTGGCCTTTTGAAATAAAAGTAGCTGTGCTCAAAATATACAATGGTGCCTCTACATTTATGAAACATCCCAATGGTTTGTCACAGCATCAGCAGTAGGCCCCTTAAGTGATCCTTTTCAGTACTCGCCACCCTCAGTTCCCCCTCTGTTATGCAACGTTGTGCAACAGGCATAGTCTGAGTGAGGAATGTCTGTTTGAAACAAGTTATTGATTTTCTTTTAGAGTTGAAAGCTAATGGTAGACTTTGCCCTGATAATGATTTTCTAAAACAACAGAGTCTGAACATTCATTTGGCGAGCTGTAAGATAACAGGTAGCCTTGTTACCAAAAGAATGGCTCCTATGGTTGGCTTTGGCCAGCACAGAAAGAAATCAAGCATCATCTATTGTTCTCTTTCTGCAAAGCCAGCACAACCTTACTTGTTGATAAGCAGTAATGAAGCAATATACAGGACAAACATTTCAAAGCATATGGGCTTAGTTAGTGAGCATATTAAAAATATCCCGATACAAAAATAATGTGTGAGGAGATTAGGCTTTACAATACCCCAGTCTCTACTAGGGGCTTTATAACCACACTCACTGGAACAAATGTGTATTCAGAGACCCGCTTCACAACACCGTTCAAATAACACATCAGTGAGGCCTTCAGCAAGAAAAACACTTCGCTGAGCGAGTTCTGCTTATGCAAACAATTGTTCATCAACTGCATTAAAAGAGACAGACATTTTCTTCCATTACACTTGATGAGGCTGGCCAAAAAGGAAACTGAGCTGTTTTCTTGTCACGGTGAGCAATGGGAAGCTTGAGATAAACCACTGGACAGAAAGAAAACACTACACCATTTCCTTTACACCCTCAAAAGAACCACATTTTCCTTTCCTTTTCACTCAGTGTAAACTATATGCATGTGTCAAACAGTCTTGAAAGATCTGGCATTCTGCAGCAGGATTTAGTAACCAGCTTTTTAAGCTCGTGCTGTTCTGTGACAAGCTGCTTGTGGAGATGTGAAGGGAAATTGCAAGGTCTTGTAGAAATTTCAGGTGTATTTTTAAGTTGTTTCTCCCATAGGCCTGAAAATTTGCTTCTGACAGAGAAAAAAGAAGTTGAAGGACTTGTTTTCTCTGCTGTGTGTTTTCTGACACTGTTCGCCTCAAACTTTATCAGCTACAAGTATCTAGTTGGATCTGGATACATTCCAATGATGACATTATCAGCATATGGGGTCTGAAAACTTAAAAGGAGTGAATGAGTTTGGGATCAGCAAACTGACATATTTCATACTATCATGCTCACCAGGAAGAAACATAAACATTGGCTTCACCATTAATAGTTTACTCCATTTCTCTTTTTAGAACTTGCAAAAGGGTGGGTTACTAAACAGAATCACTCTTACCTTTAAGATAAAACCCTCTAACAGGTCACATATTTCAAGGAAGATTGCATACATGACCAGCCCAGAGCAACAACTAAATAAGTTCATCCCGGCAAGTTTGACACTTGACCTGAATAAAAATCACCCCTCTAATTCACAATTTAAATGAAGACCTCTTAAAAACAAAAACTGGATGAACAGTATTACAATGGCAATCTGGAATTTTACACACTGTGGCTTCAATCCCTATGGCATGAACAAAATAATGTATCTGAGTCCAAGCACAAAAATAAAGTGAAGAAAAGAGGTAATTTGTAACCTCACAGAGAAGTGTATGTTTTCAAATAAAATATCATCAACAACTGCAGCGACAAAGTAACACCCACATAGGGAAATACCTGCGCAGGCATAACTGTAATAACTCTGGAGATTCACCAGAGAACAAGGCGAAGCTCTGTTCTAACAGTGCAAATTACAAATAACCCTGTGATGAAATTGGTTACAAGCAATGACCTTTTAAATAAAAAAAAAACATGGCTGCCAGAGCCATAATAACAATAGAGATTGTAAGATGGAAATAAACACACGAGTATATATTACACAGGATGCTGGAGAGCCATGATATGTAAATCTCTTCATGGCCTATGTTTAAAACCACAAGTGAAAAATATGTATTTTTTTTTGTAAGTGGACTACAAAGTACTTGTCTTTCTCATAGATTATAAAGGGATAATAATTCAAGCTTGAGGAAGCTATACAATGTTGGTATCATTTAGTAGGGTAAAATATAAAAAAATATTTTCCACAGTTTTTTTTTTAAACATTTTGTTTTTATTTTAGAGTCAGAATCTTGCTCTGTTGCCAAGGCTGGAGTACAGTGGCACAATTACAGCTCACTGCAGCCTCAAACTCCTGGGCTCAAGCTGTCCTCAGTAGCCAGGACTACAGGTATGCACCACCATGCCTGGTTAATTTTTTTTTTCTTTTTAATTTTTGTAGAGGCAGGGTCTTGCTGTGTTGCCCAGGCTGGTCTTGAACTCCTGCTCTCAAGTGATCCTCCCACCTTTGCCTCCCAAAGTGCTGGAGATTACATGCTTGTAATGGTCTCATACGGTGTTTTATGAATTAAGTCTTTAAGCATTTCTCTTAATTAAATAAAATCATTGCTTCAAAATAAAAATAGAAAAAAATGAAAATACAAAACGAAATATTTAATAGACAGTTAACAGAGTAAAGAACAAACATGAATATCCACAGTACAAAGTTTCAGTACTAATTAGAACTAGGTAATACTGTAAGACTTTGACAGCTTAATATGCGAGTGTGCTGCCACTTATGAAATAAAATCATTGTTATATTAACATATACATAGAATATTCAATAATTTCAAATAATCTATCACTTTTCTTCTTATAGATAAGGAAAATAGTGTGTAAGTATGTGTGGGTGTGCACGTGTATATATATATCCACACACATATGTAATATTTTTATAAAGGATCACTTTGAGCAGATTTTCTCCTTAAATTATGAATGATAAAAATCTGCAAAATTTTGTATGTCCAAGGGCACATATAGAAAACAAAAAGTAAAATACAAAACATTCAGGCACTTTGGATGAAAACCTGTGATGAAGATGATGGTGAGAATGATGCTGATGACAAAAAGACTAATGGCATTCCCTTGAGATTCACAATCCTTACTTTAGCAATTCACATGAGCTGTGACCCTAATAGGAATTCCATATTCTGATAAGAGTAGCAATTTAAAGATTTGGTAGGGAGCAGAAATCATTTTTATGCCATTAAATCATGTGAAGAGTGTCAACTGTTGACTCTGTTGAAAAGTGGCCAGTGCTAATATTGGTAATTATTTTCTTCAGTAGACTTATGTACAACCTTTAATCAAAACAACGTTAACTTTTGTCTACCCATCGTGCCTTCCCAGCCTTCCGCACCCACCCACACATGCCATAATTATGTAACTATTGACTGAACTCTTGTGGGTCTTGAATGTTGAAAAGCTTAATTGCTCCTAAGGATGTGAGTAATGGCTGAAAAGACTGCAAAGCACACCCGTTTCCCTCATGAAGTTTTTAGAAATGAATGTTTTGGTCTTAATTGTATTTGTCTTCACCTCATCTTTCACACCAGTGCTTAGATCTTTTATCCCCGCCCCCATCTTAAGCAATAGGAACACTGAAAATAAAAAGGTTGCTCTACAAAACAAGCCAGGCACTTTAGTATCTGGGCTAATGGCAACCCAAGGTAGCTTCAGGAGTTCCTACCACACAGGGCTTCTGAGCATAGCATGGCCATGAGTCACAGAGCCTTTGGCTGAGGGACAGGTCACAGGGCAGAATAAAGTGCTGACTTTGCGACAGTACAGAGGCTCTCTCCATGTGTGATGGGCACCTCTCTGCAGATGGCTTATCTCCAGGTCTATTTCTTTCTTTTTTTTTTTTTGAGACGGAGTCTTGCTCTTGTCGCCAAGTTAGAGTGCAATGGCGTGATCTTGGCTCACTGCCACCTTAGCCTCCTGGGTTCAAGTGATTCTCCTGCCTCAGCCTCCTGAGTAGCTGGGATTACAGGCACCTGCCACCACGCCCGGCTAATTTTTGTATTTTTAGTAGAGACGGGGTTTCACCATGTTGGCCAGGCTGGTCTTGAACTCCTGACCTCGGGATCCACCCACCTGGGCCTCCCAAAGTGCTGGGATTATAGGAGTGAGCCACCGTGCCCGGCCCTCCAGGTCTATTTCTATGCGAGGTGATTTCCACCCAACTAGAGCTAGGGTCATACTCATTTCAAGGCTGTCAACTAAGGCAGCATTTTTTGAGTCAAGGCATGGAGGCCGCTAGGAGAAAATGAGAGCAGATACTTTTTAAGTCTTAAAAAAGATGGAAACGAAAGGAAAACCACCATTTTCTGAAATTGCCCAGGCACAGGGAGGCAATCTAGTGGTACAGAGTGGCTGTGTGCTATGACTGCCTTGCCAATTAAAGCAGGCAGAGCCCTAAGAGGGCAGGGAGAGCTATTAAAGTCTGAAACAGGAAAAGGGAGAAAAGGACAGATTTTGTTATTCATTGAATGACGGACAGCTAGGAAACAAGCAAGCTTGAGGGAGAAGAGGATATTCACATTGCAGAGTATCAATTTTCTACCTGAAGGACTAAACTACTTTCAGTCACTCCCAACCTGGGATGGAAAGGATTTAGCAATACAGCTATTATTAAAGGCTCCATTATCCCATCTATCAGTCGTCTCAGCCAGCAAGTCTCCTTGTTGGCAACACTCAGGTATCTGCAAAGTTTTTACGGCATACTGTACTTACGTCTGCAGCCTGCAATTTAGTTCTTTTAAAAGCAACACTAAGTCCTGTCCATATCGAAGCTCTGTGATAATAACCCTAACCTCACCTATTGTTCCATTATCTTAAGAAAGATTTAAAGCAACTTGCTGCTTTATTTATGTTGCACCTGGCACTACGTGAGGAAGAAGTTGCCTTTTCTTCTTCTCTTGCTCAACTTGGGAGAGAATTCACTTCAATTATGGAGCTAAGGAAATTTTCTGGGCCTCTGCTCATCTAAAGACCTTTTGTGCCACAAATCAGCTCCCTCAGGCCCAGACATTATTTTGAACAAAGGCCCAGGAACAGGTGCATTCTGTACTGCTAGAGCTTATAGAGAACATTTTCAAAATAGGTAGATTGAAAGGGCTACTTGGATGAATTTTCCGCAGCATCCTGCTCTGTATGTAAAGTAATTGGCTTACATATTTTTCTCTGTGACACATCTGGCTGCACTTTGTGTGTGGGCATTTCTAACAAGCATGACAATTTCAACTAATATGGGCTCAGTTGTACACACAGCTTGAAGGTGAGTTTGTGGTTCCTTAAAACTAAAATGATTACAAACCATTCCAAAGAATGAGATCATGGTCCCATCCCTTCCAAATACAGTGACCCTTCAAGGTCAGAATACATAAGAGAAGAGAAGGATTCCAAGATGCAAAAAGCTCATTTTGTAAAACAGATAATTAAAACCATAGACCAAGCTACATTTTAAACAACTGAGCAGCTCTTCCTAAGGTAACCATAAGAATTGGTATGAAAATTAATACACTAAGTAGAATTCCAGTCACTTTAAGCTCATTTACATGATCAGTAAAATAGAGCAAGATCTCAGTTTCTTGAAAATGAAAAAAAAAAAAAAAAGAAAAGGTCAACTTGTGACCCATAATTTAGGAAATGATTCCATTTCTAAGGTAATCAGCCTGTCATCCAAATAATTCCCTGCTCACTCATTACCGGAAATGCTAATACAAGCCAAGTTGTCTGTCTGAAGTTGCTATGGCATTTTGATATATAATAATGTGGTCCATGACCTTCAGTAGTTGAGTTTCCAAATGTACAAGATTTTTTCAAACATTTTCCCTAACATGATTGTTCATATTAAGTAGATAACATAGAAATGCATTCCAGCCTATTCACTGTTCCCATTCAAAGTTAAAATCTTATAAAGAAACCAAAATGAATTTCAAATCATTTTCACTTTTCCCAATGAAAAACATCTAGATACTAAGACGTAGGAAATACTCATTTAGCCTCAAACAAACCTGGAGGTCTCGCATGTGGATACAATGTCAGAAACCAGAAATAAACTCATCAATCTGAGTTCTCAAAGACATATGTCTGCTTCTCTGTTATATATTTAAAATATATTCCAATTTCAAAGAGGGGTTCTTTCAAGCCTTTTCTGACCACCGCACACTGATGTGGTCCTCACAGCTCCGTGGTTCTCAACACCCCATGCACACCCCTAGCCTACCTCTGCTATATGGTACCAAGTATTCCTTTATTTTTTATCAGTTCTACTGGAGAGTTCTGAGGGCATTTTTTCTTTTCGATCTTTGTTCTCCCATACCAACCACAATGCCTGGGACATAGTAAGAACTCAATGAATTTGATGAATTAAATAATTAGTTAAAGAGTAAATGTCAAGATGCTGGTTTGGAATCCACATTCCCAGGCAAAGTCAAATGGCGAACACTGCTCCTCATGGCATGGTATGGAGAATGATAAGCTCAGGCGGGGCTGTGCCAGGTTGGAACTGTGTGCATGTGTGTTAACTATTTCCATATTCAGCTGCTGTTTTCTCCTTCAGCTTGACACCATGCTCATTACTCTTTTCAGCCTCTTTGTGTAAATATACATAGTTAAGAATTTATCACACATCACAAAAGAATCCTGTTTCAAGAAATGTAGTAGGAATGGATTGAGTCAATTATGCCAAACAATATAAGCAGATTAACATAATTCTGTCATGTTGCTACATGGGAATGACTCAATGTACTTGATCATCTAGGAAAATGAACTAAATACCTTAGAAAAATGCCATTAATAGTAATATTGTTGCAGAAGACAATTAGAGATTTTCCAGGGAACTTGTTTTATAACCTCCCAAAGTTAGGCAAGAATTGATTTCATGAGGTGCTTTTACACCTGGATGCTGATCCCACATTGCCAGTTGCCCCATCTTCCTCACCTGAACTAAGTTAAAGCTCTTCAAACTACAGTTGACCCTTGAACACCATGAGTTTGAACTTTGAGGGTCCACTGATACACAGAGTTTCTTCCACCTCTGCCACTCTGAGACAAGACTTACTCCTTTCTCCTCCTCCCCTGCCTATTCAATCTGAAGACAATGGAGAAGATCTTTATGATGATCCACTTCCATTTAAAGAAAAGGAAATGTATGTTCTCTTCTTTATGATTTTCTTAATAACATCTTCTTTCTAGTTTATATTACTGTAAGAATACAGCATATAATACATAAAATGTACAGAGTGTGTGTTAATCAACTGTCTATGTTACTGGTAAGGTTTCTGTTCAACAGTGCGATATTAGTGCAGTAGTTAAGTTTTCGGGAAGTCAGAAGTTGCATGGGGATTTCTGATTGTGTGTGTGAGGAGGAAGGGGGATGGTCCTCCAACCCCCATGTTGTTTAAGGGCCAACGGTAGTACTGCTTCTCCCATTTTTTCCTCTTTGCCTTTGCTCCACAAAATTAATCTTCCTCAAACCCTAATTTGGTCACTAAATCCCTTAATGAGCAGCATTTATAGGTTTCTTGCTTTATGTAGAGTAATATATTGTGAGTATTGGGTTTCAGGACCAAAAAGGACCTCAGAGATCGTCTAGACTTTAGAACAGTGATTCTCAAAGTTGAACTTGTTTCAGAATGAGTTGGAAGGCTCATTAAAAACCAGATTCCTGGGCCCCACCCGTAAAGGTTTACATCTAGTAGGGTCAATGCAGGGACCAAGAATATGTATTCCTAACAAGTTTCTAGGTGATGCTAAAGGTGCTGTTCTGTGGACCACACTTTGAGAAGCTCTGATCTTCAGCAGCAGCTAACAGGATCCAGCCTCTGTAGTCAACTAGAGGGGTTCTACTTGCATCTGCTTTACATTTAGCTTCTTCTTAAACTTTCATTTCATCCAAGGGTTTAGTAACTGACATCCAATCATTTATTCTTTCTTTTCTTTTTTTTGATTCAGAGTCTTGCTCTGTCGTCCAGGCTGGAGGGCAGTGGTGCAATCTTGGCTCACTGTAACCTCTGCCTCCCGGGTTCAAGTGATTCTTCTGCCTCAGCCTCCCGAGTAGCCTGGATTACAGGCATGTGCCACCAGGACTGGATAATTTTTGTATTTTTAGTAGAGATGGGGTTTCATCATGTTGTCCAGGCTGGTCTCGAACACCTGGCCTCAAGTGATTAGCCCACCTTGACCTCGCAAAGTGCTGGGATTACAGGCACAAGCCATTGTGCCTGGCCTGCAATCATTTATTCTAATCTTGGTTGAGAGATAAGAAAACTGAGGCCGGAAGAGCCAGGCCACCTGGCTACTGGGCCAGTGTTCTTTCCTAGCACTATTTCTCTTCAAACTTTCAATCTAGCATTGAAGGCTCTTCCTACATTTCTACCTTTAATCTCCCCTTCCCTTCAACATAACCAACCTCTCAGCTGGGTAGTTTACCCTTCCTCAAATCAAATGTTCCTTTTTTTTTGTAATGTCAAGCCTCTTTTTTTTTTTTTTTTTTGAGCCAGGGTCTCACTGCAGTCCCAACCTCCCAGGTTCAAACAATCCTCCCAACTCAGCCTCCTGAGTAGCTGGGACCACAGGCATGTGCCACCACATCCGGGTAATTAAAAACTTTTTTTTTTTTTTTTTTGTAGAGATGGGGTCTCCCTATGTTGCCCAAGCTGGTCTCAAACTCCTGGGCTCGAGCAATGCTCCTGCCTTGGCCTCCCAAAGTGTTGGGGTGATGGTATGAGCCACCATGCCTGGCCTCCAGCCTTTTATAACACCATTCTTCCTTCTGTCCTACTCTTCCAAATATCTAGTAAATGATATTCCCAACACTTTGTCTGAACTGAACTTGTCAACTTTATGGACACTAATCTCCGCTCTACTTCTGTAACTCACGTGCAAAGATGGCAGGCCTTAGACCTCAACATCGTCTGAACTATCGCCTCTACTTCCAAGATCCTAGAGTCCAAAAAATACACTGTTTTGACCACAACTTCCTAGGCTTGAGAACCCCTAGATCCTGAGCCCTCTTGCACACTGCTAGGCTGTGAGGCTAATCCTTCCTTGAGCTATACTTGCCACCCCACCTGGACCACACGATGCTTCCCCAGTATCCTTGGTAGGACTCCAGCACCTCCCTTGGCTTTCTGCCATGTCTATCTTCCAACCCCCACTAAAGAATTAATCCACAAATTTATTCCTTCTATTCCCAGTCTTCTAAGCATTGCCGGTTAGGTCAAATTACCATGCTGCCTGGACTTCCTAATACCCCATGCTAGAGTTTCCTACCTTAAGCAGCTTATTTATTCACCTCTAACAGACTCACTCTCAAGTCTCCCAAAGAAATTCTTCAAACTCCCCATCATCTCAAAAAATCTGTCCCAACCCCTCCACTCTCAGAAGTGCTGTCATCTCTAGGGTGAGACACAAGATCAGAACACAGTTCTGGCACTGAGAAAGCCATCTGAAGTTTTTTCACTCTGGTGGCTATGAGGGGGATGAACTGGAATAAGATGGATTCAACAAACACACATGGGGGGTGCAAAAGATTAAAGAATCAAGAATTACTAGACCTGGCACAGTGGTTCACAACTGTAATCCTGACACTTTGGGAGACTGAAGAATGAGGATCACTTGAGCCTAGGAATTTGAGACCAGCCTGGCCAACATAGTGAGACTCAGTCTCTACAAAAAACTAAAAAATTAGCCAGGTGTGGTGGCACTTGCCTATAGTCCAGCTACTCTGGTGGCTGAGGTAGGAGGATTGCCTAAGCCTAGGAGTTTGGGGCTGCAGTAAGCTATGATCGCACCACCGCACTCCAGCCTGTGTGACAAAGCGAGACCTCATCTCTTTAAAAAAAAGAATTACTAAACACTGTACTTTGTACATTACAGGCACAATGGAGAAGTGCTGAACAAATTAATTTTGGCTCTGATTCTGAGAATATGTATCTACAGAAAAATATTTACTAAATTTAAAAAATGCTTAGTTGAGAGTGAGAATACTTTTGCTATGTCTTGTCATAAGGCTAGTGAAACCTATTAGGCAATGGACAGATGGTGGAACAAGATATAAAATGAAATTAGCAATGATGAAACCCAGATGGAAATGAGGAAAAGGTCAATATGTTAAAGGTCAAAGGAATTTGGCTCCATCTTGTCTCGTTTCATAGAGCATTGAGGTCATAGCTTAGTGGCCTTTGCTGCAGGGAAGTTGTAGGACCATTCACCGTGCTGAAGAACCAATTACTTACCCAGGGTTGCTCAAAACTATAGGTCCGCCGACGATCTTCTACATCTTCATCTTGCTTTGCTTGCTGAAATTCTTGCCTCAGACGCTGTATCCGATCATGATTGCTAGGAGTTGATCTGTTACTGAAAGAGAGATGAGGCAGCAGTGAATACCCTTCAGAAATATTATCTGTGAACTGCAGTTGCTAGCAAAACATGGCAACTTGCTGTGAAATGACGCCATTTAAGAGAAAGTGAATTTTTAAAACAATATGTGGGCATTTAAAATATGTTTTCATTTTGGTTTTAGGATTAAGGCTTATTGAGGTATTTTAGACAGATATTTGAGAGGGTAAACAATATTTTTAGATATTCTTTTTTTTTTTGCACTGTTCTTTAAAAGTTTCATTTCCTTTCTGTAATCTGGCAAGGTGTTGGCAGGGAAGTTTTTTTGGAAAGGACATTGCATTAAAAGTCAGAAACAACAGGGTCTGGTCCTAGCTTCTGTACCTTCTTAGACTAACGTACTTAATGTTTCTAAGCTGAAGTTTTTTAAATATATGAAGTAGAGATAATAATTTTACTCTAAATATCTGAGTTGTAATAATCAAGTGAGAGGACACCATGAAATATAGCTGCACAAATGCACAGCAATATTTTCATAATACGAGGTTCCTATTTATGAGTCATCAGAGGTCTATAAATAAAATGCAATTCTCACAGCAAAAATGAAAAACATTTTAAAAATAAGTTCAAGTGGTAGTTTCATTTAACCATCTAGTTAATAACAATACGGCCTTCTTTTTGTATAGTATTGAATTTTGTTTTATTCTCAGAAATACCTTATAAGATAGGTGCAGAAGGTAGTATTTCACACACCCACCCACCCACCCACCTACGCACACGTTTACAAATGTAGTAACTGACATTTAAAGAAGATAAGTGGTTCATTTGGGGATCTCCCAGCTGGCCAGTGGGGAAAGTGAGACCAAAATCCAGATTTTCTGGCTCCCAGTCCAACCCTCATTTCACTATGCCATGCATATCACTTTGTAAAACATGTATCAGGCTCCAAAGCTCTTCATTTGTAAAGTACAAATTTTAAAAAGAGTATTTTCGCCAAGAGTAATAGAGATTGATGACCAAAATTAAATCAATCATAAATCTCACAGCACTTTTGGTCTATGCCATTCACTAAAGCAGTAAGTTTCATCCTATCAGTGACGTGGACGGGAGACAGGGAAATACTGGGTAGGAGAGGGCGGTTCCTCAGCAAAGGTCCCACCCTCAGAAGTCTGGAAACCCATAACCCTAAATGGGAACAGGCATTCCTGTTTTTGCACCCAAAAGTTGCCTTTTTGGCCCACCACGCCCCCCTATCCTGCACCCATATAAACTGCAAACCCCAGGCTCCATGAACAGACAAACAGAAGGGCAGAAGAGTGGCAGAATGGTGCGGCAGAGAAGGGAGACGAGAAGGAGCATCTGAATGTCAAGAGGAGTTTGGCTGGGGATGGCTGGAGAGGAGACTGGGCCACTGGATGGCCAAACTCCAGGGGAAGATCATCTTCCCACCCCATCCCCTTTCCAGCTTCCCATCCATCCCACTGAGAGCCACCTCCATCACCCAATAAAATCCCCACATTCACCATCTTACAAGACCCTGTGGGACCTGATTTTTCCTGGATGCCAGACAAGGGCCTGGGTACCAAGGGGGGCACTGGGCTGGTTAACACTTAAGCCATCTGCAGACAGGAGAGCTAAAAGAGCACTGCAACATGCCCACTGGAGCTTCAGGAGCTGCAGGCACCCACACCCAGACACTACCGTGGGGCTGGAACCCCGGCTCCCGTACCTGTACATCTGCATGCTCCCCCTCCCCTAAGGGGTTTGGGCACACACAGCAGTCAAATAGACAAGCCACACACCCCTGCTGCATGTCCTGTGAGGGGAGTCAGGGAACTCTCTCATTTCATCAGGAAAGCTATTCAAGCCCATCAGGCATCTACTGCCTCCACAACAGAACGTCAGACTTCTTGAGGACAAGAACCACATCTTCTTCTTATCATATATACCCTCCAAGCTGCTAGCAGAATGGAAAGCTGCAAAGCTATTCGGAAGATCAGGTCTCTTCACAAAAGCATGTTGCCCTGGTTACTCAGTGTGTGCCAGGGTTCTGCTGGCTGCACCCCTCCTGCGTGATGTGATTTGTGAGAGGTAGCTTGGAAAGAGAAATTCTGTCACAGTAGAGTACGTAAAATTCTCAAACGGACATAAGTCTACATATAATTCCACATATTTTGAAGAATCTCAAAGGTTTAAGCATCTAAAATTGAACATGTTCATGTACAGGATCATCATGTTAACATCTTCTAAAAATATGGAATAGTCTTTCATCATTTAACATATTGGGAGGGGCCCCTGTACCTTCATGTATCAATTTCACTAGAGCTTCTAGAATATACTGTCAATACATTCAATTTGATTATTTTCTCAGTCAATAAAAGCTTGTCTTTCTTTGCTTTTCTTCTGACAAATCTGAACTGATTGGCCTGGAACATTAAAGGTGAACAGGTCTGTAAATTGGGCTGCTTGACGACACAAGGCTTCAGTCCACGTCACTTCAAAATGTCCCTCCACACTTTTGAGACAGGCAGGTTGTTATTCCTACTGGCTTTAAAAATATATAGTGTCCTATATTGTTGCACTGTCCAATCTAAAAAGCACTCTGTTCTTTATGTGAAACCGTAATGGTGTAGGCATGAGTGAGGATGGTTACCTTCATAAGACAAAAGAGACAGGAAAGTGGGCATTCCCGAATCTCACTGTCATTTTTCCACCTGTGCTTTTTTGTTCCTGGCATACTTTATAGCTTTTATGGGAGGATTATAGGAGGTTTGACTGACAAAGTATTTTACAAATCTAACCAGAAGTATTCTTCTGTTATTTTCATGCAGCACAGAGAGTTTTAAGCCCATAATTATTAGGATCATGAAGTTGAAACCATTGATAAAAACTGACCTCCTACTATTTGCAATTCACTGAAAGTCTGTTTTCCCGACAAAGGGAGTTGACCGAGTATCCTCAATGTTAAATTCTGGTGACACTGGTGTTTTTCACAGCAAAAGATAAGTTCTGGAAGTCACTCCTGCCCTTGTTTCCAAATCTGGGGAGCTAGGCAGACCTTTGGTTTCACCCCCTTTTCCTCTGCTCTTTCTCTCCCAATACTCTAGAGAAAGCTGGCTGACTTGTCTAAGACTGGCAAAACCACTTAATGGCTGAAGTTGGAAAACAGGCTGCAATGGTTTTCATGATGGATGATGATTTCCAAAGACTGGAAGACCGTCAAGCCCCCTTGGGGAACAACAATTGGCAGTCTGAAGGTGAAATTCTGGCTTTGAGAGATGAAACCATTACAATTGCTCAGTTCTGTCTCTCTGGCCAGTCTATAATGAGCCAATAATTCAAATTTGGACTTTTAAAGTTCTTGGTGAGCTCTTCTGCCAAGAAAGCTAAAGGAAATTTTAAATATTCATTAGCAATAGTGACTCATCCCTACACATCCTAATCAACTTATATTTAGGTTCACTGCCAACTTAAAGTTGGTCATGATTTTTTTGTGTGAGAAATATAATAAAAATACCATCCAAGTTGATCAGATGGGTGAGACAATAAAACCCTTAATGAAGAGTCAGAAATCCTAATTTACAGATAGTCCACATGAGTGGGATCTACACAGGGATGCTGAGAGGAACAGAGAGATACTTTCTGTATAAAACATCCACACAGACAGCTATAAGACAGTTTTAGTCCAATACCAACACTCAGCCTCCACCAACACATTGGCTTTGTACCCAACTGGAACTTAATTTCACGTTCTAACTAAATGAAGAGGGTTTGCTTTTGGTTCAGTAATGATCTGGGTTTTGGTTTTTGTTGTTTTTTCCTGACAGGTTTAAGGAAGGGTACCTAGGATCACACACTACAGAGATTCCTAGCCCAGCGTGCACAGAACTATGTGACCCTGAATTATATGGAACGTCCATAATTACTACGGGGATTGCAGTCTTTGATGTCAGAGGCAGACCATGCGGTGTACAAGGCTTCTACATCTTCAAATTGGATACTACTATGTGCTTCCTGAATGTGGCTAAGGATACCCATTCAGGCTAAAAGGAGCAATGAGCCTATCTGCAGGGAATCACTGAAGCCTGCCCCGCACCTGTGCCCCACAGGCAAGCCAACTCAACCACTTCCTTAGGTACGATGAGAGGGAACAGAAACCTTACAACAGCGGTTCTCATCTATATGCACTGTGTATATGAGAACCATTCAAAGAGCTTGTTAAAAAAATACTGATTGCCAAGGCTTGCCTTGAGAAATTCTGAGTCAGTCTAGTGCAGGGCCCAAGAACTTACACGTATATGAATTCAGAACATACTGCAGGTATATGGACAACACTCTGAAGATAATGCCTGCAGTTAGTAGACTACTGCCATGAAGGGATGCTGGCCTGGTGTTGCTTCTTATTTAAGAGAAGCTAGAAAGACAGCTTTCTCTCCCAAATTTAAAATGTTCACTTACTTTACTTTTGAAATTCTAGGTAAGCCAAATAACAATTTTGTCCATTGTTGGCTAGCCTGTAACCACTGGTTCACATTCTGCAGACGCTGCCTATTTTATCTGTCGCTTCTCCAGGCTATTTACTTTCATTGCACCAAAATAATAAGGCTGGTGGTGCTCTAGTAACAGTCCCCCAAAATATGTTAAAACTGATAACCAGGCACTGTCCAGATAGTCTTGTTTCTCCTAAACTGTCCCCTCCTTCCCAGCTGCCTAAGCCTGAACCTGGGTATCCTTCCTTGCAGGCTTGAAGTCTCACCTATCTATTCAGAGCAGTATATGCTGAAAGAGAGGAGTTTGTGATGTGACTGATTAATTCTTCATGGATTAAAAATGCTTTAACATTTGCATTTTTAATTATGCAAAAGGAATCTGGAAACCTGGAAGAGAGTAGTTTTAAGATCCAGAATTCAATGGAAAGGAGAAGTAACCACTCTTTTTTTAAAGTAAGGTGGTCTCGGTATACACTATGCTTCCCATAGCAGGGGGGAGAAAAGGAAGAGAGAAGGTAGACAGGAGGAGGAAATGAATTGTGGCAGGCTCTCCACATTGTTCAGAAGGCAGAGATGATTATAAACTCTGGTACAGGAGAAGAAAAGCTGCCAAAGAAGAGAGGAAAATACAGTCGCTCAGGTTTTTCTTTCTTTAATACCCTCTTCTTTCCCTTCCATCTTTCCAAATTCTACCAGTAAGTCTAAGACATCAATCCACTTCCTTGCAGCCTTTCCTCACTACTCCAGCCCATGTTCATCTCTTCCTTTCAGTTCACCTGTAATTGTCCCCTGACCCAAATACTGACTTACAGAGTTTACCAGAATCGGCATGTGTATGGGCTTTTCTCTCTTAGGTTTGTGCCTTCATCATAGCCATTCAACATGTACATATCTTGTATGTCACTTCCCTGTGGCAGAACAAATTGATCAGCAAATATTTGTGATGGATGGATTTAAGGTGGCCCTAATGTCCACACCTTCTGGGGTTCACACCTTTATGCACTCCTCTACCCTTGAATGTGGACAGAACCCACACTTGCTTTTTTTAAGATTTAATTTGATTTTAAGTGCCAGGATACATGTGCAGGATGTGCAGGTTTGTTACCTAGCTAAACGTGTGTCATGGTGGTTTGCTGTGCACTTGCTTCTAACCAATGAGAAATGCAGCAGGGATCACGCAGTGTTTGTGGTTACAATCGTGGTGTCCCTCTTTATGCCTCTGTCTCTCTCCTTGCTGGTACTGAAGTCGCAAGGAGCCAAGAATCCCACAGCTGCATGGAACACAATGCTGTCAACAATGACGGAAGCAGGGAAGCTGATATTTCCCTAGTAGAAGCCTCTGTGTGAGAACCCAGTCTGGCTGACTCCTTGATTGCACCCCGAGGGAGACCCTGAGCAGAGGATCCAGCTCAGTCATGCTGGAACTCCAGGCCCACAGACACGGTGATATAATCAATATGTGTTGTTTTAAGCTGCAAAGTTTGTGTTACTTTGTTTTGTAGCAAAAGAAAACGAACACTCCATTGTTGTTGGCCTTGGCCATGTGACTTGTTTTGGCCAACAGGATGTTTGTGGATGTGACACAAAAGGAGTTTGAAACTGATTGTATGCTGGGTGTATTCTTTGTGCTCCTGACTTCTACCATAACAAGAACATGCCCACAGTCTAAGAGACACATGGAGTGAATATGAATCCAACCTGCAGCTTATAAGTCAAGCCCAGTGGAGCCTGGCCTAGATCAGCCAACCCCTAGCCTCTCTGTAGATGTCTGAGCAAAAAATCAATGCTTGTTATTAGAGGCCACTAGGTTAGGCAATTTGCTATGTGACAGCACTGCAGCAATAAACGTTCTAGACCTCCCTCCTCAGACCGCCCCCACACCAATACTACCACCCCATCACTTTAAACAGCATTATGGGGGCTGTACATTCTTGTTAAATTCAAGGAAATAAAGTATGGATGGATTTAAGGTGGCCCTAATGTCCTAGAAACACATAGGCCCTGCCCACAAGTGGAACCAAACAAATGGTGCTTGTTGCAAAAGCATGTTGTTAGAAGAGTGGAATCAAAGACAGGCATCACATTTTACGAGCGAGTTTTACCATGATCATTCATAGAATTAGTCACTGCAAAGTTCTGGTCTCTGGGAAAAATTGCACAAAGTAAATACTATTGCAGAAGATGTAACTGAAAAATGCTCACTGCCAGATCTTAATACATGAAACCAATCAAATGTGCTTTCCAGTGAATACCAGTCTATAGTCAAGAATGTCCCATGGAAATCTATTCAATTGCTTAGGGTGATACCTTTTGTCGACCTCCCCGCTACTGCACCCAAAACACCTCACTAGGGCTCTGTGATCTCTGAAAGTCAGCCTCCTGAGAGACCAAGGCAAGAATGTGAGTGCTTTCCTGGAGCCTGGTGAAAATATACCTGCCAACCAGGTGATTCGGTAAAACTGAACTCAAGGGCTCATTACTGGTTTCTCTTTCTGGCAGAGATTGATGACCTGCTGGGATCTGGGTCAAACACACAACTCACAAAAAGGTAATCCCTGTTAACATTTGATTTACTTAGTTTGCCAAGAGCTCAGGACTTAAAAGATGCCCCTTCAAATCCACTACTTACAAAAGCACAGGTACATGGTAAAGATTTTTTGTTAACCATATCAGCTTATATCATTTGGCCATTTTCTTTTTGCTATCTACTTCTCAGCCCTAGCAATTTACTTTTTGGCCTATGTACAAAATTCTATTCCAAATGCTAGTGAATTTCACACCTGCACTTGGCATCCAATTACTGCAGATGAAAAAGGAACATTATTCTTTTCCCAATTAAAAAAAAATTCAAAAAGTTAATTTCCAAATTGTATCAACAATCCTGGAAATAATGCAATACCACACTCCAAAAAAAAAAAAGAAAAAAGCTTTTTCCTATTGATACATTTCTATCACTCAGACAGTTTTCCCATGTACACATCACAGGGCAGAAAAAAATTCTATAGTTCTGCTAGCTGCCAAGCTCTCTGCTTAAGAAAATCTTTTCTCTTTCACCAGCCAGCATTCAAAGTCCTACAACTTAAGAAACATCATCATGGTCTGCATCTCAGCACACATAGAAAGGAGAAGATAGTAGGTTAAAGCTTCTAAGACTCAATTCACTTATACTCAAAGATCCTATTTTCTTCAACCCTGACTTTTCCAAGCCTTGATGATGTCCTTGGGTAACAACTCAATCTTCACAGGAGGTTCTTGCACTTCAGTCCCCTCATTTAAGAAAAATTTATCTCTTTACTAACTTCCTTCATAGTTCCACAAATGGAAGAACTCAAGATCCAGCCCATTAGTAAAAAACCCACTTTCCAAGAACATTGTTTCATCTTCACTGGAGAAAAATGAGAGCACTTTTTCCTTCCTTGCCCAATTACTAATTCTTCTTGTATCCTGGGAAAAAAATAATCTGGGTTATTTTACTTGTACCAATGGTTAAGTCCAAACTTCAGCTATTTCATGGATGTCATTTAAAGCAGACACCAGGACTGGAGTAGGCAAAAAGTGACTCCGGGAGAAACAGATGTAGGGCAGACCTGTCATGAAGCCGTAGTAACAGGCAGCCAGCAGTGACCACCAGCGTCTCAGATCATTAAGCAATGTCTTACTGTGATGTCATCCATGGATGTACAGAGTTGTAATCCTTTCAAAACAGACAGACTGTCAGCATGACAAAGTGGATACAAACAAGTTCTTGAACTGGGATGACTAAAGCATTGGGGGGATAAATGTCACTGAACTAAAAAGGGATCCTATGATACAGAACTACCAGATATTGACACCATTCAGAGAGGCAGGTAAACAACCTGCTTCCCACTTAGATATTTTTCTATACTGATTAGCAATTCCATAAAATATGCCTGATCTCTAGATAAATAGTTCTAATCTACAGATGTCAGAACTGAGTTCTTAATTGCTGTAAATTAGTGAGCAAACACAGGTTTCTCATTAAACCCATTACACCCCGTGTGTTAAAATGGAACACTTGTCATTTGCTTTTGTTTTTCGTTGTTTTTTTTTTAGAATATTTTTCTCCTGGCTCTCAAATCAGGAGCATTCTTGATAAAATCCTAGATAAAAACATTGAAGCAGAGAGACATGGTCAGGATATGTGTGGCAGGTTCCTGCCCCTTGAAGTGTTTCTTCTTGGAGAAAAAACCTTTAAATGGCAATGGATTTGTCTAAATTTTAATGATGAGCAGTATTATGCCTTTATCTTTGCTTTCTTAAGAAATAGTAAATTGATGTCACCCCCTGTGAAAGCGTTTGCACGTTCTCCCACGGTACCTGTTCAAAGCACACGGTGTGCCTCCTGTCACCTGTATCACCTGTACAGTTTGTGAAAAAGTATTAATCGCTAAATTAAGAGAGAAGGGAAAGAACAGACTAAAATGTCACAGAAAAGCAAACTGTGAACTTTCAAATTAGTTAAGCATGAGGCCAAGCTGGCTAAAAAGACTGTGGCTATTCACTATGGCTCTATCTCTCAGGCTGGAAGACTTATGAGGAATGGAGGAAGGGTGGGAGGGTTAAACCAAGAAATGTATCAATTATCAAACTACAAATAAAAATAGCTCCTCTGCGCAAGCTTCATTAAGTTTTATCAGCAAGTATCTTGGGGTTTTACACTCAAATCACAGGTCATAAATTCACAGTAAATCCCCCATATGTTCACCAAACACCTGAATTCAATTTCTCTTCTGGTTGTGAAGTAGGAATGTGGTGCCCACATTAATTATGCATGCAAAGTTAGTTTCTAACAAGGGCCGCTTTTTTTGTGATGCTTCAGGGTATTTATAACATCTGAAATTTTGGGATGGATCCTTCTTTAATCTTACCACTTGTATACTGGTATGTAAGTCTAAACTCTCTTTTCCAAATTTGAACATTGAAAAAAATTATAGTTGGTAAATATCTTGTTATAGTCTTTGCATTTTTCTATGATAATCCCAGACATTTATGATATTGCACAAATGGTCTTGATACTGACTTTGAGGTTTTTAGACAAATATTTCTGTGGTTATGTACAAATCACCCTGAATTATAGAGAAAGTCTAAACTGAGGCTAAGTGGCTATATTTATATGTGTCTATGTATACATGTGAAATTAACTACTTAGGAAATATCATGTCATTTTCAGTTTATTTTCACAGTTTTACTCATCATCTGTAATATAAAAAGAATTATGAGAAACTCATGCAAATCCCAAAGGTACTCACTTTGCTCAGCTGATAAAATTCATTTCCAGATTCTGACACCCATGATTTGTTGTCCATTTCACACCAATTTCAGTGTAATAAATCATAACAAATTAAAAACATACAGCTATGCTCTCTGGGTTAAAAAGGTGGTCTCCAAAGCTGTTAATCCTGCATTTGCTTCTGATGTGATAGCTCCAGTTCTCCAGATGCTTTATGGATCACAGGGAGGTCATCTCTCCATCGGAAAGCCTCAGGACTAGATCTTACTCCAAGTCCCTCTGTGGTCTCTGGGTAACAGGACTATCATTTTATAAGCAACAAAACCTCAGGAATGTACCCCTCGCCCTATTTTATTACTTTCATCACTCTTCCTTATTAGCTTGTCATTGGTCTCAGGCAGGAGTAAGAAAAATTTAGTTTTACTTTTTGAGGGGAAGTCCTCCAGCAACAGAGAACATGCAAGCGCAAAGACATACATAATTTCAGGACCCAGCAATAAATACACACAAGAAAGCCCTAGGTAGCTGATCTTACCTAGTGTCACAAAAATGATCCAAGCTGGTCTCTACTCAAAAGGACAGCTGAATCTATCACAGCCATACCTCCAATGGGGCATCTACTGAAAACTCAGCACTAAAGTAACACTGCTTAGCAAGTTTTTAAAAATTATCATTGTCAAACTAATTATCAAGGTTTTGGTTTAAGAAACCATATTCGAATAAGAGTGACTATTGTGAGAATGTGTGTTAAGAGCTTTAAACCTCAAAGATGGTGGACTTCCTCAAGACCCTGTGAGGTACGTGGACAAAGGGCAGGGGCTGAGGTCTGGGCCTCCCAAGTCTCTTGACTCCCTAGCAGGCAATCTTAACATAGATTTAAGCAAGTAAAAGATGAGAGAAAATGTTTTCGGGGTATACCTATGAATTTAAATGCACTTTAGAAAATAAAATGTTGGCTGGGTGCCGGGGCTTATCCCTGTAATCCCAACACTTTGGGTGGCCAAGATGGGAGCATCGCTTTAGCTAGTAGTTTGAGACAAGCCTGGGCAACATCGCAAGACCCCATCTCTAAAAAAAAAAAAATTAGCTGGGTGTGGTGGTGCGTGTAGGCCCAGCTACTTGGAAGGCTGAAGCAGGAGAATTGCTTGAGCCCAGGAGTTTGAGGCTGCAGTGAACCATGATTGCACCACTGCACTCTAGCCTGGGTGAAAGACCGAGACTCTGTCAAAGAAAAAGAAAGAAACAAAGAAAAGAAACAAGGGAAAGGAAAGGAAGCGGGGGGCAGGGAGGGAGGGAGGAAAGAAGGAAAGACGGATGGAAGGAAGAAAGGACGAAGGAAGGAAGGAAGGAAGGCAGGAAGGCAGGAAGGCAGGCAGGCATCATTTTTCTTGGCACAATGCAAGAAAGCAGTTATAATGGTTAATGCCCAAAGTGCACTTACTTTTCATAGTGTGATTTTCTTGAATTCTCTAACAAATGGCAAGGACGTGTAAGGGATTCTAATAGGTTAGAGAACTGAAGAAAGTTTGTGGATTATATTATTCATTCAATAAAACCACTGGGGATACAAAGTTCAGCCAGTTGTGACCCACAGTTGAAGTCTGTGCCTCAAACTAAAATATACATTTAGGTGTCTGATTAAAGAGCAAATGAAATTCAATGTTACAGGTGAAAAATCTTGACAAACTAAAAAGAGTGAAAAACAGGAATACATTATAAAAATTTGAAATAAAGGCTGGGGGCGGTGGCTTATGCCTGTAATCCCAGCACTTTGGGAGGTCAAGGCAGGTGGATCACGAGGTCAAGAGATCAAGACCATCCTGGCCAACATGGTGAAACCCTGTCTCTACTAAAAATATACAAATTAGCTGGGTGTGGTGGTGCATGCCTGTAGTTCCAGCTACTTGGGAAGCTGAATCGCTTGAACCCAGGAGGTGGAGGTTGCAGTGACCTGAGATCGTGCCACCGCACCCCAGCCTGGCAACAGAGCAAGACTCTGTCTCAAAACAACAACAACAACAACAAAAAACTGAAATAAAAAGGCAATGGAAATTAAATTACAAAACCTGATGGGTTTTGATGACACAATAAAATGATTATCATGTTCTTCTTCATATTAGAAAGGTTTTATCATTCAGGCATAGAAACTAATTATAGAACCATTATTTTAATTCTTTAATCATGAAATGATTACAAAGAATTCAAGGCGAACATTTTCTTTGTTTTTGCTTTCTGTCTTTAATGACAGCATAATTGCAAAACACTATACGAAACTAAGCTATGTTTTTTTAAAAGAAAAAATTCCAGTGCAATGCAGTACTTAATTCCAAATCATGTCATAATTCTAAATCATGGCTAAATTCTACAGACTTTCTTGAAATGACTCAGAATATTAAATAATGTAACAAGAGATATATCACCTGTAAGTTTCATAAGAGGCTAACTCTGAAACTTCTTTGAGAATTAGAATAAAAGTAGTGAAACATACATCTAATAACCAGTTTTCTAAAAAGAAACCATTAATGAAGAGTTTGTATTACTGTTTTTAAAACATTTTAAAGATCATTAAAATATTCTTCCTGATTGATTTTTTTACTTCTATTTATGCTCTTGATGAACTTCATAATTATTCATTAATAATTTTCTGAGCTTTTTTTTCTATTTACAACTTGGCCATTATTTATCTGGAGAGAGGGAATAAATGACATAGAAATGTTAATTAATTTAACTTCTCATTTCAGATTTAGTTAAATTATTATATTAGGAAAACAAAAACAGTGTGACCATATTGGTTTGGAGTTATTGATAGATTTTGAAAACTGGAGTTATTGACAGATTTTGGAGTTACTGATAGATTGTGAAAGGGCTTGCAACATTCTTTTGTCAATTACATTTTTTTTTCAAAGTAATACTACATGTGCATAGTTTATATTTTAAAATGCTAAAAGCCTTAAAAGAATCATTAAAAGAAACTTCTTAAATGAAACTTCTGCTTCATCACATCTTGTCTCTCTGACCACCCAACCCCAAGACTTTTAAAGCTTTCAGTCGTTTTCTATGACATTTCTTTTTAACTCAACCTGAGATACTCAGAATGAATCCATTGTAATTCCTGGTTTGTGATACACTCTTGCTAGTGATGGTTTCATTGCTTACTTTCATTTAGTTATGATGAAAGTGCCATGCTCAATATTATTAAATGTAAGTTGCCAGTATGAATCTATTACACAAAGCAAAAGCTAGGAATTTAATAATAAGCCATGTCTAACCAAATTCCTCTGGTATTTAGACATTTCTGGGTAATATATTTATATCACTATCTCCTGATTTATTACTGTTAAACACACCTGTTGACTTCCTACAAAGGTAGATGAAGCATTAGCTCTCTTACACTCAAATCCAAATTCTGACTCCAAATTCCCATCTTCCACATCTTCCCAATATAATTATAGCAAAATTTATATGAAAATGATTTTACAATCTGATTTTTCAGATTTCCAGGAGAACAAGTCTATCATGGCTTATTAAGCCCAATTTTTTTCCTGGAGCCCTCTAACCTCAAAAGCTCCCACCACATACGCCAATCTAGGCTGCCTGCTTCCTGGTTTTCTGCACAGCAGAAGTCCTGGGACTTGTTAAAGCACACATTCGGTGGCTGCCTAAAAGGGTATTAGAACTAAAATATTTTGCGTTTGCATGCTTTAAATGTATGTATTCTATCATTACCACTCACTGACAGTTTGGCTAGGTATGGAATTTCAGGTAACAAAACATTACCCTTCAATATTTGAATGTGTTGCTCTATTATCTTCTAGCTTACAAGACTGATGTGAAGAAATCTGATTATATTCTGATTCTCAACTCTTCATTGTGTGTGTGTGTGTATATATATATATATATATATATATATATATATTTTTTTTTTTTTTTTTTTTACAGGATCTTCTCTTTCTGGTATTCCAAAACTTCACAATGCTGTCCTTTTTGAAAAATTGATTTTGCTCAGCACTAGGTGATTCTTTAATCTGGAATCTTAAGTTCTCCAGTTCTGGAAAAGATTCTTGTGTTATTTCTCTAATAATCTATCCTTTATTATCTCTGTTCTCTCTTTCTAGAAATTGTTTTCTTTAAATATTGGACCTCCCAGAATGAACTTTTCACTTCCTTTCTTTCTCACTATACTGCTCTTTGTCCTATAGCTCATGTTTTCCTTTATGGGAAACTTCTCAACCTCATCTATCAAGCCTTCTATTGTGTTTCTTAATACTGATATTGTATTTATTATTTTCTAAGAGTTCTTTCCCATTTACTCAATAATCCTTTCAATAGCCTCCTGTTCATCTTTGATGGTTTTAACATCATTTCTATTTCACAGAATTACTGTTTATAATTCCTTAATATTTTTCTCTTCTCTTAATTTTATGTTTCCTCCAAGTTCTTAAAGAAAACAAACAAACGTTGTTTGTTTTGGACTCTGTCTTCCACAATTATGGCTTTTCTGAAATGTTTCACATGTTTTTCTGCCCTTTTATATTTAAGAGTGAAGCACTAAAAAGCAGATTAGTCACTGTGTGCTTCAGGGGGGTTTATGAAATGGTGGACAGGAAGGCTGGGCAGAGTGTCACTTTTTTGGTTGGGAATTCTCATGACAGTGTATGTGGACTCCTTTTCCAGGGCAATTCCATGTCTTCCGAAGAGAATCTAGCAATCTTTGGTGCGGGGTGCATAAGCTTGATTCTTGACATTCCAGTGTGATTCTGTCATTCTATATTAACTATGTCCATTTTCACAAAAATAGAGTTACTATTTCTATATCTCATTCTGTTTCTTGTTTTGGAGTGATTTCCAAAAGGAAAAGAGGAAGAAATAGCTTTACTCTCTAATGTTAGACTTTCTAATTTCTGTTATTCTTAATTCTCAATTATTTTCAAATAGCTTAAATGTCTTTTCAAGAATAAAACTGGTATATGGATGCTTATATATTTTTTTAAGTAGACGAAAGACATGGATGTAAATGTTCCAAAATGGTAACAGCTATTGGTTATAATTACAGAATTATGTCCACCACTTCCTAACACACTTTAGGAATAATTTCTGTATTACTTTTTTACAATATTTATGGTTAATTTAGGGAGTACATTTTTAAAACATTGAGTTTGTAATCTACAAAGCTCCAAATACAAATACTGTTTTAAAGATTTAACCGAGTCCTCCACACTTTTTCTCCCAAGCACATGACCTGGTGCTATACTCAAACTAGTTTTCCTTTCTTTGACATGTGATGAAAATCACAGTTTGGCTTTAGTTTTTGCCCACATTTACTTCTGCTGGTCAATATGGTGACTGTGACATACAATTTTTAATCCTCTGTTTCAATCTTTGCTGGTCTTCACTCTTCGTTCTCCTGCTAAAGAGTGACCAGCTCCTATTCTGATCTCTCAGGAGTATCCCACTGATGCTGGTGACAAAGAACGTTTCCCACTTTTCCCACTGCATGCTCCTATCACCACTATGGAAGCGCATGCCTCAAGAATACAATTTCAGGCTCCAGCACATCCCCACCAGTAGATATTGTAGTTTTGTGGCTAAGGCGTGCAAATCGATACAAGTAAACTGAACCTGATTAAAGTTTCTGAAAATCACAGTCTTAGAAGAACCGAGTGGTAAGCTGATTAGCCAAAGGTTTACTGAAAGCCTTTTTTGTTTCAATCCTTGTGTTTGAAAATCCTTCTAGAAAGTAATAAAGGTCTCATCCATCTTGAAAAGAAGGAATAATGGATATTTAACTTAAAAAAAAAAAACTTTTGAGATTTTCATGACTCACTGTTGAGTACTTTGTAGAAAAAAAGGACGAAATTGAGTTCTTTTGGTTTCTCACTATTTTTCTGACAGACCCCCCACCTCACCCCGATAACAGCACTTTTATAGGTATCTACCTCTTGTTTCTAAAAGTGTAATTTGGAAACATATTGGCTAACTGTGGGTTTGCTTGGTTTCTAGCTAATTGAGACTTTATTGTATTGTTGCTTAATACATGATTTTAAAATTATACTGCAGCTGATTAAAATGAGAAAAATATATCTTTACTATTGTGGCAGAGTTTTTTCTTTTTTTCTCTAGTTTGACTTTTTTTCTCTCAATTTCAGGGATTTTCAAATTTCTAAAACAAAAACAAATCAATATTTAATTCCAGACTCAAATTGCTTAATATGTGGATAAAAACCTTTTGATCTTTATAAGTTTATATATATAGTAAAATTTTCCCTTTACAATGTCTAAATTTGCCTCTACATAATAAAATTTGTCTCACAATGATATCTACTTTAATTTGATACTTTACTAACTTTGTTTTGGAAAAAAATCCCAACTTAATATGATTATAGATTTTTAAAATATTTGTTTTTCTCTTTATATATATAATTTTTTAAAAAAATCTTTCAGCTCCTATGAAAGGGCTGGGAAAACAGAGTACTAGTATTACCCAGCCAAGGTGCTGCCAGATCATGAGCTCTAGGGCCAAAGGTCACAGGAATTCAGGGGCACATTTCAAAACCACCTGGTGCCTCAAGGCTCAGTAAGGAAGGGGGCAGTGCCAGCTTCTACCTGAGGACAGAGGAGAAAAGAATGGAGCAAAACATCTGCTAAAACTCAGCATGACCCTTCCCAAGCAGATTGGAACACTGCCTTGCCTGTATTTTATACTTCCAACCGATGTCCAAGTACTGGTGTGTAGGGAAACTAAGCCAAGACCAAATGGGACTAATGATGTGTTTGGAAGCATCAGAAGCCCAGAATGAATAGAGAGAGATACTGACAAACACACTGACATACATACGGACACAGGCATAGATTTAGATATAAATATCAGCAATTGCCTAACCCAGCCACTTATACTAAAGAACCGCTTTGGGATTCCTTTTCTTGAGCTGGAAAAGAAAAGCCTTAGAAAATACATACTGAAATATTAGCCACGTTTGCACAAGCCAACCACCTGACATGAAGCTACATTAAGCCTCAGAAGTCACAGGCCTCCACAGATACCGTTTTGTTTTGTCTTTTCTCATATTGTAATGTCTCTACAGACTGGCGCTGACATTGTTTCATTTTGATATCATAATAGTGTCTCCATGGATTTTGGCTGACATTTTGTTTTGACATTATGTTACAACAGACCTCCACTGACATTTCATTTTGTCACCACAACATTGTTTCTATAGGTTTCTGCTACGTTATTTTGTTTTGACATTAAAAATGCCATCTCTGTGGTCTCAGTGCAACATTGTCTAGAGAACTTTTGGAGAAGGTATGGGGGTGCATGAAATAGATAAGTGGCATCATACAGAACATTTAATGAAGTTGAAGATGTTTTCCATAGAGATAAATTTATACGATACTTAATATTTGCAACATTGTTTCCAAGTCCTAGGGTTTATTACAATATGGATTCAGTTAAGGTGTTAATTCTCTGTCTTTCCAATAAAAGGAGACCCCACAATCCCTTTTATATGTCAAAAACTTCAAAGAATTAATCCTCTATCCCTCTATTGCCAGAATCAAGTTTTTTTTTGTTTGTTTTTAATGAATATGGTCTGAATTTTGTGTTGCAGAACTGTAGGAAGTATTTACGAAGTAAACAACTATAACCCTTTTAATTGTTGAATTTAAGAAACCGTTGATCATGACACATTTTATAAATGTCTAAGAAGACAGAAAATGCTGTCAATTAAAATGCCATTGTATAATAAGTATCTTGATATCAGGGATTTTAAATTCTGAAAAGCTGAATCTTATAATTGATTAAAAATGGTGATGGTATGTATTAAAATTAGCACTACCAGAAACAGCAATAAAAATAATTGATGACCATTTGAGTATTTTTAAATAAATAATAGGATAAAAACATGAATCTTAAACTGATTTTGCAGTTTTAGGTAGAAATCATCTAGTGATTATCCTGAGAGAGGTTTGAAACAGACTTCCCCCTTTCCTGGTAGTCTCCTCTTTCTTCTTGTATTCACAAAATTCTCTATGAACATGTTACTATTTGTAATAAGACCAAGAATATTGACCTCTAAAGCTGCATACTTCTAAATTCTATTAACTTAAATCCCAGGAAAATATCTTTACAATGTAATGATATATCTTCAGATTTGACCAAAAGCCAATATGACAAATGGTCATAATGGGAATATTTCTGTGTCTTTGCAAGCTATATTAAAAAATGTTATTTGATTTGTTATATAATTTTTCTTCTATAATGTATATAGACTTCACAGTGAAATTATACAGCACAATTTAATGCCAGAGAAGGTGTTGCTACAGATGATCTCACGTTTATCAAAGAATTGAGCATAAGAAAATTCATGAATCTCAAACAAGTCTTTGTTTGAAAATGCTTATTCTGTTTCACAATTTATCTATTACAAGTATGTATATTAAAAATACTCCTAGAATTCAGCACTAGTGAAAGTATTCTCCACATGAACTAACATATTTCCTCTGATCGTAGATTAAGGATTTGATGTTGTTCTTTTTGCCTTGGCTGCCAGGAAACTCTGAGATTAAACTGATGTACAACTATAATTACTCTGTCATTCCAATTAGGTAGTCATATCAATTTTGTAATGTTCTTTCTATCATTTTTGTGTCCTTGTAAACTTCATTTGAACAGCTATTTTAAGAAGCTGCTTCAAATAATTTTTTGGAAATAAGGTGGTCTTAACTCATAGAGGGTCACAATGACCAATTTGTTAAGTATGAAATATAAAGCACAGAGTTTCTTGTCATATTTTGAATAATTTCTTCTGATACCCCTTATAGAAATCATCATATTGGCTTCAAGTATATGTGAATAATATGAGATGAGATACAAGTAAACATCTAATCCAGTGCTGACCACAGAAGAGGCACTTCATAAACACTCAATACGATGAAGAATAAGGACATCTAGGGAGAGACATAGAGTGGGTCATTAGAAACCCATGCCTGCAGCTCAGGAGAGAAGTGAAACTGAAGATATAGCTTTGGCAGTCATCGACATATACACAAGTGTAATGTAAGTCATGGAAGTGGATGAAATCACAGTGATAGAATATGGAGAAGAGGGCTGGAGATATATGATAAACCCAACCAACAACATTCTTAGAAAATAACGATTTTTACTTTTCATTGTAGTTGAGTCACAGCAAGAGAGAAGCAAAAAAGAAGCCTGGCTTGCTCATGAAGTCGGGATCTCGTGGGATGTTACAATGTGCTGGGTTTGAGAGCAGTATGTGAGGTGACGTGCCGGACTCTGCCGCAAAAGATTCATTGCTGGGAGCAGGTGGGAGACCTGAATCTCGCTGCTCCCTCCAGCTGGGCCTCAGGCTTGGGGAATACCTGGGCTATGGCAGGTGAATCTGCTTTGCTGGTGAACAGTCTTCTCAGGGGCTGCCAATCCAATTACTTCTATGAGTGCTAAGGTTTCACTAGTTACAAAAAACTCTAAAGTAAATTAAAAATTTGTTTAAATTCATAAAATATGACAGCTCTAAAGTATTATCATAATTATCCTCTCCAAGTCCATCTCTAAGACTAACCTTCCTACTTCCTCAATGTGAGATGAATACCTGCTGTCACATACATGTTTTGTCCCTTCTATAGTCTGGCTAGATTTCTCATGAAAAGAGGGAAAGAAATTGTATCCTTCTCTTGACCAAGTTCACCATATCCTCAGGATTTCTTTGCAGATGAACTATTTAGTTAATGCAGTTTCTAAGGCCCAGTGAATAGTATTGTGAAAGAGATTTTTCAAAGAAAGCTGATTGGACATCTTCAATATACACCAATACTTTCCAAACGAACAAACAAAAACTTTGTAAGCTTCATTTTTTTTTTTTTTGCCCTTATAATTTAGGACTATGATTCTGTGCAGGATTTAGAAGTAATTATCAAGTTAAAGATGTAATTAAAGATTTCACCAAGAAACGTAGTCTGATTAATGACAGTAAGGAGCCAAAGGACAGTAAACTTTTTGAATTTTTGAGAGAAAAGTCAGGATTTGTTATCAATAACTGTGGCTTTAGTCGATGTTTGGAAAATCAAGATGTTTGGCACTGCAGAGAAGAGAGGTTTTTTTTTAAATTTTATTTTACAACAGTTGTAATAAAATCCTTATTCTAAAAACATGAGTGTATATATGTACAGCTCCAAATTTTCCAATTAAAGCTTCAGTTTGAGGTATACATTTTTTATCCATTTTGTATGCATTAGGGAAAAGGTCGTGAGACCACACTCAAATTCAATCCATAAACGACACATTGTTCACATCTCGCCAAGTCATAACTGATGTTATAAAGGGTTGAAAAGCTTCAATTTAAAAAAATACAGGCATCCTCTCCTTTTCACCACAATGTGTTCTTAGAAACCACACCATAAAGTGGATCAGATTTTCCCATAGGAGCAATGTTATAATTGGAGGTTATGTTTCTGACCAAGGAGTTGGCTCCATGATATGGCAACAATGGATCACACAGGCAAAGATATAATATCTCTAAATCTTTATAGTAACTTTAATAGTAAAAGTAGATTGCAAGTACCACAAGACGGCTTTAAATATATTCTGTTACTTATTCAAGAGACCTCAAGATTCTATAAAATATACATATATAGTACTAAGGAATTTTTAGAACTTTGGCAAATGAACATGCTAATAACTAAATATTATAATACTTTTGCCTTTTCTTAAAAGACCAAAAATGGCTCTGCAGAGGTCTTAGATCCGAGTTCTTGAAGAGGAAGAAGGATGTCTTCTGGTTGAACCCTTTAATTTTACCCCAGAGACCCAATGTGCTTCTTATGTGATTTTTCACAAGATCTTTCTTTTACTTTGGAAAAATTTCCCTGTAGCTAGCAGAGACTTAAAAAAAAATTCCATCAACCTTAGAACTACAGTCTTGCATTGTTTAACAATGCAGCTACATCCTGAGAAATGGGTTGTTAGGCAATATCATCATGTGAATATGATAAGAGTATACTTATATGAACATAGATGATGTAGTCTACTACCCAGCTAGGCTGTATGGTGTAGCCTATTGCTCCTAGGCAGCAAACCTGTACAGCATGTGAGTGCACTGAATACTGCAGGCAATTGGAACATAATGGTATTTGTGTATCTAAATATATCTACATATAGAAAAGGTACAGTACAAATGTGGTATTATAATCTTATGGAACCACTGTGATATGTGCAGTCTGTCATTGACTGACATGTGGTTATATGGCACAGAACTGTATTCCAAAATGCTAGAGCCAGGTCACAGATTGCATCATTAAGTACTTCAATGTGTGCTGATCTCTATCATGGCATCTAATACTTTATGTTTTTTTCAAAAGGATTATTCAATCATTTCCCAGATAATTGATAGAACTGGCATAGAACAGTATCCAGTCTGTACTTGGATTGTTTGCTTTCCTGTTTTCCCATGCAGACAACTGGCCGTACATAGCACTGAATGGAAGGTTAAAGGCAGAGAAAAGTAAGATGTAGGTGTTAATTATATGTTGTGGGATGAGTGACAGAATTAAAGAGCATTCCAATGATAAGGTAGCCTTGTGATTATCAGGACCAACCTCTTCGCTTTACTGATGAGGAAACTGAGGCCCAGAGAGATCCAGTGACATGACAAAGCTAATAAACTAGGCAGATGGCTGACTTGGAGCAATGCAGAAGTATAGGTCCCTGCCCAGGGCTACTTCAGCTTGGCTAATATTCTAACATTCAACTGCTAAAGTCTTCCTGATTCACAGAAATTGGGGGAAAACTTTTTTTTTGAAACAGTGTTTTCCTCTATCACCCTGGCTGAAGTACACTGAGTATACACGGATGCAATCAAAGCTCACTGCAGCCTTAAACTCCTGGGATCAGGCAATCCTCCCACCTCAGCCTCCTGAGAGGCCGCAAGTGATCCTCCCAACTTGGCTTCTTAAAGTGCTGGAATTACAGGTGTGAGATACTGCGCCTGTCCAGGAGCCATTTTAATCTGTGTCATATTTGAATTAGGGGAGAGCTCTCCCTCACACACACACATACATATTCATGAGTGCAGAGACACACACACGTATAATAAACTTTTAGTCCATAATATGAACATAAAGTAAACCTGATACTATTTCTTATTTCACATGGGACCAGACAATTGAAGTCCTTAATGTACAGTATTACAAGATTAGTACATTTGAATTATCATAAACAACAAAAAGAAACCATCCTTTGGCCATTTAAATTCAGATCCCCTCAGAGCAAGCCAAATTTACATAACTCCATTGTCCACACTGTATCTTTTATCAGTAGTCAGTTTAATTCAAACGTCTTGTAGAAAAGATGAATTAAATATTCATCAAAGTCCAGAGAATTTTAAGCATCTATTCCATTATCTTAAATGGAACTGCAGACAAAACACCAAAGTGAACCTCTTTTTTCCCCCTTACCCTTCAACATAAATAAGGCTTTTAGTGTTTCCCCTTATGGTGTAACTCATACCAAATGATGACACTATTTACAGTATCTTCTTTAAAAGGGCATAGCTCCTATGCTTATTTCAATTAAAGCCCTTGTGCAATTATGCTTTCAAGAAACAATTAACAGAGGAAAAAACCATTTCCCTCACTCCGGCCTTTTAGAATTGGGAAGTGAGTACCCTTTCTTACCACTAGCGGCATTGAAGTAATTATTTAATGTTAAGGTTCAATTCCTTGGGTGTAAATTTTGGTTTTAGTTGACACTAAAAAGAAACATCAATTTATTAGGAGATAAAACTTGTTCTCCAGTAATGGAGCAGCTGCATCCATAAATTTATTGCAGTTTAATGTTCTCACACATAAAGCAATTAGAGTTTTCTGATGAACAGACTTTGCTACTAAATGATCATGTGTATCGTGGTGAGGATGGCCTGTGAGACTGGAAAGTAGAATGTGAGGCTTCCATGAAAAAAACTGCAGAAATGTAAAACAATAATACTACTAATAATACGTGTTGGGCAAATACAAGTGAGACCCTCTCCTCCATCCATGAGTTTGAATGAAAAGAAATGCTGCAAATTTAGCAGTCATGGTGAACGCCCACACTGCAGCTTTCCTGGCAACAGACTCACTTAATGATGCCTGGAATGAAGCCTGCTTGGATCCTGAGCAAGGGAGGATACAAACACCTTATCTTTAAGATAAGCATCACCTGATTTTCCTCATCAACAAGGAACAACAGTAGACAGGTGAGCAGTTTAAAAGTAATTCCAATTGCTGAATATCTAGGTCATACTTGCCCTGTAGAAGACTAAAGCGCATTCATGGAAGATTTTGTTTCTCCCCAGACAGTGCCCTCATCTTTCACATACCACCTCTCACGTTTCGAGAGAGAGACAGAGAGATTTATTTCTTTGCATCCATCCCTTCCCCTCCCCTGCAACACTATTCTGCCAATGTAGTAACTACCTCCAGGTGTTGAAACTCATGGGTTCTGCCTGAGCATGTTTCTTTCCCGGTTAATTTGGGAAGACTGATTGAGACTTAGAACTACTATAAACATATTTTTGTAATTTGTAGTGACAATTACCATTGTTATTTACTAAGCACCTACTAAATGCCAGGCATTATGTAAATTGTTGAGAATACAGAGGTGTGACAATGGTTCCTATACTCAATGGTCAGGTAACAATAATAGACAAGACATTAAGTGATAAAGTTAGTGTATGATTTTGGGGAAAATAAGAGGAGGGAGTGATCATTTCTTAAGGAAATGGTACAGACCAGGCCAGATGCATTTCCATAGGTTCCCTAAATTTGGGCTGGGTTTGGAGTGAGGAATTGAAGTCAGGTTGAGCGGTCAGCCTATGTGAAGGGAAGGCAGGTTTAAGAAGTACCAAGTGGTTCCAGGGGTTTCTGGACTGGGGACTGATTATTCTTTTAAAAGAGGCTGCTGAAATGTCCAAATAAATAAGACAGATCGAACACATCTATGCAGCCTCGACGCTCTTCTAAAACCCCACCAAAATGCCAGCAAAGACATAAAAAGTCTTCAAATCACTCAGATAACAAGAATAACAATAGAGGAGACTACAGCAAATGAAAGATAACATTTTAGGAGCTGTAAGGCTAATGGATGGGGCTTAGTTAGCATATTGGAAAATGTAGAACCCTAAGCTTACATGAAGGGATAAACGGCTACGTGTTGGTTCAGCAGAACCCCAGAAAGACTTGGGAATTGGAGGTACTGGGTACCTCTGAAGAAGGGTGATGGGTCAGGGCAGAAGATGAACTTTTGGGCATTTTTGCTTTTCACAGCTTTTTTTTCTTTCATCATCTTCAGAAACCACAAGCCCTCTAAAAATGTGTGTGTGTGTGTGTGTGTGTGTGTGTGTGTGTGTGTAGCATATATATTTATATTAATTTTATTTTGCTCTCGTGGCAGCAACAACAGGATCAATGAAAGGAGCACAGTGAAGCAGTACTGACCATGGGGGG
Organism: Homo sapiens; assembly: GCF_000001405.40. Lineage (NCBI taxonomy): Eukaryota > Metazoa > Chordata > Mammalia > Primates > Hominidae > Homo > Homo sapiens. The sequence goes on from NC_000010.11 coordinate 34,155,803, forward strand.
TCATGCAGACGCTCTGAGAATTGAGCATCTATTGCTGGGACCACTGTATTCAGAGGCAGGAGGCAGATGCAACACGGTCCACTCACAATGCACAACCTGTGGCTTGGTTGACTTACAAAAGCAGTACAACAAACACAGCTATTTAGCACAGTCTGAGAGGTCACAGCTCCCACCTGATCTGGAGGCTGCTCCCACTCTGATAATTTTAAGACAGTACTTTCAGCAGGAAGTGGGAAGCCTATGCATGCCATGTGACCTCAAGGCTACAGATAAGTATTAAATTGGATGACTGATTCTCATATTTTTCTGATTATTATTGTTTTTAGAGACAGAATCTAACTGTCACCCAGGGTGGAGTGCAGTGGTGCTATCATAGCTCACTGTAACCTCGAACTCCTGGACTCAAGCAATCTTCCTGCCTCGGCCTCCCAAGTAGCTGGGACTACAGGTACAAGCCACTAATTTTTTCATATTTTTAGAGATGGGGTCTTGTTATATTGTCCAGGCAGGTCTCAGACTCCAGGGCTCCAGTGATCCTGCTTCCTTGGCCTCCCAAAGTGCTAGAATTACAGGTGTGAGTCACCATGCCTGGCCATGAATCTCATATTTTTATAAAGCAGCCATGTGTTCTAGATTTTGCTGAACATCACAATTTCCAATACTCTAATGCTCATAAAGAGACGGCTCATGGTCAAACTAAAGGTATAATTTTTAAGTTTTTTAAGTTGGAACAAAATGGTCAATAGGAGGTAAGAACTTAAAAGGAAAGGGTTTGTTTGCAAGTGCTCCCACAAGAAAACTCGGAAGCGATGAACAAGAGTCACCACTTCACTTGCATGAGAAAGTTCCTCATGGTACCCCTAAGTCAAGCCCTCACTAAGAGCGCGGCTGCTGGCACTGTGGTCCCACTTTGAGGAGCAGCCTCCCAGAGCTCGCCCAGGCCCCTGCAGCTTCCATGCTCTTCTCATGAGACCAAACGACTGCCCAGACACTTAGTAAATTCCTTGTATCTTTGGTTTATATGAAAGGAAAACAGCTTCTGCACATTTCATCTTACTATAAATACCCAAGTGAAGAAAAAAGGTAACCATGAAGGCTCATCCCACTCAATTTATTCCTGTTGGCATTCTTTCAGTGGAAAAAAGGAGGGGAAAAAAAACCCTGCCCTTGAGTAGGAATGCAACATGTAAAAACCTGTGCTGAATCATGAACATGATTATTGTATGAGAAGATTCAAACTGAATTGTAAAAACCTCATTTTATAGCTGCTTAAAAACCCTGAGAATAGTTGTACATGGATCTCAGCAAACGTACAAAAGAACACGCGTTATCAAGGCAGAGATCTGCACACTTGCTAGGGAAGACAAGGGTGATGCGGGGGCAGAAGATCCTGGCTTGGACAAGGCAAGGTTCCAAGGATGAAAATATCCCTCTGCTGGCTGAGTCAGATGCATCCACACATCTGAGTGCCCTCTGTGCTCAGCTGTCTTAGATTCATGCTGCGTTGTAGCTGTTTGTTTACTGGACTTGCCTCTCTCCGGAATTAAGAAGTCAGATTTTGAGGGCAGGGAGCCAGTCATATTCACCTTTGTTTCCTTAGCCCTGATGCCAGTGTCAGACAAGTAAGCGCCCCATGAACTCAAATAAATAAAGACCTCTGATCTACATTGTCCAGCCATGTGCACCTTTTTCTCCATTTTTTCTTCTTTTACAAGTATTTATATTCTCTGCACCTCCTAACACAGATTATCATGAGTCCATGTACAATAATTTTCCCCATAAAACTAACTAGCAAGGATTCCCTATTCCCAAATCTGCAAATTTCACAATAAAACTGTTTTGTGTGTGATTCTTCTACCAAACTTGTGACTCATATTTAAAATCTGAAACCATCATCTGCTTCCTATAGAGGGTTCCCTATTCCCAATGACACATGCCCAAATGAAGCACTTGTTTTTCATGGTTCTGATACACATAAAACGGTGACATAAAACATATGACAAAACAAGCATAATACTGTTATGGAAAGAGATGTTGGAAAATTAGAAAAAGAATTCTGTTTATTGTGTTAACTACAATTCTAACCCAGGATTTTTCAAACTTTGACCACAACCTACAATAAAAGCGCTATATTTCATGTAGCAACCAGCACAAATGTACATAAATATAAAACTGCAACAGATTATGAAATAAAACCATTTCTATTTCCAACATACTCAAACATTTTCTATTCCTTTTACCTCATTCTCTTTAAACATTGCTGATGTCAGCCTACTCAGACAATTTCAAAGCCTGACAATGCAAGGTAACTCATGCCTGTAATCCCAGCACTTTAGGAGGTTGAGGCAGGAGGATCTCTTGAAGCCCAGAGTTTGAAACCAGCCTGGACAATGAAGCAAGACTTCGTTTCTCCAAATAAAAAACAAACAAACAAAAACCACAAAAGAGAGAGAGAGAAAAGACAAATTAGAGTCACCAAGACCCATGAGGTAGGAGACAACTTTAATGGGAGGCATTAAAGAACCTAGAATCTTCTGAAGTCATCTCTTTCCATTTCTTCTCTCTTTGGCATCTCCACTCCTGTGGTTTTCTTGGATAGCTTCTGTGTGTTTGATTCACGATTCTTTTCCATTTCATGTTACCCATGTGGCTAAGGCTAGGGTGAAAGCTAAGCAAGACGCAGGGTGGAACCCATGGAGATCTAAAGAAGCGACTGCTGCCCAGGCCTGACTGGGTCAGTACAGCTTCATTCAGAAAGGCAAGAGGAAGACTTCCAGCCCATCTATAAGAAACCGGGTCCCAAGCCCTGGCTAGTGAGAAAGAGTGTGTATATGGCAACTATCTCTGTGATGATTCTCCTAGAACGCTGTCCAACACAACTGTCTGCCATGATGGAAGTGTTCCATATCACTAGTTACTGTGGTTACCACTAGCTACAAGTGGCTATTAAGCACTTGATGTGTGACTAATTCAACAAAGGAATGAATTCTTAGATGTATTTAATTTTAATTAATTGAAAGCTAAAGAGCCAAATGTGGCTGTGACTTCCATTGTGGACAGACATAGCCCTTGAACCTATCAAAGATGGGTAAGAGAAGTGAGGTTGAAAGGCTTTGGGACAAGTCAGAATTTGAAGACATTGATGCTGCCCATATCTTTCCATCAGATATTTCCAAGGATGAAGACTGAATTGCAGCATTTTGCATTCTCAAATCTTGAAAAAGAAACAAGAATTTATGGAACCAAACAACCACAGAGATTCAACTATGAAATGTATTCACTGGTAATAAACAATTCCTTTCAACTAGAACTTCAGTGAAAGGTGCTGTACAAACAGTTGCATATTCTTTTAACTTGAGGGGAGGCAAGAATCTAGTTCATTCTGAAGTTTTGGAAAGACCTAGGTTTTAGATTCTGCATTGTCACTGATTCGCTAAAGACCTGGAGGAGGTTATACGTGTTCTCTTTAGCTTCTACTGCTACTCATGGGCTGTTGAGTAGCAAATGAGTTGGTGTAAGTAGGGAAAGCACTCAATGCTGTGGTTTATGGTAGTTATTCACAACAGTCAATAGTGTGTGCACTCAGGCAGATTTGCAAATAACTCTTTCACTCTGCCTTAGGATAACTACCCATTAAATCACATAGGTAGAAAGAAGGCCAAGTTTATTCATTTTACATCCCTGTAACTCCCAAGAAATGTTGAGGTAATCAAAAAATTGTGGGAGATAGGATAATCTGAATAGCAAATGTTCCAACTTCTAACATCTAGGCAACTAGTAAGTCCTGAAAGCTGGAATATGGCTGGTCAAAATCAGAAGTTCTCTGAACTAAAAGACAGTTTCAACAAGGTCCTTATCCATTAGTGTATCTACAACAAACAAAGCTAATGTAGCTATTTAGCACTTTCTATACATGAGGCTCTATTCTAGGCACTTGGGCCTCACAACAATTCTAGTAGGTGAGTTCTATTATGCCCATTTTATAGATGAGGTTAAGAGAGAGAAATTGAAAGCTTAAGTAACTTGCCCAAGATCAACAGCTACTAGGAAACAGTGCTGGAATTAAACAGAGTGCATACTTTTCATCCCTGCATGAATCTGCCTTGATACGAGGAGTGGACTCTATGAGGAGGGCAGTTATCTTAACATTTTCACCCAGGAACTTGTGTTTAAAATAAGCATGTTAATAGCATCAAGGGTGCATTGGAAGAACTGAAAAATCATAGAGGACTAGAGAGAAAGTAGATAGAATATTATCAAAAGAGACTAAAGTATTTTAACATTTTGGAGTTATTTAATATAGGGACAATCAGTTCCTTATGTCTTATTAACTCAACAGAATAATCAATGCAGCAATGCAAATAGATGGCCTAGAACCATAAAGTAAGGTTCAGTTATCATTCGAATGCACTGTTAAGAAGGCAGGGAATCATTAAATCCTAAATATAGGGAAAAACTTTGATTCTTAAAAGTAGTAAGTTTTGGTTATTTGGATGATTCACTGTATTGAGCACACTGCACACTCATGTAGAACTAATAAGGCTTCAATTAACAAAGCAGATTGATCTCAATGTCCTCTAAGCACTAATACTCAAGAGACAGTATACAGCTTTGTACAATCAGTAGGCACCAACACATCAGCCTTCAAGAGAACTTCAGTTTCAACACTGCTGTTGATTACATTTTTAAAAAATGTGCTAAAATAATGGGCAATTGAAACATTCTGAAATTAGATCTAACACAGTGAATAATTGCTGTGCAAGTCACACTACATTTTACAGACTGTGTTCTTGCATTAAACAAGATGCAGAGATTGCCTTTAAAAGGTATAATTTTCTATAATCTTTTTTTTGTTGTTGGTGGTGCTCAAAGCAATTGCTTTCCAATGGAAAAATAAAGCAAGAGAACAATGGTGCACATCCCCAGACTTCTTACCAACATGTAAACTTTGACCGTTCACAGTATGCAGTTATTGACAGCTGGACTAAAGGACAGTGTCGCCATTAACTTACCGCAACCTCATCTGAAAAGGAGTGAAGTGCCTTTGGAACCTGTTTATAGTACCTAGGTCTGAGGGAGCATGCAGAGGAAGATTTAATTATCCCATATGAGGTTAAGTTTTAGGCCAGTGCCAACTAGGAAGAAGTATTATAGTTAGAAAAGAGACTCAAGGCCAGGTGTGGTGGCTCATGCCTGTAATCCCAGCACTTTGAGGGACTGCTTGAGCCCAGAAGTTTGAGACCAGCCTAGGCAATATAGTGAGACCTCATCTCTACATAAAAAGTTTAAAAAATTAGCTAGACATGGTGGTGCACACCTGTAGTTCCAGCTACTTGGGAGGCTGAGATGGGAGGATCACTTGAGCCCAGGAGGCTGAGACTGCAGTGAGCCAAGACTGTGCCACTGCACTCCAGGCTGGGCAACAGAGTGAGACCCTGTCTTGAAAAAAAAAAAAAAAGAAGAGAATCGAGTGAGAATTAGCATGAAATGGGGAGAAGAGGGGAGTGGGGAGGGAGTGCTCAACTGAAATTCAATGCTAAGAGAGTAAAGAATGGATTAATTCAACTATTTTAACAGTGTACAGTAAACATTACACTGTTACTCAGTGTAATGCCTACATGACCTAGGGCACTTGGATCACAGATCAGCTTCTTAATTCTGCTTTACTTTAGGAAACACCATTCCTGAAGTCAAATCCCCTGCATAACCAAACTGGCCAAGACTGGTGGAAATCCCAAGATGCTGGCCCACTTGACCTCTGAAGAACCTCTAACTTCATTATAATCTAATTTCCATGCTAAATGACACTTCCACCAGCACCATGACGGTTGACAATCACTATGACAATAGCTGGAAAAAAACATAAAAGAACAAAAAGGAAAGTGGCAACTCTGGTTCCAAGAAATTCGCTGTTCATTTCAAGACACGAACATTCCTCCCTTTGCTTTTAGTGCCCAACCCATTCATTAAAGATGCCCTATATCTGTGACTTCCTGGCTCTCACAGGCTGAGAAGCTGATCTGTGATCCAAGTGCCCACTCAATTCCATGGCCATCCGATTAAAGCCTGCACTGCTCGACGCTTTCAGTTTTGTGTACTAGCTTTGAAGCACCAAACAGGGAAAGAGCCCATTTGGGTGGGACCAGCTTTGTCAGTAATATTAGTGTTATGCCTACAGGAAATACAAATATGAATGAAACATAGTCATTGTAGTTGGAAATGCATGACATATATGTACATATGATAGAGGCAGGAGGCAGAGAACTCTCCTAGGCAGATAGGGAAGGGTCCCTGAAGAATCTCCGACCCACCCCCCAAGTATTTATACCACATGTTTTGTGCAGATAAGGCAACCTGCACAGGGAGTTTGCCTGAACACGCCCAGAGCAGACTAAGGGACCATATGCACACTGGGGGGAAGGGGTGGAGCCACCAGGAATTCAAACCTTATACAAACAGGGAACCCAGCGCCATCAGCTTGGATATATAGAAGCCCTCGTATTCAACTGTTAAGGGGGGCAACTGGCAACCTGCTTTCAGGATCCCTCTTTTTGCTGAGAGCTTTCCTTTTTGTTTAATAAATTCTATTCCACTCACTCTTCGATGTCCGCATGCCTAATTTTTCGTGGTCGTGAGACAAGAACCTGGAACTAGCTGAGTGAAGGAGTTTAAAAAATCCTGTGTCACATACACATGTGAGTATGTATATACACATATTCGTGTTATTATATGCATTTTGGCAGTGCCTACTATGCTATGTGTTATGCATAAAGTGATCACTAGAAGAGTATGCTTCCTGCCCTTACAGAACAACTGTGCTAGTAATAAATCAACTAGAATTGTGTTATGTGCTGGGAAAGAGAAGAAGAGAGTGTAACTTGATTGAGCTAAGCTTGCTACATTCACCTGAATTCTGATTTTGTGAACTAAATGGAAATGACTAGTAAGGAAACTCCACAAAAATTTGACCTGATAGGCTAGAAGGGCCCCACAAGGAAGGAAAGTGTACTCTAATGGGCAGTTAAAGGAACCAGCCTGGCCACACACTTCCAACAGGACTGTGAGAATTCAGACCCACTCCCTCAACTCCTGGAGGAGCTGCCCAGATAGATGCCACCACCACACGGGAATCTGAAACCACATAATTTCAGGGCTGGACATGGTTCAAAAATCAGCAAGTAGGGTTCTGAGTGAATGCTCTATACATATAGGTAGATTATTACATTACATAATTACATAAAAAATAAATAATTACCTAATTACACTAGGTAATTATTTTTGACTTTAGAAACAAATGACTTGTCATCACTACATGAAAGACAATGGCGTTTCAGTCCAATACCCTTGGTAGGACTTAGAGTGGCCACCACTCCTGGGAGGGAGTTGCGTATTCACCTAGGAAGTTAAGTCTTGGGGAGGAGGCTTGTGTTCCCGGCCACTCCACAGCCGGTGGGGGGGAGGACACACCCACAAGGCGTGGGAGAAAACAATTAGACTAAGATTAGAGCCATCCAAGCTGGAGGAACCAGATAAGGCTTCTTGGGTGAGGTGGCATATATGCTGGTTCTTAAAAGAGAAGCAGAATTTGAAAAGATGAAGAAAGGGCATGAGATGAAAAGATAGCACAGGCAAAATGTTGTAGTTAAATAGAAAGGAATGTCGGTTTGGCTGGGACACAGAACACTCAACCACGGAAAAAGAGAGAAGAGTGGAGATCACACTAGAAAGAAACAGGGACAAAATCCTTTACAGCGGAACTGGGAACCACTAGCAAACTTTTTCTATAAAGGCCCTAATAATAAATATTTTTGGCCTTGTGGGTCAGTCTGTTGCAACTACTCAACTCTGCCATCATACTGCAAAAGTGGTCACAGGAAATGCATAAACAAATAGCCCTGGGGATCTGGTCTGTGGGCATAGTTTGCAAACCCTTCTGTCAGAGAGATGTGATCTGCTCACGCACCGTTACGGGGGAACTGCTCAGGCAGAAGAATGAGAATCCAGGATGTTTTACAGCAAGGATCTACTGGAAGAAGGAAGGAGTCCAATGAGTAACATTAATACTCTGAAATAATGAATTCTTGTTATTCACATCAAATGGCTACAAGAGCAATAAACACCTGAGGGAATGAGGTAACAAGGAGCAAAGTAACTCAACTGGATTCATATTCCATTTGTTAGTTTAAGCAATTATTATTATTTTCTTAATGTCAAGAGTAAACATGCACAAAATATGGTTAATTAAACCACCACGCTCATAGGTCTTGTGAAAGACAGCGAGTAGTAAATCACTAATACAGACATTGTGCAAAGCGGAAAAATAAACAGCTACTATGGGAATTCAAAACAAAGAGCCACCAACTAAGGAAGAAAAGGAAGAATTGGCCATAAAAAAAACCTGCTTCTGTTTTTGTAACAACTTTGAAAGATGAATAGGAAAGTTTGTTTATTTCCAAGGTGAACTTTAATCAATGAACTGTTAACATCATTAAATACACTGAAGCATGTGCACCATGTACTTCTGCAAAGGGCAACTGTATGCAACTTCTGAATGCAACTGCCCTCATCATTCTTGTAATCTCCAGGAATTAATCAAAAATGGCAAATTTCAGGTCATTTGATATGATAAGAATACATTTATAACAAATATATTTTGTCACATCTGTAAATATTCCAGAAAGGAAAATTCTAAAGCTTTCAACTAAGAGTAGTATTTGTTGAACTATTCTCAGCAGAATATGACAACGTAAGACAACAGAATTGTGATCATAAGCAGGCGTCTGAATGAACCAGAGACCAGTCATTTCTTTTTCTGCTTTGAGAAACATTTAAGCAAATTCCAGTGACAACTTTTGTGGATGTGTTTTATAGTTACAGCAGAAGACGACATGCAGTTTTCCTGTGCAGAAACAATGTAAAACTGAATTGTATGTAAAGTTGTTCTTTTTTCAAAAATCAGAAAGTACTACTTGTAGTTTCCCTCCTAGCTGGACGCACACACATACACACATATACAATTATTTCCATAGTCATTTTGGGGATGAGCGAAAACAAGCAATAGCATTTCTGAAGCGCACTGACTAAATGTATTCATAATAGTAATCAAGTCATTTACTGAAAAGGTTCTCAAGAAATCACCTGGCCATGACCTGTCACTTCAGCCAACTGCATGTAAGATAATTTAACGTTGATTGATACTAGACTCTCCTTTTTTTCTCTTAAAGATTCTTTGTGGCCCCTGTTAGAAGACCACCCTAACATTTCATTATCTTCTAAGATACAGACTAAAAAAAAAAGGTTCCTTTAATTTCAACTAATTTCTCTTTATTTGGGTCTCTGGAGAAACGGGGAAAACTTGTCAGACTCATCCTTATAAAACCCTTTGCACCTCTGAGAATATGAACTAGGTCTCACCCAGTTTTCTCTTTTCTGAGCTGAACTGATCTCAATTTTAACTTACGTGGAGTCTCACATCCATCCCTTCAGTAGTGTCTGCTGAGCTGGCCAGCTTCTTCACTTCCCTTTTGAATGTGGAGGATATTAGAAATTTTACTGTGGCCTGCCATCACTATCTCTAGCATGCCAGAACATTCTTATATTAAAATCAGGACACTTCGAAATTTTAAGAGCCAGAACCATGTGTTTACTGGAATTTTCCTCAATGTCTAGCATTTTGCAAGGTGCCACTGGGAGACAAATGTCCTCGTGCCCCAAGAGGAAAAACCGCTTTGTTCTTGCACAAGGCTAATGCACAGAGCCAGTGCCACCCCTCTCTGCCTTCTCAACACCCAACAATTTGGCCTTAAGCTCCCACTGCATTCTCAAATGATGTTCTAACAGCTTAATAGAGTGAGTGGCCTGTTTTTGGTCTTCACATTTCTTGCAGAACTTGACCCTGCTGGCTCTCCTTTGTTGACTAAAACGTTAATTTTCCATGTTTGTTGAGGAGCAACCCAAATTACTGCTCATCTTTTACATCTCTTTGTTTGTTCCGTTCTCATTCATTGGCTGGTATATCCCATATCAATGGTCATTTTCATGCAGTGAAATCTACCTCATCTAAAAAACACAACCATTATTCTAATCACCTGGTAAGTGTTTCACCTGAATATGTTGACAACATTTTGAAATATACATATACAAGAAAGAGCTATATTTCTCACTAACCTTCCTCTATTTCTATTATCCCTTTATCGGTTAATGCTATCGCTATTCTGTTTTTAAAATCAGTCACTTGTTTCTTTCTTTCCCTAAACCTTCCCTCAGATTCACTGAGTTGGACTTACAGATATGAAGTACTTTATTGCTGATAAAATATGAAGCTTTGAAAAAGTTGTTCTATTGGAAAAAAATTAATTAGAAAACAAAATTAAATTTAGCAATAGAGCTTGGTGTGTTCCAAAGCATGGACTATGCTTTCTTAAGTCTTGATGGATGTTAATTCTTTCTCTGAGTCTCAAGGCAAAGTTCCATTTGACCCTGACATAAGCAAACACCAGAAATCTCACGTGCATTAAAAAAAGCTCAGGCCTGGGCGAGGTGGCTCACACTTGTAATCCCAGCTCTATGGGAAGCCAAGGCAAGAAGACTGCTTGACGCCAGGAGTTCAAGACTAGCCTGGGTAACACAGTGAGATCCTGTCTCTACAAAAAATATATATTTTTTAATTAGCTGGGGGATGGTGGTGAGCCTATAGTCCCAACTACTCAGGAGGCTAAGGCGGGGGCAGGCAGGCGGAATTGCTTGAGTCCAGGAATTTGAGCCTACAGTGAACCATGACCATGCCGCTTCACTCCAGCCTGGGTAACAGAGTAAGATCCTGTCTAAAAAAAAAAAGAGTTCAGAAAGGACTCTACACCCATGTACCCTGGCTGGGACTGCCCGATGCCCCTTCCTTCTTCCAGGATGAGTGTCCACTCACAAAACACCAAGCAAGCACCCCCACAACACACACAATAGCCAACCTATAATTCTCCTTAAATACTTCTTTTTTAAGAACACCAACTAAACGAGAACCTTAAAGATTGTTGTAAGGTGTGTTTTTTCCTCCATTTCTCCTTAAGGAAAGGTGGCTGGCATGATTCAGCATCAACATGCCAAATATTCTATCTGAAACTATACACTCTGTTAGAGTCACTATTTGCAAAACAAAACTATCACACTAGTGAAGGGAGTGATTTGTGAGAACAAATTAAAGACGCATGACCAATTTGTCTGGGCAGTAATGATGTAAACCTGCTGTACCACTAAAGAGTTACGCCTGCTGCAGCGTCGAGCTTGGATTTTCTGCTGTCTAAATCTGCCGCTTACGGGCCTGGGTCTGTGTGTCTGAGGGAATAACCTGTCAAGGAAATCTCCCACTTACCCACAATGACCAACTATATGCTGTTCACTAATAAGTATTCATATAGACCTTACCTCCAAAAAGTTTGACTATAATAAAGTATCCTTAGCTCAAAATTACACAGAACACCTCAGGGTCACTGTGAACATCAACCATCGTTGCACGGGTCTGCCGGCATGTGCATTTTGGTGTGTGATGGGTTACTGTGATAGACTGCATGCTACACCATACACAATTAGTCTGCCAGTAATGCTTTTTCACTTTAATGGTCTACACTAGGAACAGCACTGCGTGGTTTTCGTGAAAAGGTGCTCCATAAATGACAAGACTTTTTCCTTCTCTGAAGAAATATGAAACATTAAAAAAAAAACACCCCAAAGCCCCCAAAACCCTCAAGTCCTGAAGTTACTTCTGTGGTTAGCAGTAGAAAATGGCAAAAGGTAATATTTAGGTATATGTAAGGAAGAACATCTGAAATGAAAAAAATATGAGAACGCATATGGAAAGCAGAACCGAATAAAATAGAAAAACGTTTTGCTTAAGGGTAGTTTTTTCTTTGATATATGCTAAGCTTATTCTATCAACTTCAGCCAGAATAACTTGTTTACGCTTGAACGTGTCTCTGCCCTAGGAATGGAAGGTCATTTTATAAGATGTATTTAATTTCTAATTTGTTTTCTAATTAAATTATTTTGATAGCTTCTCATTTGTGTCCTCTGATACAATAATTAACTCTTGATACTAATTGAAATATCCACTGACCCTATGTCCCCAAATCATGGACTACCATGAACAAAAAAAAGGGTGACCTCTGGCCTTCATGTTCCCAGGGGTGCAAGAGGGTTATGTTGAAACATGAGTTTTTTTTTGAGCAAAGGTCGTGTCATAGTAATGGCTTAATATGGTTTTTTTCTTTTCTTCTTTTTTTCCTTAATGAAAAGGCTGAATATTTGATAGAACTGTAACATTCATTTTATAGCTTTGGTATCTGTTGTTGAAATAGTGTTCTGAGATGTGAAGCTTAAATATTTTATGAAAAATACCTCCTCCAACAGAAATGTTAATAATTTAATATATGATAAACTACACATGAAGTTTCAGAAACAGTTATTTAGTGGTAGTTTTATATTTGATATGAAAGCCTAGTAGATCACTCCCTTGCTGCGTACTTTGATTTAAAATGGCAGTTTTTCTGCAAAATTATCTTAGTATAAAACATGTCACTAATTTTAAAGTGACTTTGATTATTTTATTTTTTGCCTTTAATCCAGAGAACTGAGAGCCTGTTGATGAGTGATGCCAACATGTCTTGCCAAAGCATGATTTTGATGTTAAATATCCAAGGCCACACATTGCTATGTGGTTCCATTTAGCCAATACTTCCTAAGACACTGGTGGGTCTCTCTAGGGCAGGCGTGTGATTTGGTAAGTCATTGGGAGGGCGAGGAGCTGCACTCTGATATGTCCTGACAGGCCCTCCCCGCGAAGGATTCATTGGCTCTGAGGCAGTTACTGAAAAGAGCAGCTATAATCAACAGCTGTGTCCTGATGTTTTGCCAATCTGTGCTCATAAAACATGATGTTTGGTAACATATTTCCAACACAGTTTGCCTTTGTCTTTTCAACACCAAAATTCCCACTTCTGTATTTTCTTTCATCTAAGAATTTCTAAATAGTTTGAGGGCATTAATTATGCCATACAAAATCCTCTCACAGTAATTACTGATGTTCCTGCTTCCTAATTATGTGTAATACCAACAAATCCACTTTCTATACTGGATTGCACCAACGCTACCTAGAAATATCTGCTGCCTTGTTGACAAATAAAGAGCTCTCAAATGTAGAGTACAGAATCTTCTCTGCTCTGCATCTTGCTTTTGCACATTAGATTTTGGTGCTGAGCTTCTCTATGTAAAATGCCTCTTCTGTACACAGTACACACTTTCCCCTTTGAATAGGAATTAAGTTTACTGGCTACATTTCTTGATCAATTTCAGACAAACCGGGGCTAGGTATATCAAAGACAGTTACAGCTGCCAGGAAATTCAATTTCTATGTGCTGTGCATTGCAGGAAATAGAAAGAAGATCTGTACAATCTTTACTCTCAAGATGCTTACAATTGCACAAGAAGATAAAATATAGAGCACAGTGAAAGAATAAGTTCCGTTTTCCATGATGGTGACAAAAGGAAACAGAAAATAGTTTGGGAGAAGACACGCAGGAGAGCAGGAGATGACAAAAGAAGCTGGATATTCTGGTGATAAACTTGGAGTTGAAAGTTCATCTCTTAGTTTTACTGACAAATATAATGAGAAACTTGAAAACCCTAAGGGGATGATACATGAGCCAGGGGATGGACAGAGAAGAAAACTTTGAGGTGGTCAGCTGTTCCTCCTCACTACTAGGGACCAAATGGAGAAAAATGGGCATGTGGGGATTTAGATGAGAGAAAAAGAATACCTTTCTGACAGAAAGACTTATTAAACACACGATGGAACAGGTTAGAGAAGGAAACGATGAAGATGTCATCTGTGAAAGTCTTTAAAACTGGGATACAGTTTCAACAACCTAAAGAATGGAGTGAAAGATGGCACGTATAGACTCATGGAAACCACAGTTAAGGCATTATGGCATTAAGTTCCGACAATTGAATGAAGGTTCCCTGGATACCTCTGCCTGGGGTTCTCTCTCTAAGAATGATGGCCACAGGGGGCCACCAGCTTCTTTTAGACAGCCTCCCCTGCCCTGCAGGATGTATCTGCAGGGTGCCCAGCAAAGAGGAGCCCAGATTGTAACCAGAGAAGCAAGGCTCAGCTTCTGTGTGACATGAGCTGACAACACTAGATTCACTTGCAGAATCCTTAACATATACTCAATCCACAAACTCAAGTTTGACATTATTAGACGTTTATAGCTTTTCAGAGCTAATTTAGGATACTTTTGTTGTTGCTATTTTTTGAGACAGGGTCTCACTCTGTTGTCCAGGTTGGAGTGCAGTGGTGCAATCATAGCCTACTGCAGCCTCCAGCTTCTGGGCTCAAGAGATCCTCCTGCCTCAGCCTCCCAAGTAGCTGGAACTACAGTTGCACACCACCACGCCCAGCTAATTTTAAAATTTCTTGTAGAGACCGGTCTTGCTATGCTGCCCAGGCTGGTCTAGAACTCTGGTGTCAAGCAATCCTCCCACCTCAGCCTCTCAAAGTATTGGTATTACAGGTGTGGCCCACCATGCCTGGCCCTTAGGAAACTTCTTCAGTCATGGATCTATTAATTCAATAACTTCATTGAGTGCCTCCTCTGAGTTAGGTGGTAGACACAGAGATGCACAAGACAGAGACTACCCTGGGGAAGACTGGCATGTAAACAGTTAATTATATACCACTGTGACAAACATCAGGATAGAGGTAAGCATAGAGTGTGTGGGAAGCACAGATTGTAGACACTGACCCTAGACAGAGGGGCCCAGGGAAGGACCACAGACAGACACTGGGTTGATCCTAGAAGGAAAGAGGCAGCTGATGCAGGGGGAGAAAAGCCATCTTTCTAGATAAAGGGCATGGCATGATTAAAGACATTCCATGTCACAACAAAAGAGGATTATGAGAAAGCCTACAGCAAGAGGGAAACTGGCAAAAACACCATCTAGACTAGTTCTATTTGCCTTCTACTGCCAAGGTTGCTTTTTAAAATATTTAAGTAAGACCTTCAGCCTTGATTAGTGCATCTGTCATATGAATATGTATTTGCTGGCTCCCTGGAATAATGTGCTAGACGCGGAATTCAAATGCTCTTTCATTTACCAATGGCTACTCAGAGCTGTAATCAAGCCAGGTCGTCTTATCTAAACAAACTCACTAAATTTAGGGATAGATGTCTAAATAGAAAACATGATTAATTTGATCATTGTTTTCCTCCACCATAAACACTCACTCTTTATTCATGACATATAGTCTCACATGTATACACACACGTTTATACACACTATCCATCCATCAAAAAAGATGGTATCCATACAATCATTGAATGTATAATTTGACAAGCTAAAACTCAAGCTTTACTGAAAGGCAAAAAGAAGGTTAACGGATCTTTTACATTCCCTGGTTATGCATCAGCTCAAACTGAAACGCTCAAAAAAGATAATCGAGGTTGCCTTTTTCAGTTCATCACACATAGAGAGAGGCTTTTGCAGCATCATGTTCAGCAATTTTTCCTCTCACCTTTTGTCAACATTGCTAAGACGCTGGCTAATACTAAATATGGACGAGATCTCTGCTGGAGCCCAAAACCAAAAATTCCACAAAGTGATATTAATTTAACTTGTAGAAGTAAGAGAAAGAAATATTAATGTATGTTTAGTAAAAACATGGATTTTGACAATGTTGCAGGATCTGTGCGTCCACTGTTTCAACGCATGAGACTACATGGTCCTCCTACCCCTCCTGTCCTCCCTCAGATGTCAGAAAAGAAGTTATTCACAAATACAATCTGCACAGTCCTGTATCAAGATTCAGAGTCCTCAGGCCAGGTGCGGTGGCTCACACCTGTAATCCCAGCACTTTGGGAGGCCGAGGCAGGGTGGATCACCTGAGGTCAGGAGTTCAAGACCAGCCTAGCCAATATGGTGAAATCCCGTTTCTACTAAAAATATAAAAATAAGCCAGGTGTGGTGGTGTGTGCCTATAATCCCAGCTACTCAGAAGGCTGAGGCAGGAGAATCACTTGAACCCAGGAGGTGGAGGTTTCAGTGAGTCAAGACTGAGCCACGGCATTCCAGCCTGGGTGACAGAGATGAGACTCCATCTCAAAAAAAAAAAAAAAAAAAAAAAAAAAAAAAAAATTCAGAGTCCTCAACCCAACCCCCAACTTCTCTGGGTCTTTTCAGTGACTTCTTCCCATTTCTCTTTTTCCCAATCTCTCTACCCTTGTGAAAGATTTACTAAAAAGAGATTTTTTTGGACAGGCAATTGCTGTTGCAACACAACATTCTCAAGGGTTAAGTGTAAACGAATCAGAAACATGTGGCTTAAATTTTCCACAAAATTGAATTCATATGGGCTTAGATATAAAAGGGAAAATAGTGTTTTCCAAAACATGACTTGAGTTTTGAAAAACTCCAAGTGCTGGGAAAATAGTTTAGGTATTCACTAAACTTTTAACTACGGTCAGAATCACTCATCCATAGTACTATAAAACTTCATTCTACTAAATAATGTGTCATGCTCAGAGAAAATTACATCTGTAGAGATTAAACACCCACCTTCACAATTTTATAAAAAGCTCCAACATAACAGAATGAGAATGGAACACTAAAGGCTTAATGCAAATATCTGAGACGAGTGATTTCTTCCATGTAATGTGCACGTGTGTTATTTAGGGACCTTTTAAAAATGCAAATTTTGATTCAGCAGGTCTGGGGTGGGGTGTGAGAGTCTGTGATGCTGAGACTGCTGTGCATGGACCACCTTTTGAGTAGCAAGGACTCAGATCCCCCATGCTGTATGTCACAACTCACTGCACAAGTCAGTTTATGCTCTGTTACAAATCTTCTGAGATTCATCATTTGGCGACAAAAAACAAACAAAAACAAAAACAAAAAAACAACAAAAAAAAAAACAAAAAAAAAACCCACCCAAGCAAAATGACATAAATGGGAGTTAAAATATCCTGCTAAAAAGGTACAGATAATTGCTGTGAAATTTACATAACAATATTCACTGATTAGAAGTAATGAGTAATGTATTCATTATTACATATGAACAATGAGAAAACAAATAAGAAACAGTAAATATTCATCACTACCTGCTCTGCTACTAGTTTATATCCTACTCCATCGGGAAATCCTTTTATGAAATCTTCCAAATCACTTCAGACATCAGAGATATTGCCTGTTTTGAATTCAAGCACTTCTTTGTTTACCGCATGACTAATTAGTCAGGAATCGTCTAGCCCTATTGCAGGCATTAATTTTGCACATATGGATGCCTTATTTTCACAACTACATCTGAATCTCTGTGCGGGTATCGGCTGTGTCTTCCTCCTTCCGAAAAACCCCGAAGTCTTGCAACATGGCTTCCTGGTTGACTGTGAAATAAACTGTACATCCTGAATAACCAGAGTACTGGCAAACCTCAGCTTGTAATATTTCAAGGCCATGCAATAAGCAAACCCATGTCCACGGTACCAGGATTTGTGGTGTTCAGGTTGTAATAAATGCAGTTCTGTTTGTCAGTGGGGATCAAGGTTTGAGGACAGGAATGAACTTTGGGAGCTGCATACAAAAACATCCAATGATCTGAGAACACATGTAATACTTATCCACAGGCTTGATGTAAATATTGTAACTTTTTTCCTCCACCTGGCCCATTTTTCATATATGCAACTTTACAGGGATCTTGTTAAGATGAAGAATGCTATAATTTTCCTCTTGAGTAAACTGAAGTATAGAAGAAACTAACTTTTACATATACCACACCTGTATATCACAATGGCAAAGCTAGGAAAAGTGTTTATCAAACCCTCCAACATCCCAGCCATCATTCTCACTTTTCTAAGAGGAAGACACTGATTTGACTGCCTCTCTAAGGGCAGGTCATCACCAGCTTCTAGAAAACCAGCTTACACACCTGCTACTGAATAAGCCACCCAGTCACTGCCCTAATTTTCCACATCAGAGCTCCTGGCTTCATTTGCCAAATGCCCAAGGCAAATGAAGAAGTTTAACTGGTGAATGTGGCCCCAGGAATTCTAGCTATCATCTCCCATCTCTGTTTTGAGTTTTGCTACAGCCAAATCCCAAGGCCCTAGGTCCCTATCACCAAGGGAGCTTTACCTAGACACTGCTGCACCCCCAAGGCAAGATCTGATATGATTTCCTCATATCAGCATGTTACATGGTTGGTCATGAAAGCAACATGTGCTGACTGGTGGATGGACCGTTAAACCTCTGTGTCAGGGATGTCACCAAGCATAACGATGCTTCATTAGGAAAATGTACTTCAGCATACACGTGGCCAACTAGAAACACACTTAGGTGCTCTATTCTAGTGGGGCTGCTCAAAACAGACTTTCGGAAAGATACTACCATCATAAATTCATCCGGTGAGAATTAACAACTATATGCATGACTACTGCGTTAGGTTGAGCTTGAGAAGAGTGCAAGTGTTTTTCCCTTACTTTTTACTGAAGACACTTGCAATCTAGATGGGAAGATAAGATGTACACACATAAGCAGGTAAGTAGTTTACAGAGCCAAGGATCCCAATGCAAGAGATATTATGAAACTGTATTCACTACAGAAAAGAAATGCTTGTGTTACACATTGAAGGTCAGGAAAAATGTGTAAGAAAGAGGGGAAGAGCATTCAAGGTCGGGGGCGTGGAGTCCTGAAACCCTGGTGCTTAGTGCACAGTGAGGCCACCTGTCTGGCTGGCATAAAAGGGACAGTATCAGGCAAAAATTTAGGTTGTGGATGAAGTAAGGAAGTCATCAAAGAGCTTGGGTTCTATCCAGAAGATGATAATTTTTCAAACAATATTTCTCAGAATTCTATGAGTCTACAGAGGTGCCTCAATATTCTCAAAGGCTGATATTAAGAATAAATAAATGTGGTGACTTTGACCTTAAAATAAATGTATACTAGTAAACTAACATTGTTTTGATTGTTCTTCTATATTATGGTTGTATATATGATTTTACTGGAAAAAAATAATGACACTGATAATGGGAAACCATCTTTTTAGTTATCACAGGAAAAACAGTATCTGTTATTTTATTTATAATACAATTCGTTTCAAAATTAATTTAAGATTCATTGTATTTTTTTTCTTCTTAAGGCCAATTCATTGTATTTTAAAATTAATACATGCTTATTTTGACACCTGGAGTTCCTCGTATCTAGAATGGGGAAGTTTTTACTAACATCATTATTAATTGTATCAATCTGGCTGCATCCCATTATATGATGAGAACTAATTAAATCGGAGCATGTACCATTATGGGATTTAACTGCACATGGTAAAAAAGAATCATTTGCCTTTATATACACAAAACCCACATTAACTTCATGGAGAGCTAAGCATCGAGCAGGGCTGGCAGATGATGTGCTTTTGTCCTTGAAGACTCTAAAGATAGATATTAATTTCAGTTTTGCAACTCATTCAGAAAATTGCCTGGATAACTTGGGAAAGCCCTGTTTATGCTTTCTGCTAGTGTGTGTGTACATGTGTGTGCTTATGCCTGTGTCAGAACCCAAAGAAACCATGCCAGCCATAAAGGAAATTAAAAATAAACTTAAATATGCTTCCATATGCCAATGCAGGGGCCCCAGAGACTGGATCATAAACTTGCACATTTAAATTGTCTACATGAATTTTTGACTCAAAAAGTATACTAAGCAATTTTATCATCACAGTCACATAAAGTAAAATATATTTTCACCTGGGGAAAAATATTCCTTAGGCAAGCAATGGGATATTTTATTTAGACATTCAAGTATCAGACAATTTATAATAAATGAATGTTCTGGATTTTAAAGAGGCTAATAAAGCAAGTACTTTCCCTTGTATTAGAAGGAAATACAAAGTGAATATTATAGGATATAGGAAAGGGAGTTTAAAACAATCAGTTTTATGGGATGACTGAGAATTTTAAAGTAAAATTATATGAACAATTTAAGTGTTAAATCCCCATATGTCAGTTTATTCAAACCCCCTTATATTGCTAAACAGAACAGGTGTTTACGTTCCTAAGCTACCTGCATCATACTCATAACAATCTCTTCCCTTCTTACTGAATTGAGACAATTTTCAAATGGTGACTTCAGTCACTCAGCATTCTTCACACACTGAGAACAATTCACAAATAGATAAATTAGTAGGTAATTAGTTTAGCAAATATGTTTCTCTAAAACTTTATTTCATATTTTTGAACTAAAAGTGATCATTCTAATTTGACATGATTTTTACCATAAGGTGTCAGTATAAAAAAAGGAGGCTATTATCATGCCACTAAAATTACTAGGTTTTCTATGCGTTTGGGCTCCCTTCTTTGACGTATTAGAGCCAAGAAAATGAAGAGTTAAACAAATTTAATTTTAATTTCAATTTTAAAAATTGTCCTACAATAAAATGGCAGTCACTGACTTCTAAGCCAAGAGGATGCAAAAGGAGAGACTTTAAGTCTAATATGTAACATTATTAAGAAAAATTGGAATGAGTATAAATAAAACGGGGACAGGGCAGAAAAGCACAGGAGATTAAAGTTGTAGACAGATGTGCTTGTTAGCAGAAAATCCACTTGTTTATTGAGAGACAGCCTCAATTAGCTGATGGTGGAAGTAGATAATGTGTTTATTGTTTCCACTTTGAGGAATGGTTTTCTTACGCATTTCCAACGAAAATAATGGCCCCAGTGGTGTTGACTTTGTCTCTGGGGCAGCTCCTGCCACCTGTACCGTTCCCTATAATCTCCACTCCCGGATCTCAGGCTTGCCAATCATTCCTCCAGCACCATTAGAAAGAGGCCTGGACTTCTGGGTTAAGAGACTTAGGTTTTGGAAAGGCTGGTGCAATCAGATCAGAAAATGACTACACTTAAAAACAAACAAAAAATATAGCTTGCAAAGGAGTAAGCAAGGCTGTGCTGTGGAGATCAAAGTCAGCCAATGGTAAAACTCTAAATGACAAAGCCACTGAACTCCCAGGGCTTTCCTTGGTTACAAAATTGTCAATGGAAAGTGATTTGTAATTGTGCACAATCAAGAGTGTTTTTCTCTTTAAAGTCCTTCCTTAGGAGAAGCAGGTTGTGTGTGTGTGTGTGTGTGTGTCAGGGTATGTGTGTGTGTCGGGGTGTGTGTGGTGTGGTGTACATGTGTGTTTGTGTGTCGGTGTGGGGTCTGTGTTTGTGTGTGTTGGTTTGGATGGGATGATTTACCCTCTCATTGAAGGAACCTATACTATTATTTTGCTTTTATTATAAATGTCTTGGTCTTACAATTTAAGGCTAACATATACAGGTACGCTGAAGGCAAGAAAGAGCAAAAGGATATATAATATTTAAAAAATATAAAATATTTCAAATTTCACCATAGCCCAGCAGATGTGGAAGGTAGTAGCAAAAAATAACCCATGTGCTGTGCACCGCTTTGACCCCATGACTTTTCCAGCCCCTCCTCATCTCCCTATGCAGCTCCTGTGCTATTATTTTTTTCCATTGGGAGCAAAACTCTTTCAGAGCTTTCATTTTCATTCATGATCTGATGGAATAAGATAAAAGATTAGACAAATACCCCCCAAATCAGTTTGACAAGTATTCATCAGCCAGATTTCAAAATGTTTAAGAAGGAAACCCTCTACCTTAGACAAAGTAATTAAGAAGAAGAAAAAAAGTCATTCTTCGTTCTCTCCGATTTGGTCTGCTCACTGGGTTGCTAGCTTTCAAGTCTGACCTTTCCTTGATATCCACTTATTGTCCCCAAACCTCAACCCACTGGGCAATTAGAACGCAAGACTCGCCTCCCAGGGCTGCCTCGTTTTAGTAGAATGCATGATCAAGGAGTTCTCTTGAAAGGGCAGGAAGCCCACGCCAGTCAGGAGAACATCACAGGCGCTTTAAAGACTGGTGCCTGCGAACCGCTCATATCCGCCCTTCCAGTTACCAGAGAGACACCAGAAAGTGGGGGTCCTCGCTTTCCTTGGCCCTTTCCCCTTAATCTGCTGCACGTGTGTTTCTTTTCCCTGCTGAGGACTTCTGGCCCTCAGCCGTTCTAATTTCTTCAACTGCTTCTCGCTTTATAAAGTTATTGACACAAATTACTATCACTGGTCCAGAGACATACTATTGCAGGAAAACATAACCTAAAATATACATATCAATGTCTGCATAAGGATTTTCTACTGAACTTAGCTGTAAAAAAATAACATATATACAGGAAAGGTTTATGTTTGACATAAGTAACCTAATTGGAATAACACACTTTTGGCTGCAAATCTCTGAAAATCATGCATTTATTAGAGACAAGGGGATAAAAGATGCATTGTGAATAAGCTAAGCCTTCTCTAATAAAATGAACACTGACACCGATGAACTTGCCTCTGACATAATTACCTACAGCAAAGTTGGCTTCTTTTATTCATAAATCCAATTTCAGCAAGCGGAAACCCTAAACTTTCAGCAACAAAAGAAAAGATGAATTTAGATCAAGACATTCCAGGGATCAAGTCAGCTTGGTCAACAGCCCAAGATCACTTTGCACCACAAAGACGGAGGTGCCAACATTTTTTAATCTTTTCAAGGCAAGATAATGACTTTAAATGTCCCTGGGCAAAAAAGAAATGCAGGAGGGACAGCATGTTTCACAAACATTGACCTTTAGCGTAAGAATTGATCCCAAGGAAAAACAGGGATAAGAAAGTAAACCTCCTGGATCCTCCTCAAAATAGCTCCTCAAAATCTGCAATCACAACGGAGAACAGACTGGTCCTGCCTCCATTAAACTCATCACAGAGATGCTAAACCTTTAGGCACAGGGTTTGGGACCTACAAAGGAGTAGACATTTGCCAGCTCCAAGAAAGAAAGAAAGCTCTGTGGTAGAAAGAAAAAACAATTTGGTGATAATGGATACAATAATTTTAACTTCCCATAATTTGCTTAGTGGTCACCTAATAGAATGCTTTCATAACTTTAACAAGGACCCAGAGTATTATCATAACTGCCTTACCAGTGATGGAATTGAGGTTCCAAGAAGATAAATGACTTGGTTAGGATGTGACAGGAAACAAGAATTAGTGTCAGGACTTGATGCTGAGTCATGGCTGACGGCCTCTGCAAGTTCACCCAGACCACCAGGCAAACACACTGACCCTGCCCCAAATGCCTCACCTCCCAGGGGAACTGAGGAAGGCAGAGAAGAAAGCAAGGGAAAATACCAAAATAGGAAGAAAAGACGTCAATATTTCTCCCTGTCCTTCTAACACAGAAATAGCATATAGGGAATTCATTTATAGCACGCATGTGCGTGCGCGCACACACACACACACACACACACACACACACATATAAAATTTAGAGACTGTATTTTTAAATTTATTGCAGGTCACAGAGGCCCTAAGTGGAGGTATCTATAACTAGCAAGGGGCTCTGGAAGGATAGCCCTCCAGTGGAACATTTCTGCTGTGTGAATGCTGCTCCTTCTCCAAATACCCGTGGATAAACTGCCATTCTTCTATTGGGAAAGCAAGGAGCAGAGAATGGTTTCTATCATCATGGTAATATGAGATACCTGAGTGTTTCAGTGGAGGAAAAGCACAGCTTCATATAAATCAACTCAAAATGTAAACATACCACTTAAATATTAATCAAGGTAATTACAGAAAAATAGTCCAGAAAATCGCTGTAACAATCCAAGATAAATAAATGTCCCTTCGCTAAAAAGAAACTCAGAACTCACTTGTTCATAACCTAACTTGACTTTCTTTGCACAACTCATACCAAATACCATATGCTTGGCTGTATCTGTTTGAAATGAAATTATCTAATTTGAATCCAGCGAAGCTACACAACATGCATATTCAGGTTTATGAAAGGAGAAGACTGAGTCCAAGGTAAAAAAGCAAATAAAATAATCACAATATACACCAAACTGAACCATATTATATTTTAATAGAGCAGTTTTCTCAACCATGTCCTTTAGGAAAAAGCAAAAGAGGAGAAAGGGCACATGTGCAGGTAGCAGGTGTGCTTTAGGAGGGACTGTGGTTAAAATGCCTTATTTTTTTTTTAATTTTTAATTTTTGTGGGAGCATAGTAGGGGTATATATTTATGGGGTACATGAGATGTTTTGATACAGGCATGCAATGTGACATAAGCACTTCATGAAGAGTGGGGTATCCATCCCTTCAAGCATTTTTGTTTTTTTTTTGAGACGGAGTCTCGCTCTGTCGCCCAGGCTGGAGTGCAGTGGCACGATCTCAGCTCACTGCAACCTCCCCGTCCCGGGTTCAAGCGATTCTCCTGCCTCAGCCTCCTGAGTAGCTGGGATTACAGGCACCCGCCACCACGCCTGGCTAATTTTGTGTTTTTAGTAGAGACGGGGTTTCACCATGTTGGCCAGGATGGTCTCGGTCTCCTCACCTCATGATCCGCCTGCCTCAGCCACCCAAAGTGTTGGGATTACAGGCATGAGCCAATGCGCCTGGACCCCTTCAAGCATTTTTCCATTGAGTTGCAAACAATCCAAATTACACTGTTTATAAAACTCCTTATTAATACAGGATAGCAATAATGGAGGCGGAGAGATGAGACAGGCTGGTTCTAGGTAACTGCAGGAAGGAGTCTCTCTTGAGTGGGTTTGAGACACCATTTTGCTGTGACAGCATGGTCATAACTTGAGAAGAACATAAAAATGATTTAACACATGAAAAAATTATTAAACCATTTCATTTGACTCATACTGTAGTAGAAACATACATGTGTGAACATAAAAACCTCAAAAATTCACATACCATTAATTCCTACAACTTGGAAAAAGCTAGACTACTGAAATTGGCTTTTCTACTAATTTATAAAGTTTTGTGCAAATTTGTGGAAAATCTAAATCAATGGGAATCTAAGGAAACAACTGCCCTCGTGTCTTGCTGGGAGGAGGAGTCTAAGTGCTGGCCTGCTTGAGCTCTCTAAAGAGAGGGGAGTTGAGTTCTAAATGACAAAAAGGACTTCTTTAACATGAGAAAACAGAACTGCAAACAGAAGACACAGCAAGTGCAAAGGCCCTGGAGCAACACCCAATGCGCTTGTGGAACAGGAGCAAAGCCCAATATTTTTGGTCACCAGGGGAGCAACAAACACAGGTACTTATGACTAGCTGTGTGTCCTGAGGTGAGCTACTTTACCTCTCTGAGCCTTAATGTAACATGGGGCTAATTACTACCATCTTGATAGACTGTTGTGCTGATGTACAACTGACACACTATACCTGTGCAACATTACTGCTACCACAATATAAATATTCCTGGCTTACACCTGTATCTTTTAAGGAGAATATTCTGTAGTGGATTTTCTTTTAACAGGTCATTAACTTCTTGAGGTACTTCAAACTAAAGTGCAAAGACCAATGACAACACCAGACCAACCATAAACACTGATCAGCCAGCTCTGAAGCCTTAACTCAGTGGGAAGCTATGATCCAGTTAACAAAAGTTGGGTTTGTAAATCACTGTTCAAAAATACGTATCTGTATAACGACCAGTTTGCAAGTTGAAAAGCATTCATATGCAAAAACTCAGAGGGATGATGATATTAATTTTTAGTCTCAGAATTTCCCTACCAAGCCATATAAAGTGCTGTAGAAGAAATGAGTGAGAAAACATAAAGGATGCTTTCAAAAGGCAGATACAACCCAAAGTGTCACATCACCACAATCTGTCATTTTCTCAATATGTGTTGAGTAGATACATACACAGTTTTCTATTCTTAATATTTACAAATTTCCTCTGAAATTAGTTAACACTAGAGGTCTCCTGCTTGTAACAGCAACAGGTAGCCAGTCATCTTTTTGGAACCTGCTGACATCTGGTTACATGGGATTGCTCTGAAACTTCATCATTCAGGAAGTTCCTGCAGGAAATATTGTGTTTGACCTCTATGCAAATGACTCTCTGGACTTTCAGAAATCGCTACCGACAGTGCATCTGATGCCTCCAACAAAGACACAGTCCCAAATTTTAACATCAAGATTCTTCCAAGGACAGGGTAAGGATAGAGGGAAAAGGTGCACAGTTGGAAACAGGACTCATCCTCAGAGACTGCCCCAGTTTATCACATTAGGATAAACCGAACGTGTCAGATAAGAATTTGTTGAATTTACTTCGGCTAACACTGCTCTCTTTCTGAGTCTATACCGCTGATGAAAAGCCAGATGTTTTCAATCTGGAAAGCTTAACACTACCGCACAGCAAAACCAGCTGGCAGCAGCCTGAAAGAAAGTGCTTGTCTTGCTGGGAGGAGGAGTCCGAGCGCTGGATTGATGGTCCACAGACCAGACAGAGCTCCCCTGCCCCAGGCCATGCCTACCTTGCTGTTCTGACAGGCAGCTCCAGCAAGGACGGGCCTCATTAGCATCATCTGTCCTAGAGTTCAAAATACTTGAAGAGAAATATTGATACTTCTTTACACATAGATTTCTCTACATATACTAGTTAACTCGAAAGTAACATAAAAATGATTTAACAAAAAAAGATCCACTTCATCTGACTTACACTTTAGTAGAGATGTATGTGTGTGTACATAAAAACATCTCAAGAATTCATATACCATTGATTCCTACCACTTAGAGCTAAAGTGAAATTGGCTTTTCTACTAATTTATACAGGTTTATTGTGCAAATTACTTGAATTTTTGGGACATCTACAAGAATGAGAATCAATTTCGGAAAACACCTGGTATATCCAACTTTTGAGGACCTGAAAAGTAACCTATCTGTTCCATTGTGATATCAGCCAAAAGATCACGAACAAATCTTATCTATTCAGTAAATGCAAACTCCCTCAGTACCACCAATAAGTGGCACTTTGTTGGTTTAGCTTCAAACTACATTTCTTAAAAAAAAAAAAAAAAAAAGTCATGAATACCAACAGTCCTTTAATCTAACAGGCCCGATTTAGTGAGACGTAACTATTGGTGTAAATGGGTTCTCTTACGCCAGGTCATTACTCTCCTCTGTGCATAGTGTCTTTCTCATCAGAAATTCAAATATATACAGCAATGTTTACTCATAAATTACATCAACATTGCAAAAACATTTCAATTATCCTAACATCTATGTCAGATAAGCAGACTGGGGAAACAAAAAATACATGATAGAGAAGAAAGAAAGTATCACTGAGCCACTAGACCAAGAGCAGGGAATTGCTTTTCTCATATATAAGCCTTTGGGGGATAACCCCCAAGTCTAACGGGGAGCAAGAACTCAAAAACTCCTATCTGTCAAATAAAGCAGTGACTGAGTGAATAAGTCAACGCATGAATGAATCTCTGAACTGACTATTAACACAGCAACAGAAATACTGATTTCTAGTATGATCCAGCTGCTGCATATCTTTTTGAGACAGGGTCTTGCTCTGTCGCCCAGACTGGAGTGCAGCGGGGTGATCACAGCTCACCACAGCCTCCACCTCCCTGGGCTCGGGTGATCCTCCTAATACAGGAGTTATTAAGAAATAATTTTTAGGCAGATAGAAAGGGTAAAAGGACTTCTTGATAAGGGTTTTTCGTTTAATAAAAGCAACCTCCAAACTGTTTCTTTTCTAACAGAAAGGCAGCTTGAAGAGCCAGGCTGGCAAGCTTTAATACACAAATGCAGGCGAGTAGAAACTGGGTCTACCTAACACGGCCAACATGGTGATTCCCGCCCTCTTCTCACCAGGTGTACCAAGTGTCATGGCCACCTGCGGATAACACCATGTGTTCAAAACATCATGGCGTCTGCATTTGCATATTAAAAGTCTAAGGTGGGAGGGCCAGGTTTTCACGGGGCTACGTAAATAACACACCGTCTCCTCCAGCATCCCAATATAAGCAACCACTTTTCTGCCGCACACTGGGTTTCTCTTTGTTCCAAGCCCCCCTCCCTTTTCTCTGTATGGGGGAGCTGTTCTCTTCTTTCTTGCTTGCCTATTAAACTTTGCCCTCCTTAAAACCACTCCACGTATGTACGTGTCGTTAATCCTATCGGCATGAAACCAAGAACCCTGGGGTTCCTCCAGTCATCGGAGCCATATCACTCCAACTTCAGCCTCCTGGGTAGCTGAGACTATAGGTGTGCGCCATCATGGCTGGCTAATTTTTGTATTTTTTGTAGAGACAGGGTTTCTGCTGTGTTGCCCAGGCTGGTCTCTAACTCCTAGGCTCAAGCAACCCATCTGCCTCTGCCTCCTGAAGTGCTAGGATTACAGGTGTGAGCCACTGTGCTCAGTCTGCACATCCTTTTATACTGGGAATAGTGAACTGAATCCAGACCTTCACACTGAGGTTTCCGACCAAGTATAAGCAGAGCTTTGAAAATGAAGAGGCGAACAACAGGAGAGGAACTGAATTGTTAGTTGATAGCCTTCACCTATGGTCATAATATCCAGGTTTGTTTCCCACACAGTCTGATCAACATTCTACCTTGGTTGTTCTTTCTCATAAAAATTCCACTCAACCTCTTCAGCTCCCAAGCTCGCAGTGTTCTCTAACTTGCATATCCACTCTGTCAAGAATCACTTGCCCTCCTTCGTGATTAGTTACTGATGGCACCCCCTGGCTCATAGGGGGTTTAGAGAATTAATTAATGTTTGCAAAGTGCTTGTAGATCCACAAGCCGGGGGGTATTATATAAATGCAAATTATTAGCATTATTCTGTTTTCCAATGGGGCAGACTGCCCAGAGCGTTTATTCATGCCTTATAAGAAAACCAAAGTCTCTTTAACTAGGTCTTCCTCTGTTCAAGGGATTGTCGATTTACAACCCCAGCTCACCAACGCCTGCACATCATCCTGTGTTCCAGGCCTTTCGGTTTTTTTTTTTTTTTTTCCCTCAAGGAGCTATTTTTGTGCCCTTGGTTCTTATGCTCAAAGCCTGCAAAAGAGATCAGAACCTACCATGAAAAACATATCCCATCTCCAGAAAGGAGCTTCACATCTCACTTTCTCATCTTTTGGAGGAGATAAGACAGAGGTCTTGACTTTTAGAAAGTTCACTGCATCCCTTGGTGGGACCCTGGGAGGCCCTGGCCAAATTCTACTTTGAGTGATGACATTCTGCTCACCCCAAGCTCTGTGCTGCTTCAGTTGCACAGAGGAGTATTTATTGCTACTTCCTGCCCTTGAATGTTTTGCAGACTTTCTCTATTCTGTTTAAACAAATGCTGTGTTTCACCTGTCAGAGCCCCATCCCCTGGAATAAAGGAGGCCCAGAAATCTAACACCACGGCTATCACTTTTAGGGCCTAGACCCCTGGTTTATTTTGTTATGTAGATTGGATGAGCTATTAATATATCAAGTTTACATGTGTAGTTTCTGTCTTTATCTCTGTTATTTGCACTTCAAACCTGGAAAAACAGTTGAGAGGTTATGTAAGCATTGTCCTGGGTCCTGATCTGCAAATTTCTTTGCCAACTTTTATTGGTCTTTGAAAACTGCATTCCTTTGTCCTAAAGAATGCTGTCTTTCATATCCTGTCATTAGTATTATACAATGTTAGGAGCCAATTTGTCATACAGATCTCCAAACATACTTAAAAAGAGAAAAGGGTCTTTAAATTAGTCTTCATGTATATTAAAAACAGAAAAAGACAAAAGGAAAAGACTGAAATCTTTTAAAGTAATTCCTTCATTTACTGGATTTTTTTTCTTTTTTCTGTTCATGGGCTCATATCTCAACAGTTACTGGATATTTATTGAATTTTATATGCAACACAGACACGGCATTTATCTTTAAGATATTTTTTGCCTCTCATGTTTTAGCTCCAAGACATCTAAGTCACTTTGGTAGAAAGAAGCCAGGGCAGGCAGTGCCCACACCTCCTACTCGAGGCTTCATTTCTGAACTAGAGCAGTTACAGAGAACATCACAGGACCCTGAGTAGGCAGCCAGGTAAAATAATAAAACTGAACACAGTAACATCTTCTATATTATATTATATTATATTATATTATATTATATTATATTATATTTGCATAGGAATATCCATATTACACATTATATTGCAGAGTTTTACAGTTTAAAAAGTGCTTTAAAATGTGCCTCCTTTAATTCTCACAACCCCAGGGGTTACGTATCACCTTCATCTTACAGAGAGGAAACCTTTGTTTCCAAGGAGTTGAGCGGCATGTGTAAAATTGCAGGGCCAGTGAAGGAGCTCAGCCTGAACTTGGGCCCAGGGAGCAGTCAGGACTTGGAGAAGGTTCTCTCTCTCACCCTGCAACCCAAACAACGAGCAGGGGGGAGGCATCACATAGGGGAGGAGATGCAGGAAGAAAAGGAAAGCTCAGGCCACGAGGACACAACTTCCTCAAAACCCAGCCCTAAAGCCGGACGGGGTAGCTCACGCCTGTAATCCCAGCACTCTGGAAGGCAGAGGTGGAGAGATGGCTTGAGCCCAGGAGTTCAAGGCTGTAGCGGGCTATGATTGCACCACTGCACTCCAGCCTGGGTGACAGAATGAGACCCTCTTAAAAAAAAAAAAAAAAAAAGAAACCCAGCCTGCCTCCAGGATGCTCCCCAATCAGATTCCCAAACACTGGGATTTTCAGGTGCAGGCTGGAATTTGGACCATTGTACCCTAATGGTTCCGACCCTCAATCTCACCTCACTGTTGGACTGAGAGAGCCATTCTGGAAGAAGTCATCACCAGGACCACAACCAGTTGCAGAATTTATGTATCACAGTTTCTTGTTTTCCCTCTGATGAGCCCAGAGTAAGCTACCATTCCCAGGGAAGAATGAGGGGAGCAGTTGGGGAACAGGAGGAGGACATAAGCAGTGGCAACCTCAAAAGGCCATGTAAGATGCCATCCTGTGACCCGTCAGCCTCTCCTTCCTCTTCCCTGGGTGCCAAGGACTCAGCCGTCTGTCTCTGCCCACAGACCTTCTGGTGTCAGCCCCTCTCTCCTGTATTCTTAATGGCTGAGGTCTCCCCTCTCCACTCCAACCCTTCCCAACAGGACTGTGACTTCCTAAAGGCAAAAGCAGGGCTTCATTTTTCTTGGTCTTCCCTGTAGAGCTAGCTCCAAGCCAGGCATTCCAAAAATGCCTACTGAATTCGCTCCTCAAAAATCCCAAGTCAAAACCTCCCTTTCCTCTCTCCTGCTGTTTAATTGATAGTATGAACTCACAATTCAGTGCTTAAGAGCATTACCTTCTGGAGCCCCAGCACTGGCCCAGCTGTGAACAATGAGTGGTGTTTCAGTTTATTGCTACGTGAAGTCTTGGGTCCAAGTTTTGGGGGTCCCAGGGGTACATGGGGGTAGAGAGTGGAGACGTTAAAGAACTGCCCTTGAAAGCTGCCAAATGCCTTCACGTTTTACCATTTAGAGATGCTTTAATAGCAGCAAGAGACAGAGTACTGGGCAAGAAGTATAACAGAGCATCTCAGTGCTATTGAAGTGGCTCCACCATGACAATGCAGGGAACTGTCATTTAAAATTTCCATCTGTTATAAACATGTCCAAAAGTCCCAGGCCAGAGCCCACACATTCCTGTACCCACCACAAGTACAACAAAAACAGATGCTTGGAAGCTCCACTTTGAACAAAGGCAGGCCCATTCCTAGTGGTGATTAATTTCTTCTGCATCTCCTCTCACAGGGGGGAAAAATCAAACCACAATATTCATCAAGACATTGTCTAAAAGGGAAAAACAACAAATTCCATGCTAGAAAGCCTTAGCACAAGGAAGTCACAAAGAATCTAAACAACAGTTTAGGGGAGTGATGTAAATTTAGCCCCTAAAATGTTTTACACCTTAACCTCCTTTCTGTGATTCAGATCTCCTCACGTTTTACGGCTAAATTGACTTACATGACATTCACTATCCACATTGGCAAACTGTTTTCCAACTGAATGGAGATCAGTAACACGTTCCTTCTTTTTCCTGGGCAATGTTAATTATGCTCTCCAAAGGAAAGCAGCAATGCTTTGATTTTAAGGTATTCCACTAAATTACTTTAAACCAACATAGTCAATCTAAGATGAACGATATACTATCTCTCTACCGTGGCGATGAAAAACTTCCTGTGACCCTTTCTAGGATGGGACAACTAGCTGTCTGGGTAAATATGGCTGCGGAGGAACGTGGAGCTGCAGATAATTAAAGTGCTTTAGAACACTCGCCAATTGATTTTCCTCTTGTAAAGGTAGCTCAATTGAAATGTTCAGCATAAATCATGTGTTAGAATTATCTTCTGAACTAAGAGCTGAGAGCATATTGATTAATAATTATTTGCACTAACAGACTCAACTAAGGCAATATCATCAATTACCTCAAAAAATTGGCTCAGATCAATCACAATGGAATCGCCTGAGTTGGAAGATTCATTGTCTTTTGTTTGGTATTTAAAGAGATCAACAAAGAGGCAAGGAGGCTCTTGAACACAGTCCTAAGTAAGCACTGCTGGGTTGGTTAGAATCACTTGCAATTACTTCTGAATATTATATTGATCTAGACCTTTTTAACTCAGGAATGTGTCTCCCACGCTTCCACTGAGTGGGAGGTCTTTAGGGTAAACAAACGTTTTTTACTTATGATCCAGGATAACATGCAGAGTCTAAGGAATGCACTTCTGATGACAAAACACAAAGACAACCTGGGCCAGAAAAGAATTGCCCAGGATACCCACCAGCCAACGGTACATGCACATACAAGCTTTACGTACACCGACACATGTGCACACACACCCAAATTCATTCACAGAATAGAAATAATACTATTCTGAAATAATACCAGAAAATACTTCAACCTAGTTTCACACACTTGAATGTGATTTGGAATGAAAACATCACTCCAAAGGGTTGAAGAATTTGGGGCTTACATAATCATCCTATATTCATATGGCAACTTAAAATCGCTTTTTTTTTTTCCAGCAATGATGTTCAGTTCCAATTTTCCAACTCCCCAGAAGATGCTCCACTGCTCCACTCTCTTGCCACCATGGTCATTCCAAGAAACAAATCTGACCACAGCACTTCTCCCCCCACACCCTTCCCAACACAGCATGGACTCTGCAACCTGGTATGAGGGGCCTCTGCTTCACTCCAGTCAGTCCCATGGCTCCCAAAGTGTGGTCTATGGACTCCTAGGGGTCTACAAGATCCTTCCAGAGGTTTTACGAGGTCAAAAGTATTTGATAAAAATACTAAGACATTTCTTGGCTGGGAGCCATGGTTCATGCCTGTAATCTCAGTGCTTTGGGAGGCTGAGGTGGGAGGGTTGCCTGAGGCCAAGAGCTCAAGACAAGCCTGGGCAACATAGAAAGACCCTGTCTCTACAAAAATAAAAATAAAAATAATAAATAACCTGGGCATGGTCCCCAGCTACTTGTGAGGCTGAGGTGAGGGGAGGAGCCCTTGAGCCCAGGAGCTGGAGGATGCAGTGAGCCATAACAGTGCCACTGCACTGCAGCCTGGGTAACAGAGCAAGACTCTACATTACAAAAATAAAAATAAATTTTAAAAATGCTGCTAAGACATTTCTTTCCTTCTTTATGGGGTTAACACTTTGTTGGTGGTGCAAACGCCATAGGGGAGGGGGCAAAACAGCTGGCAACTTGGCACAGATCAAGGCAGCCAGTGTCACCAAACGATACTAGTGGTCACTGCATTTGCCCCTCTGAGCACTTGAAGGAAAATCAATGCCAGCATCACTTAGGCATGCCCTGGATGAGGCAGTAAGTATTAATTTGGTAAATCCTGATCCTGAGTAAGTATCTTTTAAATAGTCTGTTATGAGAAGGCAAGTACATGTTTCCATGACCTACTGAAGTATGATGTTTGTCTCAAGGAAAAGCACCTGTGCAATTGAGTTGTGAGCTGAACTAGCCACCTGCTTCACAGAACACCACTTTTCCCAAAAAAGGACAACTGACAAAAACCTGTTATTCAGACTTAGGCATTTAAAAAGCCATTTTCTTGAAAATGAGCAAAATGAGCCTATCCCTTTGAGGAAAACCACTGACAGTATTTGTTGCCAATGATAAAATTTGAGCTTTCAAGTGAAAATCAGAACTTTGGAAAACTTCTGTCTACCATCATGACTTTGATGGTTGCATAATTAAGATTTCTGTTATCTTTTTTTATTGTATGACAGAGTGTACCATCTGTTGGAGGATTTGCATAACTCAGTGGTCTCACATTTTCCAAGTGACCAATGCATGGTATAAGTAAAACATTCATGGGCAAAAGGGCTATTGGAGGTGCAAGAGAGATGAGCGGTTTTAAGGTAGCTGTAAGAAAAGTTCCCTAAGGTTTTAGGTTTCACATTACAATAACTAGTAAGAAACTACCACTTGTCAAGTTTTGATCCAGAAAAATATCTGCAATTAGATTGTATTGTCTTCACAGACATTAAACAACACAATGAATCAGACTGACTAAAGGAGCAAATAGGAGGATCTTGTTGTCTTCCCTTCATAAGCCAGACACAAAGAAATTTCTAAAAATCTAAGACAATGCCACTGGTCTTACAATTTTTTATTCTGCACAGTTATTTATATAAAATGTATTTTATAATAATACTTAATAAGTTCATTATTGTTCATTTTGAAGGAATAAATGATTTTTAAATTTCCCAGTTTACATTTCAGTGGGAAATATCAACAGATATTTACCCAAATAATAAACTAAATGCCCTTTGAGGTTCTCAACAGTTTTTAAGAGTGTAAAGGGATCCTGGGGCCACAAAGTTTGAGAAACACTGCCGTAGTCTTATCTCTGGGCACCTTCTCACCCAACACAATTTCTGCCCTTGGGAGCCCATGGCCTAAATGGGAGATACACCAGGAAACAACTCTTCAGTGTACTGCATGATAAATGCTGTAACCAGAGGCCGGGAATGCAACAAAAGAGAGCGTGACAAATTCAGCCTGGGAGGGTGAGAAAAGAAAAAACTCTCTGAGGAGTAGGAAAGTGAGTAGGAGTTTTCCAGGCCAACTTGGAGGATGCCGGTGGGGAGGAGCAGAGAAAACAGCATATGCAAAGGCACAAAAATATAAATGGCAGCATGGCATCTCGCGGGTCCTGTAGTTCAACTAGGCTGGTGTGTGGAATGCGGGGAGGAGAGGAGACATATGAGTGCAATGTTAGATAGAGCCCAGACCCCTTAAGACAGGAAAAAACTTAACAAGGGAGCATCAGAAAGGCTTTAATCAGGAAATGTTATGTGAGATTTGTGTTTTAAGAAAAAGCTGTTTCATCAACGGTGTGGAGAAAGGAGTGAGGAAGTGTGTGATGAGATGGGAGAGCAGCTAGGAGGCTACTGCATAAACTCAGGTAAGAAATAAAAATGGCCTAGTGATAGCATTGGCAATTTGCAAGGAGAAGAGGGCTGATAATGGCATCATTAACCAGGAGAGATTTAGAGCGGAGAATAAGCCACTATAGAGGAAAGTTATAGAGCTGATTTTGGAATATGTCGACTATGGTGAATGTGGGGTATCCAGGAAGTGGGCAGCTAGATGTAGTCTGTGCTATAAGTAGAGGAATCACTAACCCAACCAGTCACTGGCTGAGAGGCAGCCACTGAAAGTATCAACGAATCAAAGAGGGAGAGGAGCTCTAATTGACTGGAAGGCATCAGGCCCAAGTCCCATAGGAGAAAAATCTCCTGGCCCAAGGAGGAAACACCAACTGTGACCCTTCTGATTAAACCTAAGTAGACTTGCTGGATATTTGGAAACAGATGTCACCAGCCAGAAGATGCTTTTCAATTCACAGTCCTGCATGGTTTGGTCTGTGCTTCAGCCTTGGGGGTGGGGGTGGGGGTGAAGATGGGGTCTGGGAGCCTAGGGGGAGGGAGGATGAAAGAAGTCTGGCATTGATTCAGAAGGATTCCTGGCCCCGCTGAAGAGACAGAGCAGATCCAACTCCCCAGTGAAGAACAACAGTCTCAGCGTCATTTTCTAATTCCCCAGCTCAGACACAGACAGGAACTTCAGATTAGGGAACCTGAGTCTAAGAGAGAATTTGTACACTGCACATGATCAAAACTTAATGAATGATTTCTCCTCTGTGAGGCCAGCAAATAGAGACTATAGGCTTACAGGCTAAAACACGGGCTCAGCTGAAATTGGAGGAATATGCCATCTGGTAGAAAGCAAGAACTCTCACTAAAAGAAGTGGAGGTCAGTGGAACACTTCAAAATCAGGCATTCTGAAAACTAGCAAAAACCACTTTCCTGCTTGTTTTTTTTTTTTCCTTTTTGAGACAGGGTCTGGCTCTGTCACCCTGGCTGGAGTGCCCGGCTCATTGCAACCTCTGCCTCCTGGGCTCAAGTGATCCTCCCACCTTAGCCTCCTGAGTAGTTGGGACTACAGGCATATGTCACCATGCCCAGCTAATTCTTGTTTGTGGGTTTTGTTTGTTTGTTTTTGTTTTGTTTTGGGTAGAGACAGGGTTTTGCCATGTTGCCCAGGCTGATCTCAAACTCCTGGGTTCAAGAGACCCTCCCACCTTGGCCTCCCAAAGTGCTGGGATTACAGGCGTGAGCCACCGTCCCCAGCCCTGCTTGTTTTTCTATCTGCCCTTTTGGTTCTTGTGTCTGAGACAGAAACAGCACCAACCTTAGAAGACAGTTTCTGTCTTCTCCACACAGATCTTATATTTCTTCAGTACTTTGCTTGTTGCTTAATGCTTCGTAAAAAAAATTTTCATCTACTTAAACAATAGGCTTCTAAACTGAGACCAAATTCCTCTCCTCCTCTTCTGTCCCTGGCACAGCTGGAGGTTGGACTGGACTCACATGGCCCCAAAGAGTAAAGGTGACCTCCTGGACGTCAGAGTGTGGAGGGGCTGTTGATGGCACAGGCCGGCATCCTTCCTGTCTTGCTCCTAGAATGTTCTTAAGATCCAGGGATAACTAGATGCCTGTGATCTGTGTTATCTCCAGGCTTTCTAAGAACCCATGAAATCCAAGTACCACGTGCCATTTCTATGAATGGGATAGAAATAGTGATCCACACATCCACCCACTCTCACTCTCAAATTATCATGCCCGCCTCTCTAAGTCTGTTTTTGAGGTAAAGGCATTAAAACTAGAACGTATTTTTATGACATTCCAATTCTTAGCTTAAACCCAATTTTAAAGTTTAACTGAACCAGGGCAAGCTCCTAAAACTGATTTTTGGAGCTTTGAAGGAAATGGAAGTACTGCTAAGGACAAGCTTCTCAGAATTATACAAAACACCTTTTGAATTAAACAAGTAAATTCTTTCCACTGAAGTATCTAATTTGAATTTAAACATTTCTTTACATGCTACCTTAATTAGATGCACGTTTCTCTCAGTATCTTAATTTTATGCATTTTACACTTCTAAGCAGCTTGCTAGTGAGGATTGCTTATTTGCATTCATTTACATACAATTTGCAAGAAATGTTGAAAAACCTAGAAAGGGAGAGATTGTAAATTCATGGATTTTTCCCTAAATAAAAATGTCAGTTCTATGAAGAAACAAACAGTGCATTTTTTCCCCTTGCTTACCTATAGTACTTTCAAAACTACTTTTACTATTTGTATACACAAAGAGATCCATTTAATGAATATTGGAATAGGAAGATTTTCCCCTGCAAGTTAATAACAATGATGAAAAAGGCTCCAAACTTCTAACGGCCTTCTTACCAAGAAGATGAAACATCCTCAAGCAGATGATGCCTCCCGACAAATATTATTTGCAAAGTGCATCTTCTCATACAATAAGGACATATTTGATCAATTCTGCTCTAAAGATTCATTCAATTTAAAACCTATTTCTTTTAGCAATGGGTAGTTTATTCTGTATGACTTTCGCTTCAGTTAATTGGATTTTCTGCACTTCCCTCTCTTCTCTTCAGCTCGAATTTATATTCACAATAATTCCTGCCCATCTTTACAAGAGCTCTAAGTGAAGCTGGAGGACCAGCGTGGGCCACCCTTTATGAGAGAAAATTCAGTTGGCTATTTTTCAGAGATGGAGGCTGTTGATACTTTCCTGGTTTTCAATGCCCTGAATTTTCTACTAACATCACAAACTACGGGGTGCTCCTCCTCCTGTGACCCTGGGCATGGGCTTGGACAGGGCTCTGGAAATAGATTTCCTATAGCAGCTGCTTCTGCAAGGACTGCAGAAGAAGCAAAATGGTAGAAAAGCCTCCAACATTAAAATTTTATCTCTCCGATTTCACTGGAACATGGCAGGGAGCTCCCCCACCCAAGCTTCATAAATAACCACTGCACTTCCAGAAGGCTCTCCCTCTACATATTGAGAGTAATTTTAGGTTACTGCTCTGAGCTTCACAGAAGAAAGCTGCTTCTCCAAAATAAGACATACTAAGCAAAATTTGAGTTGTGACATTCTTCTAGTTGTAAAATAATGTTATCTGGCAGATGGAGTTTATCCTTGAGAAACAGTTGAAAAGGCAGACGTGGAAGTTGCCCACCCAGAGCAGTAACAGGAGGCACACCCACCACTGTTTCAGAAAGCTCCTGACACAGCACACAGCAGGTTCAGGAGCTGCCTGTGTGGCCCGAGCCGCTCTTGTACGTCCCTGTGCCTCACTCCTCCTGATGTAAAACCAAGATCGCACAGAGAAAGCAAAAAACAGATGCTGCACTTGAGATGATCTCTCTAAAGTAAACAAATTAGGGAATTTATGCATCAACTGTGGTTTCTGGAAATCAGTTGGAACTGTTTCGTAAAATAACTCAAGACATCACTATGAATACCCTGGAATATGCCAAAGCTTTTTTTTTTTTTTTTTTTTCTTAAATTAACACTTTTTTTTCCCCTCCATGTTCAAGGCAGTGTTAGGTGGATAATGGGGAGATGGACTGAAGATGAAATGTGTAAGTTATTATTCATAGTCCCTGAAGGGGATCAATCTCCATGCTTAAAAATACTTAAGAGTTTCTTAGATAGTTATAGTTAAATACTTAACAGTTTATAGTTTATTAAGAATACTTACTAGTTTACTGTCATTGAATACTTAAACTATATAGCTGAGGTGATTACATGTATTAGCAAAAGTAAAATTTGATGAACTTTATCTAAGATAAAATTTCAACTTCTGTTTACTTATAAAACAGATGTGCCACATTGGGCCTGGCAGAATAAGCCTGTCCTGATTTTGTACCTTCCTATCTCAAGATATACCAACGTAATTTCTCTATGTAAAATTAATAGGAGAATCCAAATTGCTTTACTTCACAAATAAATATGCCAAACAATGTCTCTTAAGGAAAACTGCAATCAATAATTAACGGAGTAGCTGCAAAATAAGTTGCAAAAAGTTGAACACAATTAATCCAATGTTTATGCTTTCTTTAATAAATATTCATCTTTTCTAATCCTAACTTCAAGACAAACTTAATTATTTTTGTATGCCCACTTTCAGACTTGTAATAGGATCCTCAGGGCTGACAGGGGATTTTCTTCACCACACTGAGCAAAGTGTCTACTCTTTTCTTTGTTGTTCAAGTAGTGCCTGGCACTTAGAACTGGCATTCTGTGCATATAATGAATACAATGCACATGCACAGAACGCCTGCTACAAATACACACACACACACACGTACTAAAACGAGTAGTAACTGACAACACACAGTAACATGCTAGGTGCTTATCAGAGAAAAATCCTTTAAACAGACATAATCAAAAGAAACACATCAAAGGCAAACACTTCTGGAGTGCTTATGTATTGGACAGGAAACACATTCTCCATCCTCAAGAAATCAGCTCCAGTTTAAGAGACAAGATGTTTACATAACTAAGAATATAAGGCATCACATGTTCCGAGAAGAATGAGAAGGGACAGAAGGTGACATAGAGGCAACACTGAAAACATGTATTTAGAGTCATGTGGATGGGCACAAACATCCCAATCCAAATTTTAGGAAGAGGTATGTGATGACATCAAATAGCACAGGACAGAGTGTATCACTGCAAACCTGAAAATCTTGCCACTCGCTAGCTATGAAAATGAGGCCAAGCTCCTTAACCATTACCTCAAACCTTAGTTTCCTGGTACGGTACACGTGGATAACAGTGGTAACTCACAGAGTTGCTGTGAAAGTGAAATGCTGTGAAAACTAAACCCACGTAAAGGGCTTATGCAGTGCCTGGGGCACAGAATATGCATTCAAGAAATATTAGCTATAATAGAATTGGTTTACTTTAAACTTACTTCACCCTTTCTTAGCCCAATTATTCATACTTCTGCCACTTAATTTGCTCTCATCATGACTCTTCCTATCCCTTTAATCAATTCTGTTGCTGGCCTGTGAGCTCCTTTGTCTATAGCTTTCTAGAAATAAGTGACCCAGACAGAGTTCTGTATTCCTGTGCTCTGCAGG
This sequence comes from Homo sapiens, assembly GCF_000001405.40. NCBI lineage: Eukaryota > Metazoa > Chordata > Mammalia > Primates > Hominidae > Homo > Homo sapiens. The sequence continues at coordinate 34,196,221 of NC_000010.11, forward strand.
GTTACGTGGCGTACAATGACCACATCTCCACTTTGTGACATAATACATAATACCTTTGAATAGAGTGCTTTAAGCTCCGCTTGTTAATACCCCATCAACTCCAGTTAAAGAGCACTCTCATTTGAGAGTCACTTAAAAAAATCACCTTTATTCTTAATATCTTGGAATCTCCTTATATTGCACTGGTTCTTATGTTGATGACAATTTTTGATACCAGACAGGATGGTCCTAGCTCCCATCTTAAATTGAACAATGCTTGAGAGAAATGATTTTCATGACAGTAGTATTTCTTGTTACTTAGTTTTGCCTGTATTGTCTTTTGAGTTACAAATACTTTGTACCCTTTTCTTTTTTTTTTTTTTTTTTTTTTTGAGACGGAGTCTCGCTCTGTCGCCCAGGCTGGAGTGCAGTGGCTCGATCTTGGCTCACTGCAAGCTCTGCCTCCTGGGTTCATGCCATTCTCCTGCCTCAGCCTCCCGAGTAGCTGGGACTACAGGTGCCCGCCACCACACTTGGCTAATTTTCTGTATTTTTAGTAGAGACAGGGTTACACCGTGTTAGCCAGGATGGTCTCTATCTCCTGACCTCATGATCCGCCCACCTTGGCCTCCCAGAGTGCCCTTTTCTGTTCTGATTGCTAATGTAGGTAAGAAGGAGACCAGCCCTAAGGCCTGTGTCTGGGTGACAGCCCACGAGGTGCCTCCCATGCTAATTCTTTTGATACTGGCGTTACTATGAACCGCAAGCTTTGTCTGTCCATCCACCTCACGAAATGGCTGGTGGTATCTGGAGGCCAGGGAGGCATTATGCTTTGCCATCCTGTGCCTTCCCATCTGCACCCACTACACGAGCAATGTTCAGCTCAAAACCAAGTTAAATTAATATGAAGAATGCAGGGTCTTCAAAAACTGTGTTCTCCTCCCGATTTAAAGTGTGTGTATGTACACACACTTAGCTCATAATCTTAAACGATCTATCACAGTGACCAAATACCAGCTATTTTTAGGAAAAATGCTTGCTTGCTTCTCAAGATTGAGTTGGCTTCTGAGTATTCACAGATGCTCTTCATGTGTTAACTACTCAATCTGAGGGAACTGATTGGACCAGGCCTGGAATGAAACCTTCCCCCGACTGGTTTTTGTCCACGAACTCCTAGTTCAGAATGAACACTTAGGACTACACGTTCTCCTCTCAGAAGAAACACAGGCCACCCGCCCATTCCCACCAAACAAACCTCCTCAGCAATCAACCTCCAAGCTTCCAGCATGTGTTCCTTTGTCAAAACTTCAACAATGTAGACATCATTAATTTGCATTTAATGACTTTGGGACATAAAAATTATTCCATCCCTTCTCTCTTACTTAGACTAGGTGTATGCTGCGTGAGCTAATAAATTCAGGCCTCCAGGTTACCTTAAAGTATTTTTAACACAAGGTAACTAGTTCTTCGTTTGAATTCTCCACTATATTTTGCTGGGTAACCTTTGCTCCTACTGCAGGAGGTGAGCTGTTATTTATTTATTTATTTTGAGACACAGTCTCACTCTGTCGCCAGGCTGGAGTGAAGTGGTGCGATCGCAGCTCACTGCAACCTCTGCCTCCCAGGTTCAAGTGATTCTCCTGCCCCAGCCTCCCGAGCAGCGGGGACTACAGGCGCACGCCACCACGCCCAGCTAATTTTTGTATTTTTAGTAGAGACAGGGTTTCACCATGTTGGCCAGGATGGTCTTGAGGTCTTGATCTCTTGACATCGTGATCCGCCTGCCTCAGCCTCCCAAAATGCAGGCATGAGCCACCGCGCCCGGCCGAATCTGCTGTTATTTAATAAGAAGCTAAAAGTGAAAAATGGTTTTCGGACCTTGCTATTCACATTGCAGCTTCTAACATTAACAATGATAACAGCAAGATTCAGAAATTAAAGTTGTAAAAAATTCAATAAGCCAAGCAAATAGATACTTTCTAGCCAATTTTAAAATCACTTCATTTTTTGATCTTAAGGAACCATATTAAATTCAGGATAATGCAGCTATTTTAAAAAGAAGATAAAAATCACACATAATGCTGGTGATTATGAGTTTCACATTTTTGTCTTTTTTTCTGTAAACAGTCAACATTCACTTAGTGACTCAGCAAAAGACAGATTTATCATATTTCACTAAGTTCCAACCTGGGTACCAATTTTAACTAAAGTTAATTAAAAATCCATAAGAATGCCTATCTGAAATCACTAATTGGTGTGTGTGTGTGTGTGTGTGTGTGTGTGTGTGTATGTGTGTGTGTGTCTGTGAAGAGATAACTGGAAGGATGATCCTAGAAGATGTCAGTGGGTAGTGGGGTCATTATTATTTTTTCTTTATACTTTTCTGCATTTTAGAATATTTATAATGAATGCTGCCACCTTATTTTAAAAGTTAAAATTATTCTATTTTGATAGAAAATTTTCACTACCTGTCATTTTGTTTTACAACAGTCAACTGAAGTGCACCCTGATGTCCTTTACAGATTACAAAAATTGCCCCAAACAGTCAACCCCTTAGAAAGGTGTCAGAAAACAGGCAAATACAGAGGGAAAGTCAAACAGTCAGATTTAACCCCAGGCCTCCCATGTATTTGGGACTGTGTCACGATGGGTGATCATTAATGCTCAGGAGCCCTGCTCCATTGTGGAACAGCTGTAACAACGTCAGACCAATCTGGTTCAACTTTTATGCAACCAAGCTGTGAGTTGCTTTTCAGTTGCCATGGACTCTCAGGTTAAAGGTCACAAAACCTGGGCATCCCTAGATGATCCAAGCATGCAACCATGGGCAGAACCTAAGCACTGGGACCAAGGAATGGGACTGAATTAAGAAGTGGACATTACATGGCAGGATCCAGGATCCAATAAGATGGAGCTCTGGCATCACCCCATGACAGGATCCAATCAGATCGTGCCTCCCAGCATCACCTCATCTCAAAATCCAATCAGATCGGACCTCATTATCCTATGCTCATAAAATGCAACCCAGGCCCCAGCTTTGGGAGATAGATTTGAGCATATCTTCCTGTCTCCTTGTCAGTCAATTCACAATTAACCTTGCTTGCTATAAAAACCTAGTGCTTTGGTGTTTGGCTTTCTGTTGTGAACAGGCAAATGGACCCAGTTTGGTTCGGTGACAGGGCTTAGCCTGGAGAAGCCACAGGCATCTCACACGTGGAGCTGGTGTGAGGACTAAGGGGTAATTGCCCTAAGCTGACAATCCCCAGTGGCTGGTCAGTGAAGGCAGAGCTCAGAGTTAACGAGGTCATGGCCATGGTTTCATGAGGGTGACCAGGGAGCTTTGTTTTGCCCTACAGCCATGGGCGGCACCCCCAACCCCGGTTACCTTCAGCAAAGCCTGGCCTGCTGTGTTAAGCAAATCTGAAAAACCTGAATAAAAGCATGAATAGAATTTAAAAAAATAGGAGTATCAAACATTTACTTCCTACTAGTTGTGGAGCAAGAGCACCTCCTTCCTACTTTCAAGAATAAAGGATGCAAGCTTTCCCTTCTGAGCAAGTGATTAATGAGAACCGGAGAAATCAGTAACTGGGCCATAAAATGAGGCAAGTCCCTCGTTAGAGCAATTTCTACCTGGCTTCTCCTAGGTTCTTTAGCAACAAAGACTATTCGAATGTGTTACAACTGCCCGACCCCAAAAAAACAGAATACCACATCCATGAAAAACGGTTTAGTGATTCCAGGATATTGTGTTATTATCCTGAGTTTGGTAAAGTAGAGGAAATCATCTTGACAGCCATGAAACATGATTGGTAAGTGAAGATCATGGTCAAAGAAAGTGGATTTTTATAAATGAACTATCTTTGTGAGCTATGATCATGTAGATCTTGGTTACAAATAACAATCATAATCACAATTGATCTCTAGTTATGTTAAGTGGCTTCAATTCATTATCTCAGTTCATCTTGAAAACAACCTTGTAAGATAGGGAGTTTTATAATTCTTCTTTCATGGAAGAATATAGCTTATAGACTTTAAGTAACTGGTATAATGTCACCTAGCTAATTAGAGGCAGTTAGAGCAAGACCCGAGACTGCTGACTTCCAACACCTCTTAAGCAATAACAGGAAAAAAAAAATCTTCGTTTTCCTGCAGACAGTAAACTTATTGGGGGATGGCTGATATTTGTGGTTGCTGCCCAATGGAACTTTTGCCAAAGACTGAAGAGTTAACAAACCCGCAGGAGAGGCAAGAAATGCAAGTCAGGAAATGAATCTGTGGCAGCAGATGGGGTCTATCTGTTTCCTTGCCTCATCTCTAGTTAAGGAGTCTTAGTCTGTAGCAGAAAGAGGAAACTGTTGCCAGCCCTCTGCCCATCCATCACATGGCTTAGTACTTACTGAACCCTGATAAGGCATCAACAGCACATCAGTGATGGTCCAGCCACTCACTAGATGGACAGTAAAAAATAGAGGACTAGCTGCAGACACAGAGTCGTGACAACAGGAAAAGGAGGGGACAAAGCATTAGTTACTAGGCTACTGGCTCTCTCCACTCTAGGGATATTGCTGCATTATGGAACAAAAGCTCACATGCAGACGCCAGGGCTATAAGAGCAGATGGTTTTTCAGCTGGCTGCAGTGGTCGACACAGGCATCTCAATGAATGTAGCTGTTCCTGCATCAGCTTCTGCTATTTCAGAAACAGGGAAGACACTGAACAAACTCTCTGGCAGCTCCTTGGCAACCCCCTGCCCCCCACTGCCTGCCTTTCCTCTCTCCAATGTATGTGTGAGTGCCTGTGTATACATGCAGACACACGCACCTGCCAAATTATCTTTATAAACTGTATCTGTTTACAGGGAGGCCTCTTGGAATACGAAAGGCATGGGATCTAGAGACAGACAGAACTGGGTTCCAATCCCATCTCTATCACCATGTACTATGGGCCACTCTGAGTCTTTAAGTTCTCATCTGTCGAAGAAAGATGCAGTCATGTACCTTGGGGGAGCTCTGAGGATAAAGGGAACCAAGGCAGGTTACTGAGCTAGCAGTGTGGCATACCGCACTCAATGAATGCTGTTCACTAATACTTCTGTTCGTTGCTGCTTCAAGAAAGGCTAAGAAATCATTTTATTTCCACTGAAAAACTTATTGGAAGGGAACAGTATTCTCTCATTATTTAAAAGCAGTATTTTATAACAAACGCAGATCCTTATCTCAGCGTAAAAAGTTTATTTAAATAAATTATGAAGAAATCAAAGAGAACTATAATTAGAAGGAAATGAAAAGCCATCTATACTAAGGGCATAGAATGCTTTGGAGAGAGAAGTTTCAGTTGTTGGTTCATCTCTTCAGAGTGCTGAAAGTGACTCTTTCAAAAGGGGAGCCATGTTTTAAAATTTTATCTTTAAATTAACATACAGTAAAATGGACTTTTTTTGTGGTATGAAGTTCTGTGTGTTAAAATTCAAGGAGTTGTTCACCCAAAAAAGCAACTCTAGGGTATGTTAAAAAATAAAATGAATTTTAACACATCAAGAGATTCATGTACCAACCACACCATCAGGATACAGAGCTTCCATTATCGTAAAAACTAAAGGGAAGAAACGTCGTTCTGTTTCGCAAACATTCACTGAGCACTCACTTCTGCTGACCTTGTGCTGGATACCAGGGAGGAAACACTGAATGACAGGATCCCCACCCCAGTGCACCATTGCTCTTGGAAAAAAGGATCAGGGGGCTTGCAAAGTATCATTTTTTGTTTTCATTTTTACTATTTTTAGCCAGTCAGATTTTAGCAGTGGGGGGTTAACACCAACTTTTGTGACACTAACATTAATAAGTTCTGATAACCCACTACCATCGAACCAGCCTATTTTTGTTTTTTTTAGAGACAGGGTCTCTCTTTGTTGCTCAGGCAAGAGTGCAGTGGTGTGATCACAGCTCACTGCAGCCTCGACCTCCTGGGACCAAGCAATACTCCTGCCTCAGCCTCCTGTGTAGTGGAATTACAGGCACATACCATAATACCCGGCTAATTTTTAAATCTTTTATAAAGATGGGATCTCACTATGTTGCCCAGGCTGGTCTTGAACTCTTGGCTTCAAGCAATCCTCCAGCCTTGGCCTCCCAAAGTGCTGGGATTATAGGCATGAGGCACTGCATTTGGTGAAAATATTTTAAAGACTTCTGAACATATTCATTACGTATACTTTCAACTTTTTACAGATAAGAGGTGTGAAAGAGCCCACTGAGATTGAGAGCCACTCTTTGGAAGAGGAAAGCATCATTTCTAGTCCAAATGTCACACTGCATAAACGACACAGGCATGTTAACAGAGGTACAGAAAGCTAAGTGACTTCACCACATCACACAGATGATCAAGAACCAGGCAAGAGACTAAAACTTTGCTCAACATATCTGAGAACTCAATAAAACATTCTCTTCCTTTTACTCCCTGTTGATTTTGCAAAGGGTGGCATTTCTTATATGCATCAATATAGCCAAATTACATTCTAGAATCTACTCTTTATATGAGTTTATCTCCAATTTAATAACAGAAGGAAAAAGAAGGGTCTAAGTATGTGCTTAATATGTTGCTTTCCTGGCAATACTTGAGGCACAATACATGAATCTATTTCCCTTACTGTGACACACAAATGGCTCAGATTCAGAAAAAAATACAACAGTAAACCCTCTCAGTGACAATGGCTGTACTGAGCTGGCTGTGATTGAGAAGCAGCCACAATGTCTGGCATCCTGAGAGGCTAGAACTTCAATTCACTGAGGTCTGCACTTGAACACAACCAAATGGGCACAGTTACCTTTTGCTAACACCCCCACTCCAGCACCCTGGCCCCACTGCCAGCTGCAGCCCCATCCCCAGTTTCTCGCTCTGCCTGTGCCAAGAAAATATGATGGTTTAGTTTTGAAGGTCGTTTTATGGCACTTTGGAGTGTGGGTACACTGCAAGAGAGAGAGAGAGAGCTCTGTTTCTATTTGCCTCCGCCAATAAATAGAAAAGCAAAACACTTCAATCTATATGCCAAACCACTGAAGAATGAAGGCAAAATGGATTAATCACCCATAGCTCACACAGAGAAACTCTCATTCTAGACACAGATCAAATGAATGGCTGTTCTGAGGTTAGGAAAGCTCCCACTGACTCCCAGCCTTCTGCATTCATCTGCAAAGCTTCTGAAGCTTTCCAAATACAGTTGTCTCTTGGTATCTACGGGGAATCGGTTCCAGGACACCTTGTGGATACCAAAATCCACGGATGTGCAAGTCTATTATATAAACTGGTGTAATATTTGCATATAACCTACCCACATCCTCCTGTATACTTTAAATCATCTCTAGATTGCCTATGATACCTAATACAATGCAAATGCTATGTAAATAGTTGTTATACTGTGCTGTTTAGGGAATAACAAGGAAAAGAATATCTGAACATGTTCAGTGGAGATGCAATCATTCATTCATTTTTTCCCCGGGTATTTATGATCTGTGGTTGGTCAAATCCATCGATGCAGAACCCATGAATGCAGAGGGCCGACTGTATATTCAGAGACAAGTACCACCAGGAATCCACACACCTGAGTTCTATTGATCTGTCAATGCCTGGTTTTGCAACAGCAGAAGACACACTCAAGTAATAAAATAAGGGATAATGTGAAGACATTTTGTTCATGTGCAAGGGAAGTTTGGGAGATATCTAATGTCTTTCAAAGAAGGTTCTAAATGCCTCAAAGACGCCTCTCATGTTATGATTAAAACTCAGTGGCAGCTAGATTGTAGTTATAATTTTCATAAGTCAGAGTTCTATCACTTGATTAGAGGTTTCTGAATAGTAAATGTGTTGACTAAGCCTAGATCTCACTTAGCAAATGGAAGGTATGTAGAAAGGTAAGTACATCAACATTTACTGATAGTGTTGACAGTATTGATGTTAATGATAACGTATTCCCTTTTCAAAGAAAGTTGCAAGTACCGTGTGGAACCTCTATTAACCTCAATAGGAAAGGCACCAAGTTCAAGAGGCCAAAGGAGAGACCCAGAGCAAGCGAATGACACATGGGGTTTTATTAGTGGCTTACATAAAGGAAAGAGAGTCCAGTGGCAGTGGGCTGGACAAGATAACCACCTTACATATGGTCCAGTGGTGGCAGGCTGGAAAGCATAACCTCACGGCGCAGTGTTGGCAGGCTGGGTAGGAAAACCACAACCACTTGCAAACAGCATGCAGTTTATATACAGCGTTTTCACTTAACACCCTCCCCTTAACGACCTCCACCTTGCAACCTTCATTTAACCCAAAACTCAGGGCCCCAATCCTCCATACAGCTTGTGTTCAACAGAACAGGATGGGGGCTCAGATGTTCTTCACAGACAAGGAATGAATCTCTGGGTTGGCTACTCCTGGATGCCCTAACTTGGAACACATATTCAGATGCATCTGCCATACAGGATCATCCTAAGGGTGTGCTTACGTTACATTCCCCCCTACAATAAGAGGATCTGAATTCATTTTCAAATCATCTTTCTTGATGTAAACACAAGCCAGCATAAGATTTTGAATTCGTGGTATCTATATTATGGGCTCATAAGCAGAAATGTGTGACTTCATAAGTAGAACACTTGTTTATTTGGCAAACTTTGGATGTGCTTCTCTTATACCTAATTACAAGTCCATTAATTTTTATAATCATATTAAAGAACTCCAATAAAACTTTCAATGACTCCAGGGGAAGGTAGTTTTAGACAGTCAACCGTAATTAAGCCAAACGATTGTGCCTGCATCATTATAGCAACTATAGGGAGTAATTTGAGTCTGGGGATGATTATCATCAAAAAAGTTGGAAAACAACACACTGTAAACCTTTGCATCATAAGCACATTTCACCAACATCAGCCTCAGGGCTCTAGTGAAATCAGTTAGGTGTGTTATACACCTGCTGGAAAAAAAATCTTTGATTTTGTATTTCTCAACTAAGAGACATCTGATGCTGAGGTCACTGGGACTTTCAGGTGAGAATCAGCAGGAAATGAGATCTTTAACACCTGTTTGTTGAACTTGCCTAATCTGACTGTATTTAGCCTGTTATGCTGACATCTGAACTCAATTGATAAATATTCCTATCTGGCCTAAATTCTCTTAGCATGCTAGATAGGCCGGGTGAAATGAAAAATGTTTTCATGCGTTAGAAAACAAATTAATAAAGCATTCAAATCTATCTGCAGTGTTTTTAAAAAATTATTTTAAGAAAAACACTCCTCTGTTCACTTTATCAGTTTTCAGAAGTCAAATCCACAAACCTTAATCCTGTATGAGTGCGGTAAGGTGTCAGATGCAATGGCAAGCAGAGGGACTTGAATTTTGAAAGAAGAATGCCAGGCTCTAAGAAGAGGAAGTGGGCGGCCAGGGAGAGGGTGAAGCGATGTGTGTGGTGAAAGCCTGGGAGCTGGAGAGGAAGGGGATGGCGGCAGCAGAGGCTGGGCCTGAAGATGGGCAGGGACTCACCTCCTGCACTTCCTCCTGCCTCTTCACTTTCCTAGCTTCCTCTGGGGTCAAGAAAAAGCCACATATCTTAGGATTTTGACTTGTTCCTGCTGTGGCCATTGTAGTTGGCGGCAGGCAGACCACCACAGCGTATGCTCCGGATACAGTCCCCCCATCCCCTGGGGCTGCGCATCTGATGGCTGCTGCCACTAAACTACAGCACTTCATGGCTGAGGACCGATGCTGATGTTGGGAGGAGGGGCAGCACCTGTGGCTGTGTGGGGTCTTGCCTCCTGCCTCACTACTAGATCGAGGTCTTGTCCCATACAGCCAGAGAAAAGCAGATCCACATGGATCATTTAAAAAACCCTTTCACATGTATAAATCACAGCAGTCAAGCATAATTTGACCACCTCTTCACTTAAGTCCATGGAAGGGAGGAGAGGCACAGTGGGAGGTCCCAGTGCAGGTGTGGAAGGTGGCTGCTGGGCCAGGAGGAACAAGAACAGTGGCAGTCAGTGGCACAGGCTGCTTGCTGGTCCAGGGCTCTAGCGCCCCTAGCTATTCATTGCACATCTTCAGCATATTGGGGTATGAAACCAGACTACAGGTCTCAGATGTCATTCACTATGGTGACGGTTTCAGCAAATCCAGCACAGGTAGGAAATAGGAAATGGGCGGCGTTTGCCTGGAGTGAGCCCCTTTTATGGCCTTCCTTGGGCTACTAAGATTTGTCAGCTCCTATTGATGCAGGACAGGCAAGCCCCAAAACTGGGGCTTAGCCCGGGAAGGTTCTTGGCTTCACTCAGGAAAGAACTCCAGAGCCAGTCGGTGATAGAAGGAAACAGCTTTATTGAGGACGCAGTGTTGCATCTCCCTGACTGCTCCTGCAGAGCAGAGCTACTCCCTGGGCAGTGGGTGGAGAGAAGCAGCTCGGAGCAGTTCTGCAGTCATGTTTATATCCACTTTTAACTACATGCAAATTAAGAGATGGGTTATTTACAAATTTCTAGAAAAAGGGTGGTAACTTCCAGGTTGCTGCCATGGAAAGCAGTGGAAACTTCCAGGTGTTGCCATAGCAATGGTAAACCAACATGGCACTGGTAGGTGTGTCTTATGGAGAGGTGCTCTCACCTCTTCTGTTTCAACCAGTCTTCAGTCTGGTCTGGAGTAAAGTCTCACCTCCTACCTCACTACTAGATCGAGGTCTTGTCCCATACAGCCAGAGAAAAGCAGTATCACCTATAATTTCACAGGATCAATCCTGGACTCTAGATTACACAGCTTCATCAACTGACAAGCACCTAGCTGTCACTGTGTGCCCAGCTTTAAGCCACCATCTGCCATGGTGTGTGCTGGCACACAGGTATGCTCACCTGTGTGTTTGGTTGGGATGGGTGAGGCCTCTCTGCTTACAATTTAACTAGGAAAACAAGACTTATCAAGCCTACATCAGCAATTCACGCCTCAAATACTTCCTCCTTTATCTCACACAGGGGCTCATGATGAGTTAAAATTCAGTATTCTGATTAGCTCCCATTCAAATGGTTGGTTGTTTTGTCACTCTTGGGTGGGGACAAAAAGGTAACCAAATATATTTTAAAAATAAGCACAGCAGCAAGTGTTTTCAATAAGCAACCCTCACCCTAACTGCTGAGAGATGGAGCTGATTTCCTACATCTCTCAGCATTAAAGTAATTGAATGCAAACGAGTCAGGACACAGAAAAAGTGAAACCCCAGCCGTGGGGTTCTGGCAAAAGCATTTCCAATGGTGGGAGTAGAACAACTGTCCCTGGTCCTCAGATGGAGTGTCAGAGGTCACTGCAGGCTGGGACACCATGGATCAAGTTTCACTCACTTCAGGACAAAGCAAGTTACACAAATAAGGCACAGAATCATTTAAGGGTTAAATGTGTACTCTACCTTTTCTTTTACCAAGATGATATTTTCACCCTTTTTACAAATCCCCAAAACCGCCCACTAATGAAGAGACACAGTAAACTTTATGGACATTCCAACTGATATTTACCAAGAGTTTCGTTTTAAATCTCTTAATCCCTATGTTAAATAGGAAAACCCAGCATGAATCTAGTTTTTAAGGTGACACAATTTTCTTTAGAATGAACAACATCGAGGCTTTGTTAGAAAACCCAGAATGACTGATTTTAAGAAGAATGCCTCCGGTCCTTTGTCAGAAAATAGACATTTTTCTGTCAAAAGAGGCTGTTATCTAACTTTCTGTAAAAGAGAAAAAAGTAATGAGCTCTCTCTGGATAATATATGCCTGAACTTCTCATGCAAAGAACACACCTTTTTATTTCTCAAAGCTTGAATACTGTCTGTGGTGTAAAACAATTTTAAGTGCCTTTGCTAATTAATAGGCTGCTTTAGCTACACATCAGCAGAATTGCATTTTTTAGAGACATAACCATGAACACATGATTTACTTTTTTTCTTACATGTCTTCTAAAAAATAAAAGTCTCTGTCGTGGACACAAGTCAAATCAGGTTGTCATGAACTACTCTGCAAAGTGTAAATAATAACATTCATTAAAGAAGAAGTATTTCAGCGAAGAAAAGTAATTGGCAATAAGGATGGTGCCTAAGTGAAGACTGTCTGCAGGTGGCCTGAATGGGGGCAGCAGAACCAAATTATAGAGGCTTTGCATAACTAGTTATCCAATTGTTCTATAAGAGAACAGCACTATTAGTGACTTCTCATCTAATGTTGCTAACATGTCTCTTCAATCTTATGAATCCTTGCCAGGACCACCAGGGGAATGCCAGCCTTTCAGTACGTTTTTAACAAGGCTGTTTACTAATAGATCACACCTCATGGCACAGGCATCTATAGTTGATTTCTTGTGAAATCATTTTGCAGAGGGTTAAGGACGCAGAGAAGAGAGGTAGGCAAAGATGGCTACAGAAATGTGTTAAGCGTGACCCAACGGTCCCCTAGAACTGCTCATGCAGGGTGAGCGTTCAGGAAACAGGAGCTGTACCACCCAGCTATCAGTCTTTGTGAACCTCAAGGAGCCGAGGGCCATCAGATTCCTAGGCAGCCAGGTAGCTATCAGCATGGTGTGGGGCAAGCATTCTGAGTTCCTTTCAGACATTTAACAATCGAGGGTTTTGATGTCATTGAAAAAATTAAAAAGGGAGCCCACAGTTCTTCAATGACTATTAAATGTTTGAAACCTCTATAAATAAACAGACATGTTAGAATTACTCCAAGAATTTAAATACCTCAAGTTCTTTAAGCTTTCAGAAATATACTTGTCTAATAGATACATTATGGTGAAAAGAGTATTTGAGAATGACCATTTTCATGCAAACTAAAATTCCACATATAATATTCTGACTAGGAATAAAAAATGTAAGACAAAGTAAACTTTAACTAGAGGGAAAAAGATGACTTCAGATTTTCTTTCTACTTGGGTGACCTAGAATCCCTTCTTCCTTTAATTCTATTTCTTGGGTCAAGAGATGAACAGCACTTTCACTGAAAAATGCACTGGTTGTTTGAATGAGAAACAAACTTCATTTCACAGGAAATTTCTCATCAAAAATCTAGCAGAATATGTAGTTGGAGGTTGATTTGGTTATCAGGAGCAGGAGCCCCAAGGATTCTTTTAATGTCATGCTATTAAATATTCTCGACATGAACAAGGCAGAGCTGATGTGGAGATGTCATCAGGGGCAGTAACGGAGTTTGAGCGAGGAAGAGAATTGCTTCAAGAAGCCAAGTATAGTTGATTCTGTCTTCTGTGAGATAAATGATATTAAAATTAATGTTAGATATTAGTGTGTTGTGGGGGGCAGTCAAAAATTAACACCTTTTATAAATGGAGAAAAATATTCCTCAATTCAGTTTTCCTAACCAAGAGCAAAGAAACGGGTCAGAGAGACATAGGTTCAAATCTTGGTTCCCACCAATTACTAGCTATGGGGTCTTGGCTGAGTCACTTCTCCAAGTTTCTACATATTCTGTGTACTGTAATGTGGTTTTTTAAAAAAGTGCTTACCTCACAGGGATGCTACAGAAACCAAATGAGAAAATGCATGCAAATTCTTGGGAGAGAAAGCATTTAGTAAATGTTAGCTATTATTAGTTATCATTAACATTATTATTTTTATCACAAAGTTGTTATAATGATAAAACTGTATCAGGTAAGATATTTATGGATAGAAATCCAAAATAAGTCACCACTTTAATATTTATATGTAAAGTTAATCCTCAGTTACCAAAAATCTTACCTAGTGGAGATGAGACTCATTGAATTTCTAATATATTTTATATGCTGTAAATTTATAAAATTAGCCATACATTGCAAGGCTAGGAAGTTTTAGAATTCATAACAAAATGTGAACATGTGAGTGATACTGTGTCTTTATGAAATGTGCTCAATGCGAGGCCAGGACTAAGAACTTCCCAACATATAACATATAAACACCTATCTTCTCTGTTATCATAATCAATGCAAAAACAGGTCATGTGTGCACTCACACATGTATTGTACATGTATGTATGTGTGTGTGTAGTGCAGGTGGTGGAGAGAAGAGGAATTGGAAGAGTATGAGGAATATTTGAGTTTTCTTTTATTCAGTAAGCTTGTGGTTTAATTCTTCCATGACATGTTAACATAAATCAGAACCACTCTTTCACTAGTGAATTGCCCCACATACTTTGCGTGTGGATGTTGGTTGAGACATTTGGTGGGCAGAGTGGCGATGGGGAGTATTTCTTTTAGACACCACCTTCTGCACTGGAGCCTGCTGGCCTGTGGAGTATACGTAACAGCTCAAGGTGTTATGACCTTTCTACTTACAAGGAGAAGAGATACATCCGGCGGTACAAAGTGGAAATAATTGATCATTCTCTCCTGATTGACATAGTAGATATTAATGATCAAAAACTTGATACCTGGGAAGGTGCTCAGACTATTCAACAAGAGTGACTCTAACTCTGTGGTCTCCTAGAGGAAGTTCACCACATCACTATCATCACAGCCACAGCCTGGACTTGGTTCTCAGGAAATAGGGTGTCTGGGATGATTTCAACCATGTAATTTCTAGGAAAACTAGAATTCAGTGCACAATGGTCATTTAGGAATACAGACAATTGCTTCCTGACTTGACTTTTCAACACAGTGTGGTGGTAAGGGGTTGGCTGCACACTCTCCTATGACCCTGTGCCCCCAATATTAAAGGAACGTACTGTTTTTCACCTGTTCAGGTGACACCTACCAATCATAAGGGAGGACAGGTGACATGTTTATGGGCTTAGGAGGAGTGAGGAACTGTGTCAAGGTCTTTGCATGTGTTATCTCATTAACACGGATTAACAGAATCTACTTCACCGGGTTGACGTGAGAATTGAGAACAGATACACAGCTCTTCAGCCTGTGACAGGCTCATGAAACGCACCGATAAACATTCGCTCTCTTCCCTGGACCCTTCATTCTTGCATTTCTGTGAGGGCAGAGCAATCACCTCCAACCAAGAGATGTGGAGATGTGTCTAGGGTCGTAAAGATTAGAAGGGGGCTGCATAAGGATTTGGGCCCAGTTCTGGCCCGTGTGACCCCAAGCCCTGGTAGGCCCTTGCCTCTGCCAAGTCACCTCCTACAAAGTGTGTGTTTCCTCTTTCAGATCACAGTTAGGCCAGCGGGAAGGGAGTGAGGATACACTTACAAATGCTCAGAACTGAGTGGGGCATACGCAGAGAGAAGGCAGAAGAAAAAGGGAAAGCAGAAACGACAGAGGAAGGGAGCAAAGTTCTAGTTAGAAAATGGAGGCCGGGAGTGATGTTTCACGCCTGTCATCCCAGAACTTTGGGAGGCCGAGGCAGACGGATCACTTGAGATCAGGAGTTCGAGACTAGCCTGGCCAACATGGTGAAACCTCGTCTTCTAAAAATACAAAAATTAGCTGAGCATGGTGGTGGGCGCCTGTAATCCCAGCTACTGGGGAGCGTGAGGCAGGAGAATTGCTTGAACCCTGGAGGCGGAGATTGCAGTGAGCCGAGATCGAGCCACTGCACTCCAGCCTGGGTGACAGAGCAAGACTCCATCTCAAAAAAAGAAAAAAAAAGAAAGAAAAAGAAAAAGGAGTAGAGATGCCTGTTCCTCTCCCCAGGAGTCTCACTGTCTGTGAGCATATCAGTATCTCCACCTTCCCAGGGTTATCCCAAAGATCTTCCCAAGGCTCTTTCTGGTATTTGGGGACACTACACTTCCTTCTTTCCATCAAGAGAAAAGGCCACTTTTTGGTATATCACGTAAGATGTTACTTCTTTGGAATCTCAGAGTGCTCAACTTTTTTTTTTTTTTTTTGCTCCCATATATTTCTGCTCTATTTTGCTTCCATGTGTATTTCTGCCCTCTCCTCCCATTCTTGCATCTACTAACTTAAGTATGCTCAAATCGCTATTATCCTAATTTAACTGATGATGCTATCAGGTGATCCATGCTGGGGAAATCAACACTTACCATCATGACTCCTCCCCCATCCCCGTGACTTTATTCCCCTGTGTTCCCACAACTTCTCCAGTAGAGATTTCTGAAACATCTCTAATAAAATCATGTCAGAACTTGAAGCCCTGTTATCTAGGTCATTCTTCTGGATCTGGTGGTTGTCAACACCTCTCTAAGCAGGCTTCAGTTTTTCTCATCTTTCTAGCCCGACCCCTGACAGCAATGTCTGCTAGCTCAAATTGGTATTGTTATTTTGTATTCTGCTCTTTTCCCACAGCTTTGTTTCCATCATTCAAAAGTCTGAATACTCTGCTAGGCTATGAGGGCACAGATATATTCAGAAAAGGGTCTCACTTAGGGAAATAACTCCCAATGTGTCACCATAAAATGTTAAAAATACAAGGCAGACAAGACCAGGACTGTACCTGGTGCGCCCTACAGCCCCTCGTGGAGTAGGGAACAATGGGAAGGTCAGTTGGGGCAGGGGGGGTTCTGAGGGGGGCAAAGGCCGCAGAGGTGGATGGAGTTCTGTGGAGCAGCTTGAAAAGCCATTAATAAATCAGGAGTTCAACCTGGTCAGAAAACCCTTACATTGAGGATGAACTGGAAAAAAAGAAACTCATGATTAAAAACCAGTTCAGAGGCCTTGCAAACATCCAGGAGAGTCTAACTTATCTTCACCAACACTGCCACCAAACCTCAGGCTCAGAGGCATCATCAGAACATTCTTCTCGAAGCCCCTTCATCTTTCTTCATCTATTTCACTCTTAAAATCAGCTTCAGTCACCCTAAAAATTCACTGGCTTCTCTTTGCTCTCCACACTATCTTAGGCCTTTCCAAAGCTTGCCCAAGTGTTTTATCACATTATCTTACTCTGTTTTGTGTTACTATCACAGAATACCTAAGACCATGTAATTTACAAAGAAAAGAGTTTTACTTGGCCCACAATTCTGGTGGCTAGAAGGTTCAAGATTGGGCAGCTGCATCTGGCAAGGGTCTCAGCCTGCTTCAACTCATGGCAGAAAGTGAAAGGGGGGTGGGTGTGTGCAAAGAGACCACATGGCAAGAGAGAAAGCAAGAAAGAGAAACTGAGGAAGCCGGACTCCTTTAACAATCTGCTTTGCTGGGAACTAATCCACTCCCACCAGAGCAAGAACTCACCCCTATGGGAGGGCATTAATCTATTCATGAGGATCTGCCTCAGTGACCCAAGCACGCCCACCATGCCCCACCTCCCAACACCACCACATTGGGGGTCAAACGTCAATATGAGTTTTGGTGGGGATGAACTATGTCCTAACCACAGCGCAGATGAAGCCAACCTTTATTTCATTCTCACTTCTTACATTCCACTCAGGCCTGGAAAGCCTATTGGTCTAACTTGACTCAGTTAATGATTACATAAATGTTTACAGACAATTATAAGGGTTTGGTTTCCTATTTGGTTATGTGGGAGGTGTAAAGATAAAAGAGAGAGGCCTTCAAAGGGCTCTCAATCCTATAGCAGAGATAAGATGGCTACATGATACCAGGGATAAAGGCAAGGTAAAACCACTGCCTGGCAGCAGAGGACAGGAGGTGACGTGGGCAGTGCTGCTCCACGATTCATGAATGTTTCATGTGATAATGACAAACGATTGACTTTTTTCTGTTATACATTTTTCAACTTATTTTGATTTTTTGCAGGGTATCTTTTTATATTAATTCTTTTTTTTGTTTCGTTTTTAGAGACAGGGTCTTGCTCTGTTGCCCAGGCTAGAGTGCAGTTGCAGTGGTGTGATCATAGCTCACTGTAGCCTTGAACTTCTGGGCTCAGGCAATCCTCCCACCTCAGCCTCCTGAGTAGCTGGAATGACAGGTGTGCACCACCATGCCCAGCTAATTAAAAAAATATATTTTTTGTAGAGACGGGGTTTTGCTATGTTGCCAAGACTGGTCTTGAACTCCTAGCTTCGAGTGATACTCCTGCCTCAGGCTCCCAAGCACTGGGATTACAGGTGTGAGCCATCGTGCTGGCCTTATATTAATTCTCATGTGTGGATGCTTTTGATTAAGTAGAGTACCTAAATTTATAGCTCTTCAGGGTTCACAAATTGGAGGCAGTGGGTGTTGCGATTTCAGAAAGTCCTAATAATGTTATTGCCATTATTAGTCTGGCTATACATGTGATTCTTATCAAAAAATTTAATAATTCTTCCTTGCACATCATCAATGACAAGCTAAACTGACCACAAAGGCCCTTATGGTTTTGAGCAACATAAGCAACGTGGGGTGGTGATGCCCGTTTCTGGGCACATGGGAGAGAAAAGCAGCCTCCCTTTGGCTCTTCCTTGCAGACACCACAACCAATATATAAATGAAAAGAAGTGGCTGATGCCTCTAATTCCACCACTTCGGGAGCTCAGGCAAGAGGACTGCTTGAGGCCAAAAGTTTAAGACCAGCCTGGGCAATGTAGCAAGACTCTGTCTCTGCAAAAAATAAAAAAAAATATATTATTTTAAAGTGTGGTTGTTTACATCGGGTTCATCATTGTATAACGGATATCTGAAAGCATCATACAGAGAGGACCCTCTTTTTCAGGAGAAGCATAACATCAGAAGTGACATTTTGAAGATAATTAAAAATTTACAAAGTCAAGACATTTCAGTAAAGAAAGACTATGAGAGGAATTCTCAGTACTTCGAAGAGTCTAGGCCCCTTGAAAAAAAATCTAAAATGATCAGGCCTGGTTTCTTTTAAGGGTGAGACGCAGTCAGGAATGTAACATGCTAGTTTTGTTAAGGGTTGTCAGATCAACAGTAATTGCAGTGGCCCATTTTGCTTATTAGAGCCCTCTCACCTATTGGCATTCCGGGCATCTTGCATCAATCCTGCAATAAAACCAATTAAAATTGCATTAAAAGATAAAACCTGAAACTTTGCCAATAAACGCTAAATACACTTTAAATACACTCATTTTGCCTCATTCTTGGAAGGTATAAAATGGAAAAGAATGGTGTGAATGTTGCAAAGGCTTATTGAGGACAGTACCAATCTCAGGAGGTCAGCCCGGAAAATACAATTAAGTTAGTAAACTGTGCCCAGACTTGTCAAATTTCCAGGTCTGGTTTCCATCAGTACTGTATTTGAGGGATTTCCTAAGTTTTATGTGAAACTCTGTTTCTACCTGTAATAAAGTAAGGGAGATATTTCTGAGATAAATATGTATTGAAAAATACATAAAATGTCATGATAGGCAAGCTGAAATGTCACTTTCAAAACTCTATCCTTTAATCCAATTCATAGCACATATGTTTCACAAGAAAGCGTGGAATTTGCTCTGTGAACATCTTTTACAGAAATAAGAAGTTACATTTTAAGCATGAAACTTAAGGACAACTTGCATGAACAGAGCTGACCCATCAAGAATTTTGAAGAGTTCCAACTCCATGGATTATAAAAATGTCTTCTAGTTACACTCTTCAGAAGTACATAAACATAGGCTTAACTTCTATCCTTCTATAACGTTTGTAGGACTGCAAGAGGTAAGAATCTTCTAAGGAAAGCCATATTTCCTTTAATCAAAAAAGATAGCGAATTATATTCGCAGTTAAATGAGTGCTTAGCAAAGAAGTGTGTGTGTCACACGCTGGCACAGGTGGATGGAGGAGGGTGTATTTAAAAATAATACTTAAAATACTGTTAGCATCCAAAAATTCAAAATAATTGTCATCGGGTGGTGACATTTGTGGTTTGCATTTGCTTTTCTGTATTGTATACACTTTTTGCATTAAATATGTAGTTGTTAGTATTTAGAAAAATAATTGCTCTATGAAAACAAATAAATGGGTATTAGAAATACAAAGAGAGTAGCTGACTGAATCTACTTGATTGGTCCCAGAGAAAAGAAAATACCCAAGTCAGATGGTCGACACTTATTTCTTACATCAACTGCATTCCCTCATTTGGGCACAGCTGATGGTCTAAGATGGCGCCACAACATTCTTGATGTCCTGCTACCCAGCTCAATATTTGTATGCAAATATTTAGGAAACATGCACAAAATTGAGCAAGTGGGATATACCACTTTAACAATAAGCATTCATAATGCTATTTGTACGACTACCTGCAGAGAACAACACTGGATGATCTCTTTGGAAATTTTATAAATGGAACACTGTCAAATTTGTAAGCAACATTTTAGACAGCAAATATGTTGCTTGGATTTTAGCCGTCTTAAACACTGCAAGCGGCTTAACCTTATCTCCTAGTGCCACTGCCTTCCTGGAGTAATTGATGCTTGGAGTCCCCAATTTCACATAAACCAGGACACTGTGTTATTGTATACAGCAATCTGACTGCTGGCAGAGACAGGAAACTGCACTGAACCCAGATCAATAGACATGTCAACAGTAAGCTGCTTAATCTAATTCAGCCTATCTCATCTCAGGGCACAGAGTTTGCAATTTTGCTGTTGGGTCCCTCTGGCAGGAAATGGTTTGGAAAGTTTAGTCTTAAGAAGTTTAAGTGATATGCTTATCCTTCAGGCTCTTGAATGTTTATTCAGCAGAATAGCTGCTTTAAATGTTTTATAAATGGCAGTAATGTAAACAAGGCATGTCTGACTTCCCTCACATGTGAAAACTATAATGGTGATTTCCTTGACTATGGACATAAAGATTAACACTACAGCCAATTACACTTTAGAGGAAACTGCTTGGGTCCACATTTTTAGCAAATGCCATCTTTAAACTCTGTCCCCATCCCCATCCTCATTGAATGACATTCTTCTCAGAAAAAGAAATGCTTTGATTTATATAAATATTTGTCTCTTTAACTATATTAGACAAATGACTTCTGTGGTTATGAAACCTCAAACGCTTATCCATCAGAGCATCATTCTTCTTCCTTGGAATAGTGTGATAGTGTGGGTGATAGGAAATCGTGGGTTGGTATGGAAGACACAGTGTGAAATCCAGTAACTCTGGCCTGCCTTAGACATCAACATCTCGGTGGGAGGATGTCCACCTCACTGCTTCCCTGTCCCTGGGTGCTCTCACTTGCTTGTTCTTGCGCTGTCTCTGTCTCTCTCCAGGAAGGGAGAACTAGATCGTACACGTCATCACTTGGAAGATAGAGTGTTAAATATCTGATACTGCTCACAGCTTTGGTGCAACTTGTCCTTGAATTATCAAAAAAGGAAGGGTACATATCATTTTCTACCCTTGTAAAAACACTCCCTTTGTACAAGTCTCAATACTTGTATGTATAAGGATAAGCTTTTGGAAAGGCTAATTCATTATTACTGTCATCCTTAAAATGCCCGTTACAGAGGTGTAACAGGTGGTGCGATCCCACTTCATGGATAAGGAAATGGGGGGCCGGTGTGTCAAGTGCCACACCTTGGAGCAGACAGCAGACTACAGGGATAGACGGGCATGGAACCATGCTCGTGGCGTGCACTGAGACAAAGCAGTGCATGAGGAGAAGCTTTGTAATCATGAAGTACAGAGGCAGTCATGCATGACTGTGGCCTAAGGGTGAGATGCTTTTGGATTTTGAATCGTGGGATATTTATTCAGTTCATATTTACTGAATTCCTATTGCAGGTCAGGCTTTGTTCTAGGTACTAGGAACACAATGTTGAACAAGACAGGCAGGATTCCTCCCTCTGCGACTCTAAAGAGGGAGGTAGACACCAAAAGGTACATAAATAAGTAATGTAGTTTCAGATATTGACGGATACCTTAAAAAATATAATGAAGTCATGAAGAGTGACAGTGGGAACTGGACACATTGGGGGGCAGGAGCTGTCCTCTGAAGACATGACATCTGGGCTCATGTTTGTGACCGATGCCAGAATACTACCTCCCTTCCACAGGCACCTCCTGCACGCCCCTACGTCCCTGAAACATCACTCATCACTCACAAAGGAGATTCAAGACAAGGAAGGAACACCATGCACACCTGACTGTTGGTCTTTTAACCTTCAGATGCTTGTAGTTTCCAAATTATGCTCTGAATCTCAGGACTTCTCAACCCATTAGACTCTATTCTGGAAAATTCTATGGAAGGCACATGACATCTTTTCATTCTTAGTATAGGAGTTGGAGGAGTTGGCACACAGGACCACACTTGGTGCTCTGTCATTGTTTGCTGAATGAATAAATTAATAAATAGGACCAGAAAAATCTCATAATCAACTTCTGTTAACTAACCACCATGAAAAAACAAGCTACAGATGATCACCCTGAAGATGTGAGTCAAGAGAGTATCTCTAAGCCCCATTTAAAGCAGACTAGCTTCTAACCACTCCGTCCCCACCCAACCCTCCACAAACCTACTCAATTCTGAGATGTGCCCAAGTAACAGACGGACTACTTAGCAAATCACTGGTAAAACTGGGAAGGGCGGGAAATACTTTGCCATTTGGGGCACTTCTCCAAGAGAAAAACAAATTTTTTTTTGAAGTTTTCAAATTTATTTTAAAGAAGGTCGTGACAGCAATGAAGAAGTTGGAAGAGGAAGAAAAAAAGAAGAATCAGCCATGAGTGGAAAGATGGATTGGAGAGGTCATGGAGGACAGGAGATGAGGAGGGCATGGGAAATGGGGGATGGGACATGGCATGGGGGAGGAGGGATGTCGTGTGGGGTGGGGGATGCAAAACCAGAAAGAGGAAGAAAAAGGGTGAAAACCTAACTGTTCTATAATCAGTGGCACCTGAAAATAATAGCCCATCAAGATTCCTATTTTAAGATCAGATCCGCATTCCAAGTCCATCAACCAAAACCGAATAAATAGTTCAAATCATCACAGGATTTCAGGATGGGCCAAAAGTAGCCATAGTATTTAAAGGCCTAGAGCAGGAAGAAGAACTCACTTCAAATGTTCACGCTAAAAAGTCAAAATCCTTTAAAGGTATAGGAATTATTAGTTCACTTTTTCAGCTGGGCCTGCCCACTTTATGTCAAAATCAAAATGAAAAAATCTAGTAACCCATTTTCTGGAGTTCTCAATAATCTCAGCCTCCCTCTTTTTTCAAGGGCAATCATAGAAGGCGGTCTTAGGAGGCTGATATCCCAACTGTGGCAGAGGGGCCTGGCAGTAGGAAATGTTGCAGAGAATGCCTGAAACACTGAGAAACAAAATACTGACAAACTCCATTAGCAGAAAGAAAATAACTCCAGGAAAAAAAATGGTTCCATTTATTATGGTACATATTTTTTAATTAAAGATGAGGAAGAAACCCCACAAAAGATGCCATTAGCTCTTCCACTTTAGCGGGGGTATGCACCCCCCTCTTAATTATGAAACAAAGCACACCTTCATGCACCTGGTGATTTTCTATGCAATGGCGTAGTAGAATGTTCAACAGGGATTGTTTTAATAGGGCTGGTAATGAGATCTGGGTGAAAAATCTCTCTGTTAATTTAGCAGGCCTCCTGAGATGTAAAATTTCTAGTTTGCAGGTGTTTCGAAGTTCCTTGCCGAGCCTAACCTCAGCCTGCCCCCTGGTTTTGATGTTAGGATTTAAATATCACCTGTAAATCTCTTAGTCATTTTGTCCCCATCAAAAATCACTTCTAGTCTCTTCTTGCCTCTCCACTAGTGTGAGTCTATTTTGATTTGCCTGGTACTAACTAAAATGCTACTAAATTTGGCACTGTACTAATCTATAAATTTTGAAAGCAAGACTCTACAGAGTTTAAACCCTAAGATCTTTCCAATCAAAGGCTAGGCGACCTCAAATGGCCAGGATGGAATGGAGCAGCTGCTGTCATTTCATGACCTTTTTGTTTTACGAACGCATCAGTCCCTGTAAGCCTACTTAGATAAATGACTTGCAAATTAAAAGAAACATTTTTATGATTCACTGCAGTAGCTTGCTTTTTGGGATACAAGGTTAAAAGTGAACAGTAAACCTTTTAAGGTTATTGAAACTGAATTATTAACGCTGGGTTTCACCTTCCTTTTGTCCTCTTTATGGCATTCTTCCTAATTACTCACTGCAACTCCACTCCTACAAGTTGTAAATCAAATGAAAAAATCTTTAAAGCACAGAAACACCTGATTAAAATATTCAACCACAAGGGAACCACAGAGACGATAGGGAGTGACATCCCGCGTTTTTAAAAAATATGAAGCTTCTGATAGCTTTTGAAAAAGTATGTTGTGAAAATTGCACTTTCATCTCCGGAAGTAACCAAAAGAACAGTCCCATGTTTGAAATCCATTTGTAACCTTCAAAATAATGAGCACTTTTCTCTACTTGGATCGCACCTGGTGCCTCACACCCCAGAGTGCATTTTACCTGTGCGATTTTGTGCTCAAACAAGAGCTGTTTCAAAGAGGGCTGGTGACTCTTGGCAGAGAGTGAAGTTTTCCTTCAGCCCTCTGAATAGGGGGTGATTGACAAAGCTCTGAAACCACAATACAGGCACCCGAAATGCAATGGAGGAATGCCTAATTCTGCCTTACCTACTTGGGGCCTCCATTTCCTAAGCTGTGAAATGGGGGTGATGGCACCTTCTGCTTAGGTCCTAGTTGGGAAGATTATGTGCACTTCTCAGCACATAGTTGGTTCAATAACATATTCACAGTGGGGACTAATGTGCTACATATTTCATAAAGGTATGGTTCTATGATTCCCCAAACAGTTTGAATTAGTTAAATGGATTCTGACTAATAAAGCCTACCCAATCCCACCTCTTGGTACCCACGCATTACATCTGGGATAGCAGCGGGAGAGCTATTGAATGTGAGGAAAGGGCTAGGAATGGGAGCAGGGCCACCTTTGGGAGACGGACTGGCCACTTCAAATGGCCTGATTTAAGGGGCTCCCAAAAGCAGTGCCATCCCCAATATCTTCCCTTCCTGCAGGGCTGGGTGAAACATCTGCTATGAGCAGGACCTCCTCCGTGGGTGTGCAACCCTGACAGGCACACAGAACCCAAGCATGGAGGGGCTCTGCTGTTCCCGTCTTGCCACTCTCACTATTTTATCTTTGATAAGTGAAGTCTGATGGGTTAAAGGCGCACGTGCATGGTGCATGGGAGAGGCCATCCGGTGATGTGCATGTCCACCGCTTTCCTTGTAGCCCCATTTGTATGGCCACCCTTGACACCCTATGAGCGCAAGCTTCCCATGGACCAGGGAAGCCTGGGAGTTCCGCAGAGGTGCTGAGAGCCTCAGGAGGCCACTCTTTTCCATTCAAACCAGGACTTGCCTTTTTTTTTTTTTTTTTTGATAAGTAAAAATTGTAGCTATTTATGGTGTACAATACGATGTTTTGATATATGTATAGGTGGTGGAATGGCTAAATCAATTAGCATATGCATGACCTCACGTACTTATTTTTTTGTGGTGAGAATACTTAAAATCTACTCTCTTAGCAATCAGAACTTGCTCTTAATGCAGAAAGAAGGCAATGGCATTCTATAAAACACGAATGACCAGGGAGCCCTATCCGTTCCTTTCTTAACAAGTGTGTTATATCTCTGTTAGTCAACCACTTACACCAAAGATGACATAGAAAGAAAAAGATCAGGCAACCTGTAGTACCCTTCCTTTTAGTCCTTCCTTACTCATCAGTAAGCCAAAAGTCAAGGGTGTGGGGACAATGTCCATGTGTAAAGAAATGAGATACAAACCGCTGAGTTAGTTTTGTGTTGTGTTTCACCATTCTATTGACAATGCAATACACATGCATGTATAAGCTATGAAATACGAGTTATGTCATTTCAGTGATTCTACATACCAGCTAAAGGCTCTTACATTTGCTTTAAAACTGACGTTCATCACAACAGTGTGAATACACTTAATGTTACTGAACTGTACCCTTAAAAATGGTTAAGATGGTAAATTTTATTAAAAACCTCTAGCATTGCACTATATAAAGATGAAAGGTAAAATTCATGCTAATGATTTAAAAGTTTATTTTATTTTTCTTAGAGTAACATTCAATAGCAAATTAAAAACATCATGACAAGTTGGGAAGGAGACCACAGAAGAAAGAAACATGCCTTTTATTTTAATACCTTTAAAGGGATTTTTTCTTGCGCTCTGAATAAGGGGCCCAGCATTTTCATTTTGCACAAGCCCTCACAAAGTATGTATTAACAGCTAGCACCGACCAGCAGCCAGTTATTTGAGTCAGTCTTTGTCCCTGGAGTGGCTTAAGGACAACTAAGGCCTGCCCAGGAAGGATTAGGACTTTCCCCTTGCCCTGCAGAAAGCGGTCCCTCCTACTAGGGACTGACAGCATGAGGCCCCAAATGGGAGACCCCTTCAAGATCTAGGAACCTTCTATGTACGTACCTCGCTGCTCTTGCAGTAAATGTGAAAACACAAACAGCAGCAACAGCAGAAGCTTTCTGGCATAACCAGGATAGTAATAAATGGAGAGAGAGAGAGATCCATCTGGTGGTGAAGGGAGAGTGTGGTTCTCACCTATGTGAAGGTACCCCAGGTCTGTGAGCGTCCCCAAGGTCCAGAAAGCACTTGCCAGATGCTCAGAACTGGATCAGCACTTTACTTAATTTCTACCTTCAAAGGGAGCTTTCCTGCTCTATCAGCCCTGCTGAATCTGCTACCTCAGTTTACAGAGTCACATTGCTCCTCTGTATTCCAAATCACAGCACGATAAGTCCAAGAAAGGAAACCAAAAACAAAACCGCTCTCTTAAGCATTTGCTAGCTTTGACCACACTCAGGACACTCTCTGCTCCCATCCTCGCCTGGCCCACCCGGCTCTCCTCTCACCTCTCTGGGCAGCACTCCTGCGCCTATTCAGCTGCCGAAAACCTTTTCGCAGGTGTACCGTGGGCCCGGAATTGTTCAGGCCTTCCCTTTAGTCATCTCATTGGGAACTCATAGTAACCCTCTGTGTTCGGTAAGTCCCACAGTTGGAAGAGAAGCAGGTTCTGAGAGATGAAGCTGGACGTGTGGGGTCGGAGAGCAGAGGCAGAGCAGGAAACACACGGGGCCTGTAGACCACACTGTCCCATCACCTCATGGGGCTCGCAGGGCAGGAGGAAGCCACCAGGCAGGGTTGGAGGACAGGATGTTACACAAGACAACTGGCCCAGATTCCGCCAAAATGCCACCAACAAGAGGGACATAAAAAGGGGAAGGGTGGGAGAATGAACGTTCCAGGTGAGAAGAAACTGAAAAAGACATGATGGCCAAAAGCAATGCATACATTTAACAGGATCCCAGATCGAAAACAAACTATCCCAATTAAGGGAACTTGAAAACAGGTTATATATTAGATACTATTGAATCAGTGTGTTTCTTTATTGTTGGGAGAGTTTCTAAAAATAACCAAGGGACACAGACCCATCTCAGGAGACTGCTTAGCTCTTTACGTGGGGGAAGGCGAACAGGGTGAGAGATAAATTTGACCATATCCATAATGTGTGGTTTACTTAACAAGAACTCTAAAGGATAAAAAACAATCAAGAGATACCATATGAGCTACAGACTGCTACAGAGAAATTGTATGGGCTTAGCATAATCAAGTTCATGTCAGCACAGAAATAGCTGAAAACAGTAATAATGACAGCCATCTATTAATAACTTCTTATGCACAAGGTAGGTCCACCCAGCCTCTATATATTTCCTCATTAACCTTTGTAACATCTCTGTGAGACAGGTGTGAACACTGCTTGTATTGAATGGGAAACTGGGGCTCAGAGACCATGTCACACACTCAAGGACACACAGCCAGCAGGTGGCAGCCCCTGGATTCTAACCCAGGTCTTCATGGCTCTAATCCCAGCCTAATCACTTTTCTAAATGACATGTTTTAAACTACATCAGAGGCGAGACAATAGAGGTGGATATTTTAAAAGCTTGTTCTTAAACCTTGAGGGTGTACTTGATCCTTACAGTTTGATATGGTTCAAACTCCTAAGCAGGTCAGCCTCAGGAGGGAGAAGTCGTCTCATTCTGACAGCCTGAGCCAGATCCTATAATCATCAACGCCCTTATATTCCTGTCTCAAAACAACAAACTTTAAGAGATTGACCTAAAAGCTTTTCATAAGACACAGTTAAGACGATCAATATCTGAATACATTGCTCAATGAATCCTGCTTAAGTTGACAATATGGAAAGATAACTTCTCAGCTGGACTGGCAAAAATCTCACAAGATTTTGCAGAGGTACATGGGGGAATTAGAGCAATATTTCTTCTTCTTTCATCAGTGTTTTAAGCATACTGAAACTCCCCCTCAGGGGAAGAGACCAGGTGTCACTCGAGTGTGCATGTGTCTTCCACAGGCACAGGGCACAGAGCTTTACACACTCTAAATCCTCAGTAAATATCTGCGGAGAAAGGAGACTAGATTCTCACCTGAATATGCAGAGATATAAACAAACTCCAGTGCAGCAAATTTAAGATAACTCTCTAAAGCACTGGTTGTTGTCACACCTGTGAAGTAGGAAAACTTAGGTGCCATAACAGGAAGTGCACAGGGCGGGCAGAGGGACAAGTGCCCATCTCTGCAATCAATAGGGGGCCATGAAACCCTCGGCCAAACAAAGCGCAGAATGACTGGGAGTAAATAGCAGAGGTGGAACTGGTCGCGTGTCTGCTGTCATCTGAGGGTTTCCAGGTTTTCTTAGACATGCTATTTCATTAGGCCTGGAGCACTTATCCATCATCCTGTTCAAGTTCCATCAAATCAGTGTCCCTTTTTATATGTCTATCTCAAAAAGCTACAAAGCAGTCTACTGAGTACTGTCAGCTAGAATGATTTATTCCTTTTCCTGAACAAGCTGGTTCCCTGGCTCTATTTTCATTGTTGTTGTTGTTTCAAATGCTTGACTGTTTTAAATTTTGAAAGAGAGACAGAAAAAAAAGAGACCAAGATTTTCAAGGTTTAGAGATGTTAATATTTAATCAAATTTAACCAAAAATATTTTAGGTCCTACTATGTTTCAGCCATTGAAAACACCAAGATGAATAAGCTCATATTCCAGTAGGGAACACAGACATATACACATCATGACAATACTGGATTTCATATTCAACAACAGACAAATGTACACAGAGATAAGTAGGAGGAAGCTGTATCAGAGTGGAGAAGAGAGGACACGGAAAGTACCACAGAGAGCTTAAATATCCAAGATGGGTTCCAGAGGACAAATGAAAGTTCACCAGGCAGACTGGACTAGTTTTTTTTCTCTTTTTTTTTTTTTAGGACAGAGTTTCACTCTTGTTGCCCAGGCTGGAGTGCAGTGGCATGATCTCGGCTCACTGCAACCTCCACCTCCCGGGTTCAAGTGATTCCCTTGCCTCAGCCTCCCAAGTAGCTAGGACTACAGGCACACGCCACCACACCCAGCTAATTTTTGTATTTCTAGTTGAGACAAGGTTTCACCATGTTGGCCAGGCTGGTCTTGAACTCCTGACCTCAGGTGATCAACCCACCTTGGCCTCCTAAAGTGCTGGGATTACAGGTGTGAGTCACCATGCCCGGCCAGACTGGTCTGTTTTAATTATCGGTTAAAACATACACATGCGAGCAAGATAACTTGAGTTTCTTACCTCATCTCATATACAAAAATTATCTCAAAATGGACCATAGGCATGTACATAAGAGCTAAAACTGTAAAACTTCTGGAAGAAAACATAAGAGAAAAATCCTCATGGTTCTGGGATAGGGAAAGAGTTCTTAGATATGACATCAAAAGCATGATGAAGGAAAATAAAGTTGAAAAATTGGATTCATCGAAATTAAAAACTTTTATACTTCAAAAGACAACAGTAAGTAAATTAAGAAACAAGCTACATTGTTGTAACCTTGGGCATTAAAAAAATAAAAAATACATAAACAAGTCCCAGACTGGGAGAAACACTGGTAAACCATATATCTATTACAAAGACTAGTACCCAGATCTATAAATGACTTACAATTCAGTAAGAAGATAAGCAATCTTATAAAAACGGAGGCAAAAGATATGAATAGTTTACCAAAAAAGAAAGAAAATAGGCTATTAATCAAACAAAAAGATGTTCAACATCATTAGAAAAATGCAAATTAAAATCATAAAATACCACTTCACACTCACTAGGATGGCTATAATAAAAAGGATACACAATAGGCTGGGTGTTGTGGCTAATGCCTGTAATCCCAACGCTTTGGGAGGCTGAGGCGGGTGGATCACTTAAGGTCAGGAGTTTGAGACCAGCCTGACCAACATGGTGAAACCCCGTCTCTACTGAAAATACAAAAAGTAGCTGGGTGTGTTGGCACATGCCGGTAATCCCAGCTATTTGGGAGGCTGAGGCAAGAGAACTGCTTGAATCCAGGGGGCAGAGGTTGCTGTGAGCCAAGATCGCACCACTGCACTCCAGCCTGGGGGAAAGAGCGAAACTTTGTCTCAAAAAAAACTAGACAGACAATAAGTAGTACTGGTGGAGATGTGACTATATTAGAACTCTCAAACATTGCTGGTGGGAATGTAAAATGATTCAGCCACTTTGAAAACCAGTGTGGCAATTTATTAAAAAGTTAAACATAAACTTAGCAAATAACTCTGCAATCTCACCCCTGGGAAATAAAACGTGTCCACAGAAAAACTTGTATGCACAAGTTCATAACAGCATGATTCATCATAGCCCCAAACTGAAAAGCCCAAATATTCATCTACTGTTGAATGAATTAAAAAAAGTAGTATATCTTATAATGGGATACTATGAAGCAAAATAAAGGAAGGAACTATTGATATATACAACAGCATGAATGCTAAGTTAAATGAACAGATGAATGCTAAGTTAAAGAATCCACATGCATGGCAAAGATTTCACGAAGAAGACTCAAAAGCAATTGGAACACAAACAAAAATTGATAAATGGGACCTAATTAAACAGCTTCCGCGCAACAAAAGAAACTATCAACAGAGTAAACACACAACCTACAGAATGGGAAAAAATACTTGCAAACTATGCATCTGACAAAGGTCTAATATCTGGAATCTATAAGAAACTTAAATCAACATGCAAAAACAAACAGCTCCATTAAGAAATGGGCAAAGGACATGAACAGACACTTCCCAAAAGAAAACATACATGTGGCCAACAAGTATATGAAAAAATGCTCAATCAACATCACTAATCATTAGAGAAATATAAATCAAAACCAGAATGATCTCCACACCAGTCAGAATGACTATTATTAAAAAGTCAAGGCTGGGCGCTGTGGCTCACGCCTGTAATCCCAGCACTTTGGGAGGCCGAGGTAGGTGGATCACCTGAGGTCAGGAGTTCGACACCAGCCTGATCAACATGGGGAAACCCCATCTCTACTAAAAATACAAAAAAATAAGCTGGACATGGTGGTACATGCCTGTAATCCCAGCTACTCAGGAGGCTGAGGCAAGAGAAGCGCTTGAACCCGGGAGGCAGAGGTTGCAGTGAGCCGAGATTGCGCCATTGCACGCCAGCCTGGGCAACAAGAGCGAAACTCTGTCTCTAAATAAATAAATACATACATAATAAAAAAATAACAGATGTTGGTGAGGTTGTGGAGAAAAGGGAATGCTTACAAACTGCTGGAAGGAATGTAAATTATTTCAGCCACTGGTGGAAAGCAGTTTGGAGATTTCTCAAAGAACTTAGAGCTACCATTCAACTCAGCAATCCCATTACTGGGAATATATATATATATTCCCAGTAATGGGAATTATTTTTTATATATATATATATATATATATATATACTGGGAATATATATGTATATATAAAATTTATATACCCAAAGGAATATAAATCATTCTACCATAAAGACACATGCACGCCTATGTTTATCATAGCACTATTTACAATAGCAAAGATAATGGAACCAGCCTAGTTGCCCACCAATGGTGGACTGAATAAAGAAAATGTGGCACATATACACCATGCAATACTAGGCAGCCATAAAAAGGAATGAGATCCTGTCCTTTACAGCAACACAGATGGAGCTGCCATTATCCTAAGGAAATGAATGTGGGAACAGAAAATCAAATACTGTACGTTCTCAATTATAAGTGGGAGCTAAACATTGAGTACACATGGACACAAAGAGGGAACAATAGACACCGGGGCTTACTGGAGGGAGGAGGGTAAGGACTGAAAAACCACGTAACCACTACTATGCTCACTACCCGGATGCCAAAGTAATGTGTACACCAAGCCCCCATGACATGCAATTTGCCCATGTAACAAACTTCCACGTGTACCCCCGAACCAAAACATAAAAGCTGGAAGAAAAATAAAAAAGAATCTACATGCAAAAAATTATACATATTAACGGTTCCATTTATATGAAATGTCTAGAAGAAGCAAATCCACAGAAGCAGATAAGCTGGGGTGAGAACACTGCTGGGATTTTTGTGGATAGAAATGTTAAAAGACTAGATTGTGGTGACAGTTGCACAACTCTATGAATTTACTAAAAATTATAGACTTGTACACTTTAAACGGGTGAATTATATGATATGAACATTATACTTCAATAAAGCTGGTATAAAGTATTGGTTAGGATGAAAATGGCAGAGGAAGATATGGGATTTTAAGCAGCACAGGAGCTGAATCGTGTTCAACAAAATTACTTAAATGAAAAAACAGACCCTGTGCTCCCAAATGCAAGCTGAGACATCCCCTCCACCATGTGAAACTCTCTTCATCTGTCCCTTTATTACGCACGTGTGTTTCTGAGGCAGGTAACTCTGGGATTATATTGAAGCTTCTCTCTTTTTTGCTTTTTATTCCTGTAGTCACCACACCTCGTCTGAGATCACACTTCTTTCCTCTTTATATCCAAGTTACTCCATGGCCCTGATCTCTGTTTCTCCTGAGTAGAGGGCTGATGAGGACATCATAACAGTGTTTCCTTATCATTTCCTTCAGCCTCCAAACCTCCAGCAACTGGGTCCCCTGTCCCTTTGACTCAGTCCTCACAACAGCCACACGCCTAGCCAATGGGATCACCAAGCCCAGCTTCTCAGCATCAGCTATATGACTGCTTCTGCATGAGATGCCTCTCCTCCAAATACAGCTTAAAAAATTTTCCTCCTCCTTATTTTATTTAGAGACAGAACCTTGCTCTGTCACCCAGGCTGGAGTACAGTGGCATGATCACAGCTCACTGCAGCCTTGAACTCCTGGGCTCAAGCAATTCTCCCACCTTGGCCTCCTGAGTAAGCTGGGACTACAGGTGTGTACCACTATGCGCAGCTAATTTTAGAATTTTAGAATTTTTATTGTAGTGTAGAATTTTATTCTAGTGATAGGGTCTTGCTATGTGACCCAGGCTGGTCTCTGAACTTCTGACATTGAGTGATTCTCCTACCCTGACCTCCCAAAGCGCTAGGATTACAGGTGTGAGCCACATCTGGCCCCAACTCTTCTTTTTAAATACATTCCACAACTGTTATGCCTAAATATGCCTCTTTAATACTATCATTTTGCTCTTGTTCATACGTCCCATCATAATTCTTCTCTAGTTGAGGGTGCGTGTGTGTGTGTGTGTGTGTGTGTGTTCAACCTGCTCAAAAACTCCAGGTCACAAACTCTGTTCTGCCTCATATTTCTTATGTTTTCAGTACACCTAATCAATTTTTGTTGTTTTTGTTACTGGGCAATGAATGAACAAGCAAACAAATAACCAAAGGAGAGAATGAGTGAAGTGCTGATGCAACAAAGAAACATGTCTTTCATTTTATTCATCCAATTTGTGCATTTTAGTACCTTTTCTTACATAAAAGTCTTAAGTGAGAACTATTCATCTAGCTTTTGTCATGTGGCTCTCAAACGAATTCCTATTTGCATTTGGACAGTTTAAAAATACTGAAGCGTTAGTTCACATTTATACACTTGGGCAGCAATGAGGTGCGACAGAAAAGGCAAATACATTAGTGTCAAATATGAATAACCTTTCCTTGCCCAGCTCTGGGGAGGCCCTGAGCTGAGGAAACAATGTGGCCTTCTGTTTCTATTTAATACATTGAGCAACCACAAATCAAAGACTGTAACCAATAAATAAATACATACCATAGAACATAAACCTACCCAGCCACAGAAATCAGGAAAGCCTCAACATGTGGATTTCCTGAGCAGGGAGAAACACACCAGGGCCTGGTCCACCCAGCAGCAGCAGGTACTACCTGGAAGAACTTTGTGCCTCTTCCATCATCCCCTTCTACCTCTACTCCAGACCTCTGCATGAAGGCAGATTCCGTTCTAAACTCACACTGGTAAAGTTAAGTATTTTGTCTATATTTGCCAAAAAGCAATGTACAAAGACATCTCAATACGGCCAATATCTAGAGAAGAAATAGACTGAAAGTTTTCCATACCTAGCGACTCCCACTAGTCACCTGACTATAGGTCTGGACTGGCTCTACCTCCTCCAAATTATTTTTCCTTTAGTCAACTGAATACTGAGGATGTCTTGTCATATTTTGGCCTTTTCCTTCTCAATGCAAACCAACCACCAGGAAAGCTAGAAACTCTTTTTCTCTCTATTCTAAAATAACAAGTTTGGAGAGCAGAGAGGAAATTGTACAACTGGCAACTTAAAAAAACAAACTAGGGGCTGGGATTGGTGTGGTGGCTCACGCCCATAATCCCAGTGCTTTGGGAGGCTAGGGCGGGAGGATCACTTGAGGCCAGGAGTTTGAGAGCAGCCTGGGCAACACAATGAGACCTCATCTTTATCAAAAAATTTAAACATAGCTGGGCATTGGGGTGAGGATACAGTCCCAGCTACTTGGAAGACTGAGGTGGGAAGATCTCTTGAGTTCAGGAGTTCAAGGCTGCAGTGAGCTATAATCGCACCACTAGCATTCCAGCCTGGGTGACAGAGCGAGACCCTGTATCTTAAAAAAGAAAACCCCAACTGAAACTCAGGTTACTCCAGTTGTATCCAAAAGCGGAGGTTCATCCTAGCCACAAAAATTTCTCAGTTTGTCATATTTGTTTTAGACATCCACATATATATACATGTTCAACAAAATTTATTAAAATAGCTTTATATACTCTATTCTTACAGGAAAAAATATATACATGAGATATTTTTTCCTTTTGACATACACTAGTGTTATTAATATAATCTTAGGCAAAAAAAAAAAAAAAAAAAAAAGAACTTGTTCATTAACTACAAAGAATCAACTTTTGGTTCCTGAACTATATTACTTCCAGAAGTCACACTACTGGAAATATATTAGTTACCTCTGAAGGTCACAAAATTTCAATCAATTTTAGAATGTCAGGGCTGTCTATGGCATATTCCAAACCTCGACATTCAAAGTGGCAGCTGTGGCTTACAGATGATCATCTTTCAGGTCCATCTCTAACTGACGCAATTTCCACAGGGCAGAGATGTGCAGAAAACTTGTATGAGGCAAATGTCTTCTCTTGAATGTCTCTACCACTCCCCCTAAACAGCCACTCATTGTTCTCTGACATGGACAGATTTGCTTTAAATCTTCATCTTTTTTTTTTCTCTCTTGAAGCTCTCTTGCTTGTTAACGCCCTGACCTTCGCATCTGTGCTCAGATGACAGCTAATGTCATCTGCTCCAACAATGCCGACTATTGGCAAGGAACATAAGCACGCTCAGTGATGTCACTGAACTCATTAGGGATATATTTGACATTCTGGCCCAAGAGAACATACTTATTAAACACAACCTTAGTGATCAGCAGTGTGGCCTGTTGATAGTAAAGTAAAACAATACATGTTTTGTCCTCCTATAAAAATAGCACTTTGACCAAGAAATAGGCTTTCTGTTCTTATCTCCTTAATTATAGCAGCAAAGCAAACTAAGAGATAACTTACATACCAAGAGATAATAGGCCGAAACACTCAGCGCTATGTTAGGCGCTTCACAGAACTCGAATAAAGGTCCAAATATTAATCAATCATTAAGCAAATACTTCACTTTCCCAATCCTGGTTTGAGAGCAGAGTCAGAGGTTAATGCTGCTGAGATAATATTACCAGATACCACGTCTTATAGGTATTCAATAGCAATATCTAAATTATACTATTAGTCCAGATATGAGATATTTGGGGGACTGATAAAACTCACAAAATGTTTCTTCCAAGGACTCCAGTCAATTGCAATTTTATGACCCTATCTATTTGGTAAAGATGACTGGACCTGGATATGACAGACAGAAAGGGGAGCTTGAAAAGGTCACAGTAACATCTCTGCTCTGCAGCGTCACAGCACACACCTAAACAGTTTAGGAAACCTGGTAAAACACGGCCATGTGGGCTTCTCTTTAGACCTCACGAGAGGCAAACCTTTAATCAGGACTTAAAATCCCAACAACTTATCTTCTGAGATTTTTCAAACAAGATGACTTTTATACACGTGAATGAAATGTTCCTCTTTTATAGAACAGTATGTTGGAAGAAAGTTCAACACGAAAATCATAAAGGAATATTGTGCAATACAAACAAGAACTTGGTCCCCAAATTACAATATAGAGAAAGTAACTGGGAAGGGTAGGTAGGATTGTTGCCTCCTGGCAGGTATAGTCAAATGTTTTCCTTTTTTCTTTTAGAGACAAAGTCTTGCTGTATTGCCCAAGCGGGAGTGCAATGGTGTGATCATAGCTCACTGTAACTTTGAACTGCTAGGCTCATGCAATTCTCCCATCTCAGCCCCACAAGTAGCTAGGACTACAGGCACATGCCATCACGTGTGGCTAATTTTTTAATTTTTTGTAGTGACGAGATCTCGCTATGTTGCCAAGGCTGGTCTCAAACTCCTGGGCCTCCAGCAATCCTCCAGTCTCAGCCTCCCAAAGCTCTGGGATTACAGGCCTGAGCCACCGTGCCCGGCCCATCCTCAAATGTTAATTTTTTTTTTTTTTTTTTTTTTGCCTAGCTCCAAGTAGGCCCTGAACTGAGGAAACAATTTGGCCTTTACATTCCCTTGGACTCTCTGTGTCAGAATGGAGTGCCCTTGCCTCCCGTAAACTCTTCAGCCTACTACCCCATCAGGCGTGTAGCCAGATATCCTCATGTAGCTAAATCCATGGACATCATTCTGTTACATCTTAAGCATCTCTTAGGTCCGCTAGAAACAGTGGACTGCTGCCTCCTTCCTGTCTTGGTTTCTATAGGACTGCATTCTCTTGATTTCTATTATTCCTGCTACCCCATCTCAGTTTCCTTTGCTCCTTGTCGCTTCTGTACTGATCTCTCAACACAGGAGATTCCCAAGGGCTCAGAACTAGCCCTTCTCTCTCTTCCATTCTCTCCCTCGATGATATCGTCCATTTCCATGGTTTTAAATACCATCTGCATGTTGATTTCCACATCCATAACTCCAGTCTACATGTCTTCTCTGTCCACCATATTCACATATCTAACCATTTGCTTGACATCTCAAACTCAGCATGTTCTAAACTCAACACTTACAATGCTCTAAGCCTGTTTCTCTTGCTTTCTGCATCTCAAAAAGCAGTGCCCCAGATATTTAGTTGTTCAAGTCAGAATCTTGCCAGTCATTTTTTATTTCCTACCCAATAAGCATCAGGTCCTATAGGCTCTAGGTTTAAAATCGCTCTCTCGTCTATTTATTTCTATCCCATCCCACCTCCTAGTGCAAGCCTCCATGATTCTGTCCCAGGAGCAGCAGCAGCTCCCTCACACAGGCTTCCCTGCCTCAAGGCTGCCCACTGTGCTGGATATTCACCTACTGTCTGTCTCTGAGCTCCAAGGTGGCCCTTTACACTCTGCACTGTGATGTGGGAGCTGCCTTCTGCAGTTATTATCTCCAGTTACCCTGTGTTGCCTTTTTCTTCTACTTCCAACACCTGTGTAACCAAGCCCCTATACTAAATCTCATCTGTTTGAAGTACCTAGTGCAATTTCTGATATAACTACTGATATAGAACTACTTTGTAATCAATTTCTGATACAACTACTGATAAAACTACTTTGGCTGATGTAACTACTTTGTAATCAATTTCTGATATAACTACTGATACGTAACTACTTTGTAATCAATTTCTGATATAACTACTGATACATAACTACTTTGTAATCAATTTGTGATATAACTACTGATATAACTACTTTGGCTGATACAACTACTTTGTAATCAGTTTCCCTCATAAAAAGCCATTGGGATGTTTCAAAATTATGAATCAGACTATGCTCACAATCTAAAGAACACTATATGGCTCCCTATGACATCCGGAATAAAATTTCATATTTTAGCTTTGCCTCGGTAGGTTCATCTGCCACATACCTCTCTGATTTCTTCCCATACCACTCAACACACTGTAGCCACACTGACTACCTTCTAGTTTCTGGCCCATGCTAAACATCTCCCAGCCTTTTGCTTTGTCCACATAGCTCCCTTCTGCCTGGGTGGCTCTTTCCTCCCTTCTCTGCATGAATGACTTCTTTGCATCCTTCAGTACTCAGCCAAATGTCATCTTCCCAAAGAAATTATTCAGCACCTTGATTATGCTCTTATCATAATGTATTACAAAATATTTATTCATTTATTTTATTTTTTAGTTAACTCCCATCCCCCATGCTAGAAAAGGCAAGGACTTTATTGAACTCACCACTATGTACCCAGCACAGTGACCTCCAATATATATTTGCTCAATGAATGAATGAATGAGTAAATGGATATCATTCTTATGTTTTTGTAAATGAATGACTTTCAAATACCACAAATAATTGGTAAAAACAGAAATAGCTCTCTTTCTTATAAAAATGATTTTGCAAGGCAAATTGATAACATACATGCACTTTATGGAGAAAATAACTTAAAAATACTAGTCCATGGCGGATTCTTTAGAAATTGCTTTATTTACCAAGTTTTGTGCTATTTGTAAATTTTCCTTATCTATTTGCCAAAGCAATTTCTCCAAGGAACTCCATGAATCTGACAGTAATTAAGTTACTATTAATTTTTTAAAAATATTCTACAATTCAGATTACTAATTTAGTTAGGTCTTTCTCCTGCTTAATGTGAATTTATTAAGTTTTGCCATATTTTCTTCATTCATTTTTTAAAGGTAAAATTATTATGTTATAGAACTATAAAAGCTTCTTAAATTACTAGGTTGAAATTCCCAACAAATCTTCCTGGAACTATAAAAGCTAATGTCAGGGCTGAAGCATCGGAGAGATTTGCAGTCAGCCCAATTCTGCTGCTAAACATGACAATGACTTGGGTGAGAATCAGCTCATAGGTTGGTAAGATTCTAGGCATGCTTCCAGAGTCGACCACATTGACTTTTTGTATAACCTCATTCAAATTGTTTGCCCTTGTCGTGTTCTCTCCTACTCATAGATATTTTTGTGATGGATATGGCATTATTTGCAATTGGTGGCTATTTGTGGATAATTTGCTTTTTTTCCCCAATTCATCTATGTGTTTATAAAACGCCACATTAACTACCACTGACGTTTAGTTACTGAGTTCTAATGACTGACATAAACAAACAAATGTGTGTGTGTGAATGTGACTGGCATGAAATTGGATCTTGCCGAGTTCTGACTAATGATATCCACTTGTGGTCTTACTGGTCTGAATGTGAGTCAGGTATGCATATGTATGAAGAAGGAAGGTTGCAATAATTGCTCTGGCTTTTGCATGTCTTTTATATTTTACATTGTACTAAACGATTTTGATTTGTTCTCAGAAAATGTCTGACAATATCCAGTTCAATGCATTTTCCAGCTGAAATGTTTCCAAACATGGTATTTCTCTCTAAAAATATCCAACCATATAAGTATATTCAAACACTTTTAAAAGTATTTGAATTAACAGAGATACCGAGAAAACTCTGCACAACTAAAAGGGTGTCACTAGGACAATGTCATCTTCTCTATAGCTGGTGAATGCCAAATGTTGGAATCAGAGTTTAAAAAGACCTTGGAGATTATACCTAATCCAACCATCTATTGAAGTACAAGGCTAGTTTTGGGGTATGTGACGGCTATAATATGGGTAACCTACAGCTTATGATCTAAGGAAATGGGGAGAGAGAGCACTTACTGGAGAGATGATGACTAAATTTCACAATCTACACAGCCTACTGTCTGTCCAGTGATATCCATAAAAGAAAACTGCATCTGTAGTAATAGACACCATTTACTGGGCTAAACACAGATATTGAAGCTTATTTTTTTATTTCCCACTCTTATTCCATTTATTTCAGTTTCCAGGGCTGCCTGACCGGGACTACTTTAATACCACCTTTACTAAAGTTTTCCACAACTATAATAAAGAACACGTAACACATTTGTGTCAATACAGGACTAAAGATAACAACATTTTCCGATAATGAGTATATGACAAATAACTAAAAGCTTTAATTATAAAAATATTCTTTTCCTTTTAGCAAGGTAGAAACCTTTTGTTGCGCTACTGTTGTTTTTCCTGTTTGGTATTATGGAAAAATTGTCTTGCAACCCTGACCGCCTTGCAACAACTAGTTTACAGGAAGGAACAGACCTAGACCCATGCTAGTACTCAAGACGGAAAACGTTAACAGATGTCCAAATCTCTTAAACCAATGTGAAATTTTCAAAAGTTTTAGTGGGATTCAATAAGAAATAATGTGGGGCTAAAGACCTTCACAATTCTCTTAGCACCAATCAAGTCTATTCTCCAATAAGTCTGGATGACTGCAACTCTTTTCATCAAGGGAGTGCAGGGGGAGAGTGAGAATTAGGGTTCTTAAAAGGATGGGGAAACTAAGAATAATTTAGCTCTTGGAAAATATTATTCCCAATATTTATCAAAGTTGACGTTAAAATACCATAAAATTAGATCCTCTACAAAAAGAGTGTTTAAATTTATCCGAATAACAGAGAAGCTGTAACGGACAGATGCTGAGGTCAAGACAACTAGCCTTTTACAGCTAATACAAAACCTATTACAGCCCTCGATACACATTGCTGGGTTGTGAGAATGAGCATGTGTCTGTAAACTCTTAACCACAGATGAGAGGCTTGCTTCCTGAGGGTTTTTAGTTTCTTTTAAACAGATGGTCCAAAGTGAGGATGAAGGAAGCTGTTTTGATCCATTGTGTAGGTACAGAATGTTATCTTTGTTTTGTTTAAGCACTACACTGCCTAGAGTTAAATAACTGGGTGAAAATTCTCAGCTTTAACTTTGAAGCTAGAGCACATGGAGACAAAGTGTTTGATAATTTTCTTCAGTGTATTTGCATAAATGTTTACTCTCCTGCAAATATGAATATAAACACAACTATTCTTATTTATTTAGTTAAGGGTTAGGTGTACTTCTATACGCACTGTATATATATTTTTTAACAACCATGATAGTTTTTTGTAGAAATAGGAGAAATGCTGCTGTTTAACAAGTTTAATTAAGGATGGGGGAAATACTCATATGTAAATTTCCATACAATATCTCAAACAGCTTTCAAAAGGCAGGAAGTAAATCTTCCTGACACATCTTTTGATTACATAAACTATGAACATATACAAGTGAATATAACTCTGAAATTTTGATTTACTCAGGGACATTTGATTAGGACATTATTCTGATATATATTATAACCCCACATTACATTGTTAAAATAATAAAGCTCAAAGTAGTACTTCTCCATGTACGTAGGATTGGGAATTAAGCATGTTGTCTTTTTAAACTTAGCATTTGGATGCAGTATTTTATATGCGTCTCCTGGCTTGGCTTCACACTGGTAAATGGTGTTTCATCAGGCCAAATGATGGGAAGGGTGGTCCATGAATTTAGTTTATGAATACTGACATATTTCAACCCACAAATAGGAATATAACATTGCATCAAAATGGAGCAAAAAGAGAAAAAAGCAGCAGCCAATAGGAAAATCTAGATGAACTAAACAAAGGCACTTAATTTAATAATGAAAACCACTCCAACTTACAATGTACTGTACTCCACCTCTAGCCATTGAATTATTAAAATAAATGCATATTCAGATGTTTCCCAAAGATGCTTTCCTTCTCTTTCAGATTCAAAAGAACGCCACTCTAATCCAATACAATTCTTTTCACTCTGCATTTCAGCAGCTGTCTTTCCTGATTTCTAATCAAAGCTGATGATAACTGGCTTTGGCAACAGACTGTAGTATCCCAAATGAGTAATTAAGGCTATAAATGTGCTCACTTCTTCCTCAAAACCCAGGGTGCATTTCATAGCCTAACAGATTCAGGCTCAACAAGGCTCTCCTGGTTGTTTTAAT
Source organism: Homo sapiens (assembly GCF_000001405.40). Taxonomy (NCBI): domain Eukaryota; kingdom Metazoa; phylum Chordata; class Mammalia; order Primates; family Hominidae; genus Homo; species Homo sapiens. The sequence continues at coordinate 34,238,384 of NC_000010.11, forward strand.
TTGGTCAGAATTTTTAATACATTAATAAAAGAATAGCTGAGGTTTTGTGTTAGCATTTTTCAATAGCTAGTTCCACTTAAACAATACAAATGTCAGTAGGGCTAACAAACTCCCTTAGTCCCAAACATCTCCCACACATAGGGGTCCCAGACAAAGAAGCTGGTAGCCAACAATCGGTTTTGACTAAGAAAGAGAAATACATGCCCTTAAAAAAAAAGCCTAAGAAAATATTTTGAAAATCACAGGAAATGCTTTTTAAAAAACCATGCAGTGCTGAACACTTTAAAATCTCAGAGAAACAGTGGTGACGGGAATAGACACTCACTTGGAAGATGACTCTAACCTGAAGGAATACGTCTCTCTTCTAACTCACTCCACCTCCTATAAGAAAGATTCTGAGTAACTCATAAAATGGAGGAAAATCCTAATAAATCCACTGTGTCAACCTGATTAAAAATAAGCAGCATTTTTTCCAGCTCTTAATAACTGCACTGTACAGCCATGAATATACATGGTTTTAAATATACATAACTTCAGAATAGAAATTTAACACTGACATATTTTATTTTAAACTTTTTTTTCTTCCTCATGCCACCAGTTTAAGAGCACTGACATATTTTAAAAGGAGAATAGACCTTCATTACAAATACAGATGGGTATTTTAAGAAAATAATCTAAAATAAGAGAAACAGTTCACCATTTCGGAATTTGTTTGCTTACATGCTTGACATGATTTGTTTTAAGTTAAATCGAACATTTTATTTAAGGTCATGTGAATTCTTAAAGAGAACTGGTGAATTACTAAGCTCTGATAGGCCATTTCTTTAATCTAACACCATCCTGAGGCTGGCAGCCCACTGAGTGCTGAGAGGATAAGCAAAAAGAGAATGTGGAGAACAGCTCTAGGCACGGTGGCCGATGGAAGGGTGCTCACTGGCTTCTTTCTGAAACAGCCTGGTGGACATCAGTACCAAAAGCGGAGCCTCCGCCTTGAGCAGAGGGCTCAGGGGAAGAAGTGTCAAGGCAGAGGCAGACACAGACTGAGAGAAGTGGGCTGAAGTCTACTTTCAGATGGAATCCTGGTTCCCCTAAGATCTTTCTGCTAAAACCAAAGTTTTTAAAAATTGGTGTTTGTGGGCCTGGTATGGTGGCTCATGCCTGTAATCTCAGCACTTTGGGAGGCCGAGGCGGGTGGATCACTTGAGGTCAGGAGTTTGAGACCAGCCTGACCAACCTGGTAAAACTTCATCTCTGCTAAAAATACAAAAAAGTAGCCGGGCATGGTGACGTGTGCCTGTGATCCCAGCTACTCAGGAGACTGCGACAAGAGAATCACTTGAACCTAGGAGGTGGAGTTTGCAGTGAGCCAATAACGCGCCATTGCATTCTAGCCTGGGCAATGGAGTGACACTCCATCTCAAAAAAAAAAAAAAAATTGGTGTTTGCCTTAAGTAGAAATACCCTACCATCTTTTGATAATATTATCTGAAAATGAAAAAATATGAGTATTTTTAGAGTTTAAAAATATTTTATTGGCAGGAAATAGGATAGATCATGGACATCTGTCATAGTTCATTTTAAGTTGTTACAAGATAGTAGGAAATTGGATAAACAGAAGCAGCAGCTAACAATCACTGAGCAATCCTATGTGACAGGAACATTCTCAGTGATTTAGCGTATGACCCCCGTCTAATTCCTTTAGGTTGTTTAAGGCACAATTATGATTCCCTTTTACAGACCAAGAAACCGAGGCTTAGAGGTTAAGCAACTTGATCGAGATAAATCCATAAAATGAAAGATCATGCAGCCACTTAAAAAATGTTCTCGTAAGAGAATACAGCGTGGTCTGGAAAGATGTTCGTGACTTATTAGGTAAGAGGGCACATTACTAAAGAGTTATGTAGAGTATGATTTTATTTTCAGTTCTGAGTAAGTACAGATGTGCAAATAACTGTATGTGTCTAAGCATATACTCTAAAATATTAAAAATTATTGTTTTGGGGGCTGGATGATCTTTTCCCTTTCCTATGTTTTGTAAGTTTTATACAAAAAAGTATCACTTTCATATTCAGATAATTTTAAGCTTTAGTCAAAGGGATCATTCTATTTTTGTATTCAATGATAACAATTTTCAGGAGTTTTAGTTTTTCAGAAGGCATGTGAAATTCTGAATAGCAAAATCTTTGACAGACAGGCTTTTAATTATAGCTGCCTTGAGGTAAGGTGGGATTTTTGGATTTGGTGAAAAGAAGTTGCTTTAAAAATAAGAAACAGGAAGCACCATAAAGAGAGGGCTTGTTTTGCTTCCTGGTGGAGATGTCTTCTTGGTGGCACACCCAGGAGTCAGCCTCCTTTTCCCCAACCTCCCCCTTCCTGTCTCCAGAGCAAGATTTTCTGAGGAGAGGTAAACAGTCCCTCCCACCAAGCAGAGCTCAAAACTATAGAGAGAAGGACCTCGAGCAGACAACACAGACAGAAACTGCCTGAGCGTGCACCACCAAACAAAGAGACGCTCAGGGGTGAGGAGCCCACACCCTGCACACACACATCCATGAAACCAGTGTCAACTGAGCAGCCACCGTCTGCCAGCCGCTGTTTCGGGGCTTGCAGACACACAGCTTTACAGGACAGATGGGGTCTCTGCTCTCCTAGAGTTACACTTAAGAGGGCAGAATCAGAAATAGAAAAACACAGGGATGAACAGGGCAATGTGAGATATGGATCTATGTATAAAAAGCATTCAAGAGGGACCATGCGCTTGAGAGGACGTGTCTGTGGTGGGGCTTGGCTTGTGCTTTAGACAGGACATCAGGTAGACCATGCTAAAGAGGAAACTCTGAGCTGAGCCTGGATAACAGGAAGATGCCAGTCATTTCAAGATCCAGAGCAGGACACCCAGCAGATGAAATGGCAAGGGCAGGGGCACTAGCAGCCTAGGACTCTACATTTGGCCTAGTCAAGGAGTGCAAGGAGGCCAGCGTGGCTGGACAGTGAACACTGGGGAGCACCGGTGGAGGGGAGGGTGGTGGGAGACCCGGTGGTCCTGGCGGGCCTCAGCAGCGGGAGGGCACAGGGTGTCTAGTGTTCACAGAAGTGAAAAAGCAAAGACAGGTCCATAAAAAGAGAAAAAAGGAAAAACACAGAACAGAGGAATGGAAAGCAGCACTGTAGTAGGCAAAAGAAGAAGGAAACAGACTGAGCTCTCAATACAGAGCAGGGCAACACGTCTTAATCACAGCTGCAATGAAGGGCCATCAAGATGTTTCACAAGAACCTGAAACGAACTGCACAGTGGCCACAGATGCACTCCAGGGTACTACCACCACTTGAGCCTGTGGGAGTAATAGGGAGGACATGGAATTCAGGAGGGAGCGAGGTCTCAACACCAACGCCAGAAGAAATGGACCCAGAAGTCCCAGACCACAGCATTCTTACCAGGTTCTAAATAGGCGTCATCAGTACTTCAACACTCAAATCACATTTGTCTGGCTTACTCACAAACAGCTGTATCTGTTTAACTCTCAAGTCAACATGGTTATAACTATCTGTATTGTGCATATTGAGTCTCTTTTAAAAAAAAAATCTCTTCTCATTTTAAGTCCAAGTAAGACCCTTAACTAGGTATCATTTAAACAGAAATACCTAAATCCAGGTATACTTATGATAACCAGCTGGCATGGTCAAGTATACTCTACTTTCCAAAGTTGCTATCATATACATCTTCGCATTTGAATTCACTCCTGGAGCTCATGGGAGAGGTCAGTATACAGGGGTCATTATAATCATAGCGGAACATAACACACTGGTACAGCTTTATGTTTTTATGCATGCTTTCATATATATAATTTACTTGATCAGTCTGTCTTCCTTTTTTAATTGGTATGATCATGCCTGTTTATAAATTTATTAAAAGGCTACTGATAATCAGGTGACCTTGTCCAAGGCAGCACTCCTATTTAAGGACAGTGGCCCCTCTAGCCTGCAGGTGTCCAAATCCATATCACATGTGAGAGGACATCCGTAAAAGGAAAGACGATGGTAGGAGGCGACTACCTTCATCTGCACCCCTCATCCCCAGCACCACACCCCCAGACCAGTTCAACTCCCGTAAAATGAGGGGTTGTTAAACCATGCTCCTTCCAGCTCTAAAATGGCAGAAATATATGATTCTAAAGGTTTGCTTTTCAACATAAAGTTTAATGAAAACCAATATTTCACGAACAAAAGTATGAACTACCTCTCCATGAGAAATGACCACTGTAAAGACCTTGTAAAAAGTATGCACACTAAAAATAATTTAAACACTTTGAAAGGTGGAGGCAGGCAGATCATTTGAGGTCAGGAGTTCGAGACCAGCCTGACCAACATGGTGAAACTCTGCCTCTACTAAAAATACAAAAAATTAGCTGGGCGTGGTGGCGCACACCTGTAATCCCAGCTACTCGGGAGGCTGAGGAAGGAGAATCACTTGAATCTGGGAGGCGGAGGTTGTAGTGAGCTGAGATCACACTATTGCACTCCAACCTGGGCAACAGACCAAGACTTCATCTCAAAAAATGATAATAACCATAATTTATGGAACCAATTCTCCATTTGTAGCCACAGTTTAAGAAACAGAAAATCCATTTGCATTTCTATCTTGTTAGTATCTGTGTTGCGCTGGTGTTAACTAATAACATACAATATTTAAAATTTGTGTTACACACAGAACCAATTATAATTACCTAGTGAGAAAACAATTTTATATTGGGAATCTAAAAATAATCTATTTTACCACTATAACAGATCACACACATTATGAAATACTACTGCCAATTAATGTTACGGTGGTTCACGTACTGACAGTTCAAATTTGAAATGCTCTCATCCCACCTGATGCCCACATTCAAAACAAAGGACCTGGAAAACACTAGATAGATGCAAATCATCCTTATGCATATGTAACATATATTAAGTACATTGCCCAATACATCACATTCAGAGATTATTTCATTTTGTTTACTCCATAGATGGCCCGCAGTTTTTACAGATTAAATTCCATTTAAAATAAACTCCGAGATGTTGTCCAATATTTTATGATGTGCTAAAACGAAATGCTTCTTCAAGTAACTGAGCTACTCATTGAAGTCTGAAGATCTACTTACTTTAAGGATTTTTTAAAAATCATAATATGGCCAGGCACGGTTGCTCATGCCTGTAATCCCAGCACTTTGGGAGGCCAAGGTGGATGGATCACGAGGTCAGGAGTTCCAGACCAGCCTGGCTAACATGGTGAAGCCCCGTCTCTACAAAAAATACAAAAATTGGCTGGGTGTGTCGGCGCGCACTGAGCAGGAGAATTGCTTGAACCCAGGAGGCGGAGGTTACAGTAAGCCAAGATTGTGCCACTGCACCCCAGCCTGGGTGACAGGGCGAGACTCCATCTCAAATATATATATATATGTATATAGTCATCAAATTTGACCTGCGCCATAATTAAATATATGTATAATACTGCAAGCAGTCACTATGACAAATGTTTTAGCTAGGTTAGATCATTCATCCTGCACAACAACCCTACAAGATAGTGACTATAATTATTTATTTGTATACAGTTATCTAGTTTTACAGATAAGAAGAGAAAGGTGTTAAGCTTCCCAAATTCTCAGTGCTTAAGTTTGAGAAAAGAAAAATTCCTTGTCAGTATTAGTTTTCCTATGTGGCTGATCAGTTAAAGAATACCAATAAATTGATAAATGTGGTAATAAGCTTAATATCTGTTTCTATTGCACCTCAACTTCAATATTGCAGTACAGTAACAGGATGTTACTTTAGACAATGTCGAATTACCAGTAGTTTCGCTTAGAATTTGAAACTAATTGAAGTAAGATTTTGTTTACTATAAACAGACATCTCAAAAGAGGCTGATTAAGGGATAATATATTTCTTACTCAGGAAACATTTAAAGGAAATCAGCAAAATGTTGCGCCTAGTTAAACATAGTGCCCAGTCTTGCCTGAATAACGGCCCAGGAAGAAAACACAGACGAACAGAGATACTGAAGGGCCTCAAAATAACCTACATACTTTGTTTCCTTTTGATACCTGTTCTTGAATCCAGCAGTATCAGGAGGATATTATATCATGACCACTGGCTTAAGAAATTCACCAAGAAAAAAATGCAACGTTATCAATTCTGAATTATGGTTATTTTTGAGGAAAGAAGTCCTAGCAAAAAATTACAGTGTAATAATAGATTTGTAAAGTGATATATTCTGTCCCATGTCATTGATATGTTACTAAAAATCTTATACAATCTAATTTTAAAAATTGAATCATTCTTACATGCTGAGTTCACATGCTATATAAAGGAATCTTCTTAAATAAATGAATCGAGTTATTAAGTATCTTGAAGTCATCATTTTTCATTCATTCATCTTACATACTGCCTTTAAATTCTCCAAAAATGTACACATGAATTTGGAGGGGATAAGGGTGAATTAAGGCATGGTCCTTATCCTTATCTCCTTAAGATAAGTTCTTATTTCCTTACAGGAGAGCTTGCCTTGTACACAGTGACCCCACAGCCCTATGTATGAGACTGTTTTCTAGCAGCAGTGTGAGTCCTAAAAACAGATCTCAGGAAGTGCCTTAATGACTTCCCAACATCACCAAAGAAGATGTCGGGAGAACACAGGGAAAAGTACAAACTGCAAAAAGTGGAGCGGATACAGATAGCTTTTAACAATCCTGTTTAGACACCCAAGGAAGTCTTAGCAGACATACAAACTCTGTCAGATCTGAGGATAGGAAGAGATTCATTCCAACTAAAAGTACTAAATTTGCAGAAAAGATGGCATTGGAGAATCAGGAGAGGGCTGCAGCAGGGCGTTCCACACTGATGAGAAGGCATACGTAACGGGGGTAGGAAAATGCTTGACGCAATATGGGATGGGAAAGAGCCCTAGGTGACTAGTTTCAATGAGGATAAATACTGGGGATTGAGTCAGCAGTGCTTCCCTAGAATGAGAATGCCACGCCAAGTAAGTTGGACTTGATTCTGCCGTCGTTCTTTGGAGAGGGTGAGTGAGGCCACCCTGACTAGAATTTAGAAAGGTAACAGACAGGACTAAGAGGGATCAAGGGGGCTGAGACAGGTGTGGACACGTAAATGCTGTGACTTCATTATGCCAGACAAGGGGTAATACATCCCTGAAACAAAACAAAACAAAACAAAACAAAACAAAACAAAACAAGGAATGTGTGGAGAAGAACTGATCTGAGAAAAAGTATAGAAATAGAATCAATAACACTCCGGAACTAGGTATGAGGGCTAAGGACGGAGAAGCAAGAAGAGCACAGGAGATGGACAGGGTGCTGGTGAAAAGAGCAGAGAGATGGTACACAGTGGCAGCCACGGTCTGGATAATAAAGACCCCACCAGATCTGTCCCCGTTGAGTTCGTGATGCTGTCAGGATGCCCAGAGACATGTGTGCAGAGCCAGGCTTGGTGTGTGCCACAGAGCGGCACTACTACAGTGTCAATGGAAATCATACCAGTGACAGCTGAAGACGTGACAGGGAGAAACATAGACAAGGGTGTAGGCACGTGAGAATCACAACAGGGACAAATGAACTCCCCAAAAGGTGGGGATCAGCAGTGAAGACACAGGAGAGCACTAGTGACCAAGGAAGAAGGGTGTCCTATAAGTCAAATGTGGACACATTTTCCTGATGGCCTCCAGATTTGGCAATTTTGTCACCTGAAAAGAATTTTCTTCAGTAGAGAGGGGCTGAAGCCCATTTTAAGGGGTTTAAGAGTAAGAATGAGGTAAAGAGATGGTAGAAGCCTTTGGCAGAACAGTTGTTCAAATATATTTTAAGAGATTTCCACTTCCAGCAATAAGAAGATACAGTAGTCCAGAATTAACTTCCTACTATAAGCAACTAGAAAACTAGTCAAAAATAGGAAACAACTATTTTCAGCAGGAACTGGGGACCAAGATGGCTAAGACTGTAACCCCTGAGAAAAGGAAAAAAAGAAGGGGTGCCCCACCATCACCTTGGCTTTCTGGGCACTGCAGTGCAGGGAGCAAAACCAAACCACACTGCAGCCACCCTGAGTTGAGGGGACAGAATTATGAATCTGGGAGGCTAAGGTGGTCAGCATCTTTAGACAGATGACCTGAGAGGAGAGAACTACACAGAGAAAGAGCTCCAGAAATCAGCACGGGCCCTCTTCAGTCTTTGATTCCCACCCTGGGCATGAGTAAGGGAAAATCCTATAAGCCCAGACAAGAACAACTTTTGTGAAAAGAATAAATACCAGGCGGCCGTAAGATGAACAACTGTGGGCACCCTGATAGTACCCACGCAGAGGAGGAGACTGCATGGACTGAATACCCAGGGTATTCAGTCAAGGAGGGCTACGCCTTGGAAATGGGGCTAAATTAGGCCTTAGAATGAAAGTTACTCTGCAACTGGTCTAAAAGCGATTAAAAGGTAATTTAAATATAAAAGATTAGCATGTAACTTAACTGCCTGCCAGGAAAGATCCAACACACACAAAATACAATGAAGCCAGGTGTGGTGGTGCATGCCTGTAGTCCCAGCTACTCAGGAGGCTGAGGTGGGAGGACTGCTGGAGCCCAAGAGTGTGAGGCTGCAGTGAGCCACCACACTCCAACTTGGGTATCAGAGCAAGAGCCTCCTTCCAAAGGAAAAAAAAAAATGAAACCCAAGCCCTCAGTAATACAAAATGTATAATGTCTGACATCTGATAAAAAATTATTAGACATAGAAAGGAAGAGGGAAATGTGGCCACAATCAGGAGAAAAATCAATCAATAGAAACAGACAGGATAGACATGGTGGTTCACACCTGTAATCCCAGCACTGTGGGAGGCCAAGGTGGGTGGATCACCTGAGGTCAGGAGTTCGAGACCAGCCTGGCCAACATGGTGAAACCTCATCTCTACTAAAAATACAAAAATTAGCCGGGCATGGTGGCAGACACCTGTAATGCCAGCTATTTAGGAGACTGAGGCAGGAGAATTGCTTGAACCTGGGAGGCGGAGGTTGCAATGAGCCAAGATCACGCCACTGCACTCCAGCCTGCGTGACACAGCGACTCTGAAAGAAACAAAACAAACAAAACAAAAAACACAAAAACAGACCCAGAAAGGACAGTGATGATAGAATCAGAGGAAAAAGAATTTTTAAAAAGATGCTTCAAATACATGCTAAAGAACATAAAGAAAAACAGGAACATAAAGAGGAGAGAAATGAAAGATACAAATATTTTGATGGTAACAAGGAGGCTTGGGATGGAATGAATACTTAATTCACTGATTAGATTGAAAGACAACTAATACTGGTTACATTGTTTCATTGCTAGACACAGAAATTGGTGGTATTCTGACTCAGAATGGTGTATACATTGGACCTTTTGTTAATAATCGGAAAAGTACGGTCATCTTCCTTTAAACCTTAACTGTTTAAGAAAAATGTTACAATTAAGTACTACTATACTCCCATTTTTTACGTTCAAGTATTACAACATCATTCAAAATAATGTGACCTGTGCTTTGTACTGATAAGTAACTGATTTACGGGAGTCCTACACATTTTTAGGCATCCCCAACCACACTAGGTACATTCCTTTCTAGATCATTTCACATACCAGTTGCCTACAGTTCTTTAATGCAACAAATTTCCAATGACTGATGAAAGATAATCTGCATTTTATCCCTTAAGATGGGTGTTTATATCACCAAGAGCTTGGAAAATGGATCAATTCAAGATAAAACATTTTGCTAACAACTTTCATGGTTCACTGGCAGAGAAAAGAAGGCTTATTAGCTTGGCACTCCAGATATGGCCTTGTCCATATGGTAAAAAAAAATACCAGATTTTTCAAAAGTCAATCAAACCATTCTGGCCTAGCTATTAAAATAAACAGCATGGTCAATAAAACTGGTGGTGTTATTTAAGTCCGTCTGTTATCTCCCAAAAGACTGGAAGAACATTACTATCAGAAATTGAATCTGTTTTTCTCTTTCAACCCCAATAGCTTCTAACACAGATCATGATGCATGGCAAGAACATATTCTCTAAATATAAAAATCAGGACACAGCTGACATATGGTCTAACAATAGGACAAAAAAATGGAAATACAGATGAATATAATGAGGCTCACAGAGGTCAGATAACTTGCCCAACATCCAAGTTAAGTGGCAGAGCCAGGATCTGAATCCAATGCCTCATGCTCTGTCTACAATAGCACCTCCCAGCACCAGCACACACCTGCACACACAGGTAGAAAAATGGCTGTGAAGCCGCAAAGGCAGGCTGAGATCACAAAGTTAAGGCCCAATGAAGAGACAGTCTATACTGAAAACTTCTTCCAGAATCCTGAAGATCATCATAAACAAAGAATAGTATTAAAATTCATACTCACACAAAGCAAGCCATGTTAACTCCAACACACACACACACAAAGTGTTAGAAAGCACTATCAATAAATATTCCAAAGGTAAGCAAAATGTGAAGAGCAGCCTTAGTTAACCGGGGATTGATAATTTTAAATGGTGGTTAAAATCTCTTAACACATAAGAGTTCTTTTAATTCTCCATCAGTAGATATTTATATTGGTGGCTCCTTAATTTTTTTTAGACTTGTGTTTGAAACAGAAATCTAGTGGTAAGGGAGACCAGCATTACGTTTCCTGGAAAGTATCAATAAGTTAATAAAAGGTCTAGTCCAATGAATATACTTACACTTCTGAATACATATACATCTACATCTACCAAATTTTTTCATTTCTAATTTTTAACAGTAGACATCTCATTATGTTGCCCAGGCTGGTCTCAAACTCCTGGCTTCAAGCAATCCTCCCACCTCAGCCTCCCAAAGTGCTGGGATTACAGGCATGAGCCAGCATGCTCAGCCTGCATTTACCAAGCTTTTAAGGACACAAATTTATTCCTTAACATTTAGGAATTTTTACTCGGCATCAAAACTGGCACAGCTAGTGAAAGTTAATAATATGCACTTCATACAAACCATTTAACATGGTTATAAAAGACAGACATGCAGCATTTCATAATCTGGAAGAAATGAAAAATACCTATTTACACATTTATCTATTTTCTTTTCTCATTGCCAGCATCAGCCAGTCAGAATTCCAGTCCGTGCTGGGTATATTTTTAAGTTTTAGATTAGCTACTCTCCCCCAAAAAACTAAGATATAACTGTGTTTAAAGACAGGTGCCTGGAATTTTGGCTTTTAAGAAGTTCCAACCATATGTCCCCCACCCTGTATGGTCTGTCTCTGGCTCTGATCTGATCATTCATATAAAGGCACAGTTTAAGAAGAAGAATGGCTCTTTTCTGCACAAGCATCCTATTAATCTGAGGGCCCATCTCTCAACTTCTCCGCATGAGAGCCATACTCCCTAGGTGGCAGCACAGATGCCTGGGATAGCAGTCACTACCTGAGTCCACCAGGCACGCTGCACATCCGAGGCCACATGCTAGGCTGCATCTAAAGCAACTAGAGAAATATTTTGAAAATAAGGTATATGCATGGATAGCAATCTCATCTGGTGAGCATGCCACACACGAGATGCTTTGTTCTTTCCAATTGATGGCATACTCTTAAGAATGTGGCCAAACTATGTACTTCCTGCCTGCTGCATACAATAAGTCCATCCTAATTCTTGGAACATATGAAATAGAAAATTTACACGTTATTATCAGCTGTTTAAAGAATTAAAGAAAACTGCTCCCCCTCCACACACACACAGCTTTCCACAGCCTAGAACTCTTAGCTTTAAGTACAGTTAAAAAAAGAAAAAAAAAGTTGGATCAATTAGCAGCCTTCTGAATGCTGGAAACATCTTAATAGTGTCTCAGAGATGAAAGAGCATAATACAGAACGAGAAAAAGAGAGAAAGTTAAATTATGTCTGCAGTCATAATGAATCAAAGCCCAGAAGGAGTCTGCAAATCAGCAGGTTCTAATGAAATATTAAGGTAAGTGATTATTGATGAAAAATGAATAAGGCTTTTTGATTTCAGCAACCTTTAAATCATACCTAGCTAATTAAAACAACTCAAATGCATTCATTTATTCCTTGACGGGCATTTAGCTACCCTTGGGTATACAGAGACTTCATTTTAGGAGATATGTATGTAGTTGACCCAGGTAAGTGGAAAAAATGTGCCAGAAACAGACATACTCAGTAATAAAAGAAAAAAAAGTAAGCCCCTTTTCAGATTTTGTTTATCATTTCCAAGCTGGAAATAAAAAAAAAAAAATCACTCAAGATGTTTCCTGTTTACCATAAAGCAAACATCAATAATAGTACACTACATATTTATTAACATAGAACTTATTTTAATTATCATATAATGATACAAGGCATTTATAATACTAATATTATGCAATTCTATGGCAGATTTTATTTAAATATATCATACAGCTATTGAAGACGGCCTTATCATTCCCCTCCACACTTCCAGGAGGAAAGCAGTTCTCTCTTAAGAGTGAGAATTACCCAGGTTGCATCACAAGCTCTGAGAGAATCTGACTCCAGGCCTGAGGCCTGCACGATCTTCAATCACATCCTCTAATATCATAAACCTCTTTCACCTTAGTCTCCTGTTATGGAAATTAATCTTTAGCTATTCAAGTGAAATACTATACCAAATTACTAAAGATTAAGACGCTTCCTAATTACAGAAATTAATCAAATGTCCATAACCATGCCCATTTTAGCAGCAGTATGTAAGGTAAAGAGGTACAGACATCAGTTGTATCATGAAATACAAAGGTGACAAATCTAACTTAAGTGGTGTTTACACATAAAAGATGCTAAAAATAAGATACAGAATCCAATATCATACCCATGCAAAAACAATCTCTGTGGCAAACCTTTTAGCTTTGAAATGCCCTTAGAACTCAAGAACAAAGACGACGGTGATGGTAGTGGTGGCATCATACGAACAATAGCAACTAACATTTATGGGACTGCTCTGTGTGCCAGGCAGTGTTCAAAGTGCCTTACATGTAGTCATTCATGTCATGCTCACAAAAAAACCCCAGTGAGGTAAGTGTTATTATCCCCGTTTTGCAGATACAAGAAGTAAGGCACAGAAGGTTAAATGGCAGAGCTGGGATGTGAACTTAAGCTGGCTTCAGAGCCTGTGCTCTTAAAAATACCTACATCACATCTTACCTTATCATCTTATGGTATGGTGTTGTATCAAATCCTCTTTTGCTCTTCCCCCTCTCTCTCTCTCTCAAAACTATACAAGTTCTAAGAAACCTACAAGAATTATAAGTTTAACATACAATAAGCAAAAGGGACTTTAACACTTAAAATGTTTAACTGCATTTTGCTGACAGAAACTCCAGGTTTCTTTTCTAAAAACAGGCTCTCTCTGCTCCTACACAGCTTACAGTCTTATCACACATACATCCCATAAACTGTCTTTGCTGTGCTGATGAGGAGTTTGGTTTATCCATTCCTTAATTTATTGAACATATTTGAATGTCTGTGTGGTAGAACTTGGAATACAGCAGTGAATGAAACAGACAACAGACAACACCCCCTGCCCCGCTCCAAAATGCAACTTCATTCTAGTTGGAGGAGACGGATGATAACATTTTTAAAGTGCATTTATGCCGCATCATAATGCCATAAGGACTAGCAAGAAAAAGAAGGCAGGGAAGGGAGTCAGGGTGTGCTGGGGAGGGGGAGGGGAGAGCTGCACTTTTAAATTACCTGCGTGTGGTCACGTCAACTAACACCAGTCACTGCGTGGTGGTGCTGCCTGCCTGCCCCCAGCTGCTGTGCTTTGGGGACAGAGCCAGGCCCCTCAGAGGCAGCTGAGGTCCCTACAGGTGTGTGCTCCTGAGAGTGTGACATTCCATGCAGAAGCACCTCTGACTCACTCCCTCCTAAGGACTGAGGCTCCTGTGACGTCCCAGAATTTGCCTGGGCTGCCAACCAACTTGTTATCTCCTCGTCCTTCCTCTCCCTTCCCCGTTGCTCTCCTTGGAAGCCACACAGGCAAACTTAACCCTGATGGCCATGGGCAAGCGCTGGCAGAGTCCAGAGAGGGGTCAGGAGAGACAGTTAATGGAAAAGGGTGCTTCCTGTCTGCACACACCTGTCTCTACAGTGATCTGAAAGGGAAATGGCAGCGGCCCTTGCTGATCTGTGTCTCAGCCCTGGATCATCCCGACACAGTGGAGTTTATCACCAGTGCCTGCATGAAGCATCATTGTTTATTTTACTATTATTCTGAGAACACAACTTCTGTGAATATATATGTTTATGTGTGTGTATATATATAACTTTATATATATGTGTATGTGTGTATGTATGTCTATATATATATATATGCATAGTCATTTGTTACACATTTTCAAGAACGGACTAGATATAAAAGTGGGGAAATGGTGCTCTCATGCCCTTGCTGTAAAGGAAATCATAGTGAACGATCAGAAAACCACCTGCACTTTTAAAAATCAACTGACATACTGTTTCAGTTATAAATGGGTAGGATGTAGGAAACTGTGAACCTGTTGGTCTGCAACAGTGTTCAGCAAGGATAACGCTATATTTACATCCAGTTTGCCTTGATCTGGTATAAAAGCTGGAAATCTTATTAAAAAACCAAGACAATTCAAAGATGTGCTGGTCTTTACAAGAAACTGTGGGAGTAGGTTTTAGATTTGTCTGTTACAAAGAGAGACTAATGGAACTCTCCCAGATGCAAATAAAATTCCTTACAAATAAATATCAGAAGGAAGGTGTGGACTCAATCATTACTTTACGACATTTGTCTGTGTATCTGAAATGGCCTAGTAAAGTAGTTTGTGTCAAGTAGGTGCGCAACAGATACTGTCCTTGACTCACATTAGTTCTTTAACCCCTCATGCTCCAGCAAAGCCTACAGGCCCTAGCAATACTGTAAATCATGTGTCATTCACAGTCATGAATGGCCAAACCAAGAATGTTAAATTCTTCAAATGCTTAAAACTATATTAAAGACATTGATATTCTGACAGACCTACTCTGGAACTGATCCATACAGTCACAATCACCACCCACAGTGATGAGCCACGGTACCTGAGGCCTAGAAGCCATCTGGTTGCTACCTTGGAGGGTCTGCAGCATCTCTTCATGGCCTGGCTCTCCCTCATTATCCCGCAGGTCTTAAGGCCTCAGCTACCTGAGGTTTCAGGACACCATGAGTGTAGAGGCTAAGCAATCCTTAATTGCTGAAATATCATAGAAAGTTTCAAAGAATCAGACGACCACTCAGAGAAGACACAGCTGTCTGCCAGTGGCTTTTCAGGGCAAGAGGTATCTAGGAACTTTCACAGTAAAGTGTTCATCATATTTAATATTTACCAGGAAGATATAAATCCAGTACCTTAACTAGGTCCCCTGTCTGTCAAAACTAGGTCAGCATGTTGTCACTCATAAGTGGGACCTTAATAATGTGGACACACAGAAGCAGAGTGTGGTATGACGGGCAGCAGAGACTTGGAAGCGTGGGAGTGGGAGGGGGCTGGATGATGAGAAGTTACTCGGTGGGTACAGCACGCACATTGCTCCAGTGATGGGTGCACTGAAGGCCCTGACTTCCCACAATATAATATACCAATGTAGCAACACTGCACTTGTACCTGATGAATACAAACAAACTAAAAAAATTTTAAGGCCGGGAGTGGTGGCTCACTCCTATAATTCCAGCACTTTGGGAGGCCAAGGCGGGTGGATCACAAGATCAGGCGTTCGAGACCAGCCTGGCCAACATGGCGAAACCCTATCTCTACTAAAAATACAAAAATTAGCTGGGCATGGTGGCACGTGCTGTAGTCCCAGCTACTCAGGAGGCTGAGGCAGAAGAATGGCGTGAACCCAGGAGGCAGAGCTTGCAGTGAGCCGAGATCGCACCACTGCACTCCAGCCTGGGCGACAGAGCAAGACTCTGTCTCAAAAACAAAAACAAAAACAAAAACAAAAACAAACAAAAAAATTAAGATAAAGTTACATTTGTTATAACATCTATGATCTCTCTTTTTGTCATTGTAATTGTGTAATCAACATTTAAAAATAGTGATGAAAGGTGAGTATTAACATCTAGGTAGGTAAACGTGTGTGTGTGTGTGTGTGTGTGTGTGTGTGTGTGTGTGTGTATAAAAATTTAGCTCTTTCCCATTTAGGAATTCAGGATGCAGCTCAAGCACATCACCCCTTAGAAGCCCATCCTTCCTCAACCTGAGTCAGTCTCCTTAGCATCCTATTTAATTCTTATCACTCTGTACACAATGTATTGAGTGTGGTCTGCTATGTGATACCAGGTGGGGTGACCCTGAGGGGTGAATAGGTCTTATTCATTTCCATCCCTACCACAGGCACCTACCACAATTCTTGGCCCACAGTCAAATTGTGGGGAAGTGAGTAATCAGTCACAAAGGCTGCCAGATACACTGACAGACAGATGTGTACAAGAACTCTGGGCTTGTGCAAAGACTTTAAACCCTTGACTATTTCACAGGGCTGAAACATACAGACCAAAGGAAAGAAGGAAATAGAAGGAAAAGAATAACTAGAAGTCTGTAACCTCAATCAGCTTTAGTTTTTGTTACAAAGCAGGTATTTTTTAAATTATGCTAATAGCTTGCAAAACCCCCAAAACCCTCCCCCACAAATTCTGTTGCAACCAAATTCTAATAATTTACGATTTAAATCATTTTTTAGATCTCCCTCCTTTCTGCCACAGACCACACAGTGACTTTGTGAAATACAGAGAAAACCCTCATTCCTCAAGACACTTGGCTGCCAACTGCCAGAAAAAAAATCACCGGAAGTGTTCCAATCCACGCTATAGTTTTATAGCACCCCTTGGAGTTGTATTGTCTGTACCTTGCTCAACTGGTCCTCTACAACCTCAGCACACCCCAATTCCATTTGCATCCTGCCCTTCCCTTCTTTAAAAATCCTAGGTAATAATAGAATTAAAAACAAACTTGGAGTTAAATTTTTATTTTACCACTGCACTGCCTTCTAAGTACCTGATACAGGTTCAGTGTATTATATAACTTTCAGAAGACTAAAAAATTACTGCTTTTCAAACTTTCTGCCTGGTAATGAATGACCTGTTAAGTAATCAAAGCAGAGGCCAGAGAAAAGAGGAAAAAGATATCTGTTAGGTGGTTGTCATGCAGATTTATCTGGAGGGAACTGTTTCCAGGTCATGATCATCAGTAAGTTCTGAAATGGCAAACTTTTTTCCTTTTAAATAACACTTTTCTTCATGGAAGACGACAAACTCTTATTTTTAAATATATTTTCACAATTCCAGAATTATATGAAGTCAACATGAAACTAAAGCAGTATTTTTCACAGAGGTGATTTATAATTATTTTACACGCCACTATTTGTAGCTTTTGAAAATTTATAAAGAAACGTACTTTTCCACTATTAAGTACATTTTTCTATATACATTTGTAGTATAAATAAGATTTTAGGGGGATTCATTTGAGGGGAACTTAGAATAACTACTTTTTATTCCAATGGTGTTGGAATCAACACATGAATCACATCAAAACAAAATGTAAGCAAATCTGATTTCAAAATTGGAATTAAAAACAACCTATAATAGAGTTTAAAAAATAAAGATTTACTAACTGAAGCAGTGTAAGCATTTCATCTGAGTTGCTGGATACACTTTAAAGTTCGGAATATCATATCTTTCAACATATTCGCTAATTATTCACTAATTCAGACTTTATATCATTTCCTCTACTTAGATGGACATTATCAATCAATTCCAAGTACTGAAGCTTTTGTCCGAATTTGTGCACATCAGGGAATCCTCTGGCCTCATGAACTTGGTGTTCACCATTTCATCTGGACACTCTGCAGCTTTGGTCATGAGCTGAGCTCCATGGGCTTCTGCTCTGTCGTTTGCTCCACACTTGGTCAGGCCCCAAACCCTGGCAAGGTTACCACAGCCGGAGCAGGGCCAGGCTGGCCTCTCTCGGAGACAATCAGGACTTTCAGTTAAAACAAAGGTGATAAGGAAGTGCAGTCTCAGGCTAAGATCAGTTTCTTGCCTGTAAGTGATATTTAATTTACATTTATAGTCTGTAAAAACAGTTAAGCTGCAAGAGACATCCACCCACCTCACCAAAAGGAATCACCTTGGAGGCAACTACCTGGTCCCAAAGCATTTTGTTTTAGGAACAAATATTTTCAAATCCCTGTATTCTCAAAGAGTCAACCCAAGACCCCCTATATAGTCTATGGAATAGAACTAGTAATGAAAGGCATAAACTGATACAGAAAATTCAGTTTAAAAATATCTGTCAGTTTTACAGAAATGTATATATACAACAATCTACATTAATTCACTCTAACATTGGAGTCCATTTTATGCAATGTGAAATGCATATTCAAAATAGTTATTACATAGCCATAGAACAAATGAATTATCTAGTTACTTTCTGTTCTGTAACGATACAGAAAGTTTATAATTTTCACATTTCTATGTACACACCTGTTTTAATGAAAAATACTAAGGATATCTCAACTTGCTTGATTGGAAAAGAAAACAGGTATCTTTTAAAATCAACTACTGCATCTCCTTTAGTTACACAAAATCAACCAATTGGGGAAAAAATGGAAGAAGACATGAAACAACAAGAGAAAGAAAGTAATCAAATAGTTATTTACACCAAGGACTTAGGGTACCCAAGGAAAAGCTCTAGAACATCTGGGAAGTTAATTTAAAACTGGATTGCGGATTTAGGGCTCGATAAAGTCTCCCAAGAAGTTGAAAATGCATCTCACAATGGGACTCCACATAAATCCTCATGAATTTTTATTAATAGTTGATTGATATTCCATCCTTATGCAGGAGCAAGGAAGAAAATAACACAAACTTAAGATCACAAAATACCAACAAGATTGGTACTTGAAGCCATGGGTTTGTACTGTCTAAAGGACAGGAGAACCAAGTGATTAGGTCAAAATAAAAAGATGAGTTATCGTGCCAAATTGCACATGAAGCAGGATCTTGGAGCTTTTGTTAGAAGGCTAAAATTGAAAGAAATCCCAGGCAGCTCCAGGAGATTTTGATCATGGAATGGCCTAAAATCTCTTTAAAGACCTAAAAGTTCAGTGGTCTATGAAGGGAAAGACATTAAAACAAAAATGCAGATACTCTGCTGGAGGATTATTTGCCTGCTAACGACCAAAGTCTAAAACAGCTTTCATTTATCCCCACATTTCTGCAGAATATTTAAACTTCCTCTAAGGCTAAAATAAATACATAAATAAACAACCCCCATTACACATTACTTCTACAAACAAATTGTGGTTTCGGGCAATGTTAATCAACAAAAAGAATTAAACAAGAAGTCTTTAAAATTAGCCATGACCTTATTTATGGCTTCATTACTTTCAAGATTTCATTTGTTGGGTGTTTTATGTCACCTCAGCCTTTAATTTCATTGCTGCATCTCTAACTATATTAGAATAGCTTAATGGATGGTGATTGCTTGTTTTTAACTCACCAAAATTTAACATTTGCAAAATGTATAACACCAAAGAGCCACGTAATTCACCCATGTATTAGATGCAATTGGATTTATCCTTTTAAACTGATCCTATAGTATGATGTGAACCAATATGACACAGTCTGATATAATTAGCCTGAGATTGGATGTCTTACAGGCCCGTAAACACCATACTGAGGGCTTAGACTGCATCTTGGAGACAATAAGCCACAGAATTATTTTAAGCAAGGGAATGACATGGTCATATTTTGTTTCAGGTACAAAACTCCAGGTACTGGGTGAAATACGGACTTGTGGAGAACAAGACTGGAGATGGGAGAGGGGTCAGGAGACGACCATCAGTATCCATGGGCCGCACGACAGAAGGAGAGAAGGATGTGGAATTACTTGTAATGGCAAATTGGTAGGGCTTTGTCTCTGACTGTTATCGGGGGGAGCAGGCTACAAAAGAAAGGCTCTGGCTTGAGATGTGTGGGTTGTGATTGCGTTTGCTGAGATTAGGCTGTTGAAACTAGAGGAGGTTTAGAATGAAGAATGATGAATTCTGTTTTAGATCAGTTGGGATCAGGTGACTGATAGGCACAGGAAATGTGCATTCCCAGCTGGTGGTGCTGGAGAAATCTGGGGCTTATAAAGAGAGAACTGGGCTAGTGAGATCAGGCATCATTATGCCTAATGGTAGTGAAAACCTTAACCAAGAAAAACACATAGGAAATAGCAGTGGTCCAGAGCTATTTCCCTAGGAAATCCAAAACCTAAGAGGAAAAAGTAGAATAGAACCTCTAAAGAGACATCTAAAGAATAGTTCAAAAGGACACAGTGGCTCACATCTACAATCTCAGTGCTTCGGGAGGCCAAGGTGGGAGGATCGCTTAACCCAGGAGTTCAAGGCAGTATAGCAAGACCCTATGTCTACAAAACACAGTGAGACTCCGTCTCTACAAAAAATAAAATTAGCTGGGCATGGTGGCACCTACCTGTAGTCCCAGCTACTCGAGAGGCTGAGGTGGGAGAAGCGCTTGGGCCCAGGAATTTGAGGTTGCAGTGAGCTATAATTGCACCACTGACTCCAGCTTGGGTGACAGAGCAAGATTCTGTCTCTAAAAAAAAAGGATAGTTTCAAAGGAAGGGGAAAGCAGTGCCACAAAAACAAAGAGAACAGAGTTTCAGGAATGCCACAGAGTAATCTAGAATGCAAAGCACTCAAGTTTCATTGAATCATGCTTCTAGGAAGCAATTAGGAAACAAATACACGATGGGTACTGCAACAAATCACCACAACTGTATTGCCTTGAGACAACACACATTTATTATATTATAGTTCTGGGGGTCAGAAGTCTGAAATGGGTTTCAACTGGGTGAAAATCAAGGTGTTGGCAGAGCCAAGTTCCTTCCGGAGGCTCGAGGGGAGAATCTGCTTCCTCGCTTTTTTTCCAGCTACTGGAAGCCACCTGCATCCCTTGGCTCATGGTCCCTTCCTCTGACTTCAGTCAATAGGGCAGCAGCTTCAGTTCCTTCCTGACTCTGCCCCTTCTGATTCCCTCTTTCACTGATAAAGCCTTGTGATTACACTGGGCCCAAAAGGATAATCCAGGAAAACCTCCCCATTTGAAGGTCCTTTTCACCTGGTGAGATAACATTCACAAGTTCCAGAAATTAGGGCGTGGGCATCTTTGGGGAAGCATTATCATGCCCATCATACAACGAGAGGAATGAACCAGAGATGTGGGAGAGAAGATATGGCAATCTACATCAAATGTATTAATAATCCTTCAAGAAGTCTGAATTAGAAGTGAAGTAGAAAAATAGGGAAGCAAATAGCTAGATGGTAAAAAGGGAATTTTTCTTTTTTTCTTTTTGAGAGACAGAATCTCATTTATCGCCCAGGTTGGAGCGCAGGGTCTCATTCTGTTGCCTAGGCTGGAGAACATTGGTACAACAACCATAGCTCACTGAAGCTTCGAACTCCTGGACTCAATGATCCTCCTGCCTCAGCCTCCCAAGTAGCTGTGACTACAGGTAGGTGCCACTATGCCCAGGTAATTTTATTTTTTGTAGAGACGGGGTCTCACTGTGTTGCCCAGGCTGATTTCGAACTCCTGGGCTCAAGCAATCCTCCTATGTCAGCCTTCCAAGTAGCTGAGACTACAGGTGGGTACCACCATGCCCAGTTAATTTTTAAATTTTTTGTAAAGATGGGTTTTCGCCATGTTGCCCAAAGTGGCCTCAAACTCCTGGGCTCAAGCAATCCTCCAGACTCACCCTCCCAAAGTGTTGGGATTACAGGCGTGAGCTGCCACACCTGGCCAATTTTTTTCTTTTTAAACAGTATGGTAGACATTAACATGTTTACATGGAAGTTCCAGTAGAAAGGCAGAGGCTGAAGACAGGGGCTCAGAGGAGACACTGACGGAGCAGGTGCCTTGAAGTGGTGGGGCTGGGATCTGGAAGACTGTTTAGAGAGCTGGCCTGGAAGGAGGAAAGGTGATCTTCAGCTATTAAGGAGAGGCAAGTGGCCCAGGCACAGATGTGGATGGGCTAGAGGTCTGGAGCTGAGTTGTGCTGAAGGGACCAACAAAGTTTGGAAGAGTTGCTAACATGAATGGAGAAGGAGCTAGCCAAGGCCAGAGATATTAGTAGACAGCCAAGGACACTGAGATCAGGCCCAGGTTGGATGGAGCACATTAATTAGCAAAGGCACCAACTTGCAGAACTCACATTACAATGAGATTGACTACCTTCGAGAATTACTTTCTCACATTTCAAGAAAAGCAGAGGTAAGTAATACTAAGCAAACATAAATAAAGTGGTATTTGACTTTTTCAGTAGCAAATACAACTTTGTTATATGACCCAACATTTCTAAAAGAGCACATGTTTAATAAGTGCCTATATCTAAGAAAATTAGTTTTGTTCTGTGTTTGCCAGGCTTCCCTTTGACGCAACCGGATTCTGATTTTAACGGGAGGGGAAACAAGTTCACAAAGGTCTTTTCTTTTAAAATCGACATTTTTCTCTTTAGTGGTAAAATGCATGCAAAAAGCATGTGATTATGGTATTTATGTTTCCATTAAGGTGTCCTCAGCAAGCAGGGGGAGTCTAGCCTACTATTTTCTTGCTATTTAGATTTATAGTGACACAGTTCGTATTTTATTCCCATTATATTTGAGGACAATGCACTCCTGGTGGCAAATGATTGCATAGTGACAGTCAGCAAATGTCCATTAAAGCTGTCTTTCTGTAGAATATTTAACTACAGATTCTGGTCTCTGGATATAAAAATACAAATTGCATGGTGTCTTCAAGCAAATAAAAAAAACATTATTGACCAGGATTTTATGATTTCTTTGTTAAGAATTTAAAGTGTACTAAACTTTCCAAATTAGAATTGTGTAACCTATAGGAAAAGAAACTTTCTGGTGTCAAGAAACACTGAACAGGGGCTGGGCACGGTGGCTCATGCCTGTAATCCCAGCACTTTGGGAGGTCAAAGTGGGTGGATCACTTGAGGCCAGGAGTTCGAGACCAGCCTGGCCAACATGGTGAACCCCTGCCTCTACTAAAAATACAAAAATTAGCCAAGCATGATGGCACGTGCCTGTAATCCCAGCTACTCAGGAGGCTGAGGCAGAAGAATTGCTTGAACCCAGGAGGCTGAGGCTGCAGTGAGCCACGATCACACCACTGCACCCCAGCCTGGGCAACAGAGTGAGACTCTGTCTCAAAGAAAGAAAGGAAGAAAGGAAGGAAGAAAGGAAGAAAGGAAGGAAGAAAGGAAGAAAGGAAGGAAGAAAGGAAGGAAGGAAGAAAGAAAGAAAAGAAAGAAAGAAAGAAAGAAAGAAAGAAAGAAAGAAAGAAAGAAACAAACAAACAAACAAACACACACACACTGGACAGAATGCAGTTTAGGAATATGACACCTGCAAGATGACCTTTTAAACAAAATGATTATTTGATCATAGATGAACAATGGACATTATAAATGCCAGGATAAAGCTGTGTCTGACAGAAATGATAAATTATTTCACAGCTTCACTGTTAACAGTAACAAACTAACTCATACTGGAGTTCCAAACTGTTTTTTTATTAGCCCAAGAGTAATATTTTCCAAAGGATGGCTGCATCAGAGTCAACTGGGGTACTTGGTAAAAATGTGGGTTTGTAGTCAACTACATCTACTGAATCAAAATATCTATGAGGGGAGGTCAGGATCTGTAAGAAGTGCTCCAGGGTCTTTCTACATATGCTTAAATTAGAAAAACCACTGTTTTAGAACAAAGCCTATTACGGTTTTTTTTTTTAAATGTTTTTATTTTTTAGAGACGAGGTCTCACTCTGTCACTGATTCTGGAGTGCAGTGCTATGATCATGGCCCACTGCAGCCTCAAACTCCTGGGCTCAAGCAACCCTCCCACCTCAGCCTCCTGAGTAGCTGGGACTATAGGTGTGTGACCACCATGCCCGGATAATTTTAGTGTTTTTAAGAGACAGCATCTCGCTGTGTTGTCTAGGATGGTCTTGAACTCCTGGCCTCAAGTGATCCTCCCATCTCTGCTTCCCAAAATGTGGGGATTATAGATGTAAGCCACTGTGCCTAGCCTTTACAGTTCTTAAGATCATGATTCAGGCTTGCCTGTCCCTCTAAGATATAACTTGATGTAAACAGAAATGCCAACATTTTAGACAAGGTTTGAGACGTTCAAGCTGCCCTATTTCCATGGAGTATTGCAAACTCAGACTCAGTAAGAATTTTATGAAAGCAAACCATGAGGAACTTCAAAGAATTTCATGCAAGTACAAAATGAAAACCTTCAAATTACCAAACCAAAGGCTGAAATTGATTGAGAGGTCAGGTCCTTATACCATGACCCACCTGTCACTCTCAAATAAGACATTTCATGCTACCCAGCATTTACTCTATTCTAAATATTTATATTATAGAAGCCATCTGGAATGCCTTATCCTGAATTCAGTAACTCCTAATTTAAAGGGAAACAGTTCATGATGTGATGTAATTTATGGAGAATACTTAGGAGACCAAGCTATTTAATGAAGGAAGTGGCATCAGCAGAATTGCATTCCCACACTCCTATATCTATGTTAAGTATAAAGAATCAAACCTGTCTTTATTGATTTCAATTTCATTCCTTGCTTGTTTCTGCACCTATGTGGCGATGCTGAAAGCATATGTGTTTTCCTGAGAGTAAAAGCCCATTTCCTAAGTAACAGTTGCAACAGCAAACAAATAGTGCTTACTACAGACCATGCTCAGTGTGAAGTGCTTTATATGTCATTAACACAGTTAATCCTTCCCAAACCTAATGAGGCAAGTACCATTATTATCCCCATATTATAGATGAGGAAAGTGAAGCAGAGACTTTACACAGCTGATGGCAGAAGAGCCCAGGAAGAAGAGCACGGTGGCTCACGCCTGTAATCCCAGCACTATGGGAGGCTGAGGCAGGTGGATCACTTGAGCCCAGGAGTTTGAGACCAGCCTGGGCAACATAGTGAGACCCCATCTGTACAAAAAATAAAAAAAAAATAGTTGGGCATCATGTCATATGCCTGTAGTCCTAGCTACTCAGGAAGCTGATGTGGGAGGATTGCTTAAGCCCAGGAGGTTGAGGCTGCAGTGAGTCCAAATCATACACCAGCCTAGGTGACAGAGTGAGACCCTGTTTCAAAGAAAAAAAAGAAGAGCCCAGGATCAAACTCAAGTATTCTGGCTCCATAGTTCATTCTCTTGTACGTTACACTCAACTGCTTCTTACTTTATAGCAGGATTGTTGGTGGAAATAGGAGTTATCAGAGGATAGCAGTGTCTTAAAGAATTAAGAAGACTAGCTGCTGGCAGACATTTGATTGGTAACATTTCTTTAATTAGATGCATAACAAAATGAAAGGCAGAAGAGCTAATTGAGCAACACTGGAGAATACTGCTCATTACTTAATTTCACAAAATATTGTGGAAATTATTTGACCAGGGGATAGTTCTCTAAAATATACACAATCTTGATCAAAAGACAATGATTCCCTTTGGGCTCTTCTGTGCACAATTCATTATACAGATGGTCCCGGACTTGCTATGATTCAACTTAAGATTTTTAACTTTAGATAGTGCAAAGGTGCTAACTATTCAGTAGAAACCATACTTTGAGTACCCACACAACCAATCTATTTTTCATTTTTAGTACAGTACTCAATAAATTGTACAAGATATCCAACACTTCATTATAAAATAGGTTTCATGTTAGAACAGATGATTTTGCCCAACTGTAGGCTAATGTAAGTGTTCTGAGCATGTTTAAGGTAGGCTAGCTAACCCACGATGTTTGGTAGGTGAGGCGTATTCAATGCATTTCCAATATGTTATTTTCAACTTACAATGAGCTTATCAGGACCGAACACCATTGAAAGTTGAGAAGCATCTGTATTCAGAACGGTTTTTGGCTTCATGAAATAGAAACCTGATTGCAGGTAACTTAAACACGTAACAAATTCACTTTTCACAGGTGATAAGAACTAGAAGAGCTGCTCACAGGACCAGACTGCTATCCTCTTCCTTCATGTAGCCTACAACTTTAGAATCAGGGAAAATGGTAAAGGACAAAATGAGTCAGCCCCATTTCACTCAGGAAAAGACTAGCTTTATAGGAAGTCCCCACTCTAGGTACACTCCTCACTTAGGAGTCAGAACTACGTCACATGGTCACCTCTTAATGCAAGGGAGCCTGGGAAACTTTTAGCTAGGCACTCTGCTAGCCAGAAAAAAACTGGGATTTTTTTTTTTTTTTTTTAAGAGACAGAATCTTATTCTGTTGCCCAGACTGGAGTGCAGTGGTGCAATCATAGCTCACTGCAGCCTCAAATTCCTAGGTTCAAGTGATCCTCCTGCCCTGGCCTCCCGAGTAGCTGGGACTGTAGATGCATGTCACCACGCCTGGCTAATTTATTTTTATTTTTGTAGAGACGGGGTCTCACTTTGTTGCCTAGGCTGGTCTCAGACGCTGGGCTTCAAGCAATCCTCTTGCCTTGGCTTCCCAAAGTGCTGGGATTACAGGTGTGAGCCACTGTGCCCGGCCTACGCCAACATTTTTGTGAGTTTTAAGCCTTGTTATTCATATCAAACACAAGGATAGGATCTGCTTCTCTTTAGCATCAATCCAAGGTGAAAAATCAAAATGTTACCCACGACACTAATAAACAGTAGTAACAGTGACACTGTGACTATAGCCTACAGTTCATGTTATAATAAAATCAAACAGACATGGGACTATTTCTAGACATGGCATGATGCTATCTTATAAAAAGCATTTTATAAGTAATACGTGGAAATTGAGAAAATGTCCCATTTTGATGCCAAATTCACCACATTTAATAAATCATCCCTGGCTGTTTCCATGTGGGGCTACCAGATCCATATTTCTGACTATAAGATCAATTAAAATGATTAAGCAGTGAAATGTAGAACACTGCTTCCTTACTGAACAATGAAAATCCCAGAACAGATGCAGGCTACACATCAGACTGTCAACTGCCTGCATTCCCATGAAATCCAAAAATTTGAATAGTAAAGGTCACTGGACACCAATTGCAAATTTTGGTGGAATTTAGTCAGTTGACAGGAGTTTCTCTATTGTGTCTATTCTTCATACAGGAAATAATCTCTGCGGAGTTCCAAGTTGCATGTTTCCACTTGAATAATTACTTTTCAAAAACGTTAGTATAAGCATATTCTAGATCTTCTTACAGGCGTGTCATTTCACTGTCTGAATTTGGGTTTACACACATGAAGGCACGATGGAATGCTATTTTCACTGTCTCCGGTTAATGACAACAGAAGCGGGCTGAACTTCGTGCACACATGATGCCCCTGTGGGAGCTGCAGGCCAAAGGCTGCTGAACAGGAACATACAAAAGAACTGCAGAAATTCAACAGAGAAAAGGGATGGGCAAGACTGTGGGGGTCGGCAAACAAACCCAAATGAACCTGCCATGGAGCAGCCACCACCATATTCATGATTTGTGCAAGAGTTTAGATTTAAGAAACATTATTGGCCACATTAAGTTAATGTTGTTCATTTGAAGGTAATGGCTTTGCCATTTTTGTATTTAATTTGTAAAGATGTTTGGCTTTATGGTTGTATAATGGTTGTCAACAGAAGGAGTTTAGTCCTATTTTATTTTTACACATATTTAAGTAACATTATAATCAAAACAATTTAGTTCAATACTGCAGTACCAAGAGATTGTCTTTCTATAAAAAAAAAAAATTCCTATACTCCTCAAGTCTGAGAAACACTTTTCTATGTAGCTTTCTCTTTGACAAGAACAGACAATGGAGGTGATACCATGACATCACAGCCAAATTCACATCCTGTTAAAGGCAGATGAAGAAGTGCTTTACAGGTATGATAATTCCCAACTTTTTGGATTAGTAACATCAATCTTTGTTTAATGGACATCTTATTCTCTGCAAAAATAATAATTACAAAAAACTAAAGTTTCCATAGTCCTTTTTCTTAAAAATATAAATTATGTCTCTCCTGAGTTGGAAGCATCTCACAAATTATCTAGTCTAATCACCCTTCTGGGGCACAAATGCATAAAAGTATCGTAAGTCTGACAGCTGCTGAGGCTGTGCTTGAGTTAGGATGAGAGGGGCTTTTGAATACAGCAATGTCTAAGATGTGATTCTGAGTTACTTACTGCTTGGTGTAACTCATCCTCATGACTAAAGTCTCCTCCAGAATGTTTCTCTGAGTGCATTTTGGCAGAAATTAGGAGGCTGAGTTTCAGTTTGGGGTTAGCACAGTGCAGGGTACAGACTCCAAGTGGGGATGCTGGAGTCCAGAAACAGAGGCTGTTCTGAGCATGTAAGTGCTACTGAAAATTTGCAGACATTTACATGCAAGATTTAGACTCTTGTAGGGCACTATGATTTAAACTGGGGTTTAAAGCAACCACTTCTGGGCCTCAGGAGCTGGGAAGACAGAACCCATCTGACTCCTGGCTTTGATGTCATGTGGGACTTCTGAGCTGTGTGAAAAACTGCTACGTGGTAGTCTACTATTTTTCAGGTTTTCAAAGTGGATGTGGAAGGTGCTGAAAATGATGAGTGCTTTTATCAACGATCAATAATATGTCAACTAATTTTTTTTTTTTTACTTCCTCCAAAAGTTACTAACTGACAACGCCAGCATTCTGGTGTCCTTTCTCCCAGGAAAACAATTCCAATGGGACATTCATGGCCTTCAAATGCTGTTTGACCTTCTATAAGCAGCATTCACAAGTATGGCAGAAACCAAGTAAGAGCTTTTAAAGAAAATGTCATTGTCACTGATAATAATTGTATTCTTTGGATCCTGACATATCTGTGGTTAGATAATAAGCAAGTGAACCTTCTAGGTGATCACAGCAAAGGGGTCTAAATAAACCATATGCCTCCTATGTTAATTTACATTATTCAGTCATTATAGTCAATATCAAACAGACCTACAGATTTTCATAAGACCATAAGGAAAACCTAAAACCCAACAAAAGCAAAACAAAGCAACAAACCAAATACTCTGGCTATAGCATTTCACCTTAAGATCTGGCTTCACATTTGCTATTTTTAAAAATACTTCTTCCTGGGTTTGCCTAAGAGTTACCTGTTGCATCTGCAAACCTCTATTAAAAACAACTGGAAGTAGGTAAAATAGAAACTGGGTGCAAAACGTAGCAACCAATAACACATGGATGCTATGGATGAAGTATTTCCCGTACATCTCTAGCCTTGTGAGGGTTCTTAACAGTGCCATCCCCAGGACCAATGGTACCAGCATCAAACCTGGACATGGGTAAGAAATGCAAATTATTGGGCTCAACCTCAGACCTACTGAATCAAAATTTGGGGAGAGTCCATCAATGTGTGTTTTAAGAAGCCCTCCAGGAGATTCTGACACACACTAAAGCTTGAGAGCCCCTGGTTTTAATGAAACCTGCTATTCATAATGTTCAAGGCCCAGTTCCTAAATAGAGCAACACTTATAAGAAACCACTATGAGAGATGATGAGCTGAGTGTATCATTTATGACAATAACATGCGTATGTCTGATATAAAAAGAAATGATTATTTGTGAACTAAACTCCTCATGGTGCTTGAACATACAAATGAAAGAGCGGGAAAAGATCGTTTAAAAATTGTTTCAGTTAAAATTTTAAGTAAATATATAGCCATTAAAACACAAATGACATGCAAATCAAAACCATAATGAGATACCATCTCACACCAGTTAGAATGGTGATCATTAAAAAGTCAGGAAACAACAGGTGCTGGAGAGGATGTGGAGAAATAGGAACACTTTTACACTGTTGGTGGGACTGTAAACTAGTTCAACCATTGTGGAAGTCAGTGTGGCGATTCCTCAAGGATCTAGAACTAGAAATACCATTTGACCCAGCCATCCTATTACTGGGTATATACCCAAAGGACTATAAATCATGCTGCTATAAAGACACATGCACACTATGTTTATTGCGGCACTATTCACAATAGCAAAGACTTGGAACCAACCCAAATGTCCATCAATGATAGACTGGATTAAGAAAATGTGGCACATACATACCATGGAATACTATGCAGCCATAAAAAAGGATGAGTTCATGTCCTTTGTAGGGACATGGATGAAGCTGGAAACCATCATTCTCAGCAAACTATTGCAAGGACAGAAAACCAAACACCACATGTTCTCACTCATAGGTGGGAATTGAACAATGAGAACACTTGGACACAGGAAGGGGAACATCACACACCGGGGCCTGTCATGGGATGGGGGGAGGGGTGAGGGAAAGCATTAGGAGATATACCTAATGTAAATGATGAGTTAATGGGTGCAGCACGCCAACATGGCACATGTATACATATGTACCAAACCTGCACGTTGTGCACATGTACCCTAGAACTTAAAGTATAATAAAAAATAAATAAATAAAATAAGATAAAACACAAATAACAGATAAATAAATACTGAAGCTGAGGAATACCCCAAATATCCTGACATGATCATTACACATTCTATGCATGTAAAAATTACTCACATGTATCCTATAAACATGTAAAATAGCATGTATCAATTAAAAAATACAGTTAACATTGCACTCCTGTGTGCTACACTGATATACATAATTTAGACCTGTGGTCTGTGGCTGTTAATAAGCAATCTGTTATACTATATTATTCTTCTCATTTACCGATTCTTTCATAATATAAAGTTATGCTGCCTAAAAAAAAAGTGATCCATCTAAATCATAAGTGGAACAAATCATGTCATTCCCCATCTATTTAATTGCCACACCTAGAGGCTCTCCTAGCAATAAAAGGACATATCACTTAAGTAGAAGAGTCATAATTTTAAGTTTGCTTTTTATTTGAGTTATAAAGTAGAGGTTGGTTCTCAGGTATAAAACCATCTTCAGAACAAAATGAAATATGTTGGAATCATTAGAAAAGCCATCAAAACCTCTGCTGATCCTTCCATTAGGTTTCAATTTGTGTAAACTCAATACTTTTAGACACAACAGCTTTTTAAAGGCCATTAATAAAAGGCAATTCTGGTTTGAGGATTGATGAATGGTCTACTCCCCTGTCAGAAGCTGTATAAAAGCTGATTTGGAAGCAATACCACGATTGCCCCTGGCGCCTACCTGTCTACAGGTGAGGGTTTGGAATTCCGCGGCTTCTTGACTTGGGCATACAAAGCATCCATCATATGCCCTTCTCGTGGGCTCTGAGGTCTAGCGTTGAGAGCCATGGAACCTTCATAAGAAGAAACTCCCCCATACATTAACTCATCATCACAGCCAAATGTCCGATGAAAATCTTGAATTTCAGCATAGTCACGCTCTCGAGCTTGTCGTTCCCTAAATTCTCGAGTTTTGGCTTGAATCCTATGAAATCAGAACAAAGTTGAAATAAGAGAAACCTTTCCTTTTTTAGGAACT